>NC_000011.10:8847878-9150909 GCF_000001405.40 Homo sapiens
GCAGCTCAGAGAACTATCCCGCAAATGATCAAAGTCTTTGAACAAATGGCCTCAAATCTATAAAGTTTAATAGAAAAAAATGCTATCTAAAAACAACAGAAGGATTTGCTCTGAGTACAAAAGATGTACAAAATCATCAACCAGAGACTACCACTATGACATTCTCATATTTTTAAGCATAAGAAAAAGAAAAAACTCAGCAGGCTGAGAAGACCCAAATCCAAATTTCTTCCAATTTTGCAAAGGATACAATTAAAGTCCAGAGATGCATATAAAACTCTCAGAGAAAGTATTTTTACCTCCAGTGTAACAAGGTGAGTAGACTCTTTGAGCAAGTGAAAAAGAAATATCTCTTAGAGCTTTGATCATACCTGAAGAAATTTACCCATCACACACTTCACTTTAAATTATGTCCAAGAACAACTGTAAATGAGACTTAAATGTTTTAAGTTTTACAAATAAGACCAAAGAACCCAAATCAATAATTTCCCATTAAAAATAATAATAAAATGTTAAATAGGGAAAGAGCAATTGTCAAAAACACATTATTAATAAAATAGGACTGCAGGCACGTGCCACCATGCCCAGCATTTAAATACCAGACAACATTGAGACAACTGAGGACATTTAAATATGACCTGAATAACAGATGATATTAAGGAATTATTGTTAGTTTGGTTAAATGTGAGAGAGTGGTTATAGATTTTTAAAGTTCTTATCAAATATGCTTCCCGAAATATTATTGGGTAAATAACATAATGTCCAGGAATGGAGGAGAAAGATAAAATTGGCAAAATGTTAATAATATTTGAAGCAGATTAAGAATATATGGAGTTCATTATACAGATGGGAACAATGGCTATCATTATTCATAATAGCCAAGATACTGAATCAGTTCTCCTGACTTTTGTGCATATTTTGAAATAAGAAGTTTTTTAAATTAATATTTATTGGGTATCTACTGAGTACCAGGTATTGCTTAGGTATTTGACACAAAAATAAAATGGCCTCAAGAAAAAAAAAACAGTAAAGCAGATTCTTAACCCAGGGTTTATCCAGGGAAATATCCATGATTTCTATGGGTGGCTAAATCACAGGTACTGCCATTACTGCTGTTTTATTGCCTATATTCATAATAAAAAAGAAATACTAAATTTCAATCGGGGTGGATGAAAATGATGTAATTTTTTTTTTCCTATCCAAGTTGCAGACCCTTCAAATTCTACCCATGGACCCCCAAGGGTTGCACCATTCTGCAAATATTCACTGAACACTTAAAATAAGACAGTCACTGCTAAGCACTAGGGATACAAAGGTGAAGAGAATACTACAGGCCGGGCGCGGTGGCTCACACCTGTAATCCCAGCACTTTGGGAGGCCAAGGTGGGTGGATAGCCTGAGGTAAGGAGTTCAACACCAGCCTGACCAACGTGGTGAAACCCCGTCTCTACTAAAAACACAAAAATTTGCCAGGTGTGGTGGCAGATGGCTGTAATCCCAGCTACTCAGGAGGCTGAGGCATGAGAATCACCTGAACCTGGGAGGTGGAGGTTGCCATGAGCCGAGATCACACCATTGCATTCCAGCCTGGGCGACAGAGCTAGACTGTCTCAAAAAAAAAAAAAAAAAAAAAAACAGACAGAAAGACTGAAGAGACTGATAAGGCCAGGCATGGTGGCTCATATCTGTAATCCCAGCACTTTGGGAGGCCAAGGTGGGCAGATCACTTGAGGTCAGGAGTTTGAAACCAGTCTGGCCACATGGTGAAACTCCATCACTACTAAAGATACAAAAATTAGCCAGGTGTGGTGGCAGGCACCTGTAATCCCAGCTACTCAGGCGGCTGAGGCAGGAGAATTGCTTGAATCCAAGAGGCAGAGGTTGCAGTGAGCTGAGATCGCCCCACTGTACTCCAGCCTGGGTGACAGAGGGAGTCTCCATCTCAAAAAAAAAAAGAAAAGAAAAGACCAATAAGGCTGGGTGCTGTGGTTCATGCCTGTAATTCCAACACTTTGGGAGGCCAAGGCAGGTGGATCACTTGAGCCCAGGAGTTCAAGACCAGCCTGGGCAACAAGGTGAAACCCCGTCTCTAGAAAAAATACAAAAATTAGCCAGGTGTGGTGGTACATGCCCATAATCCCAGCTACTCAGGAGGCTGAGGTGGGAGGATCACTTGAGCCAAGGAGGTCAAGGCTGCAGTGAGCTGTGATCGTGCCACCTCACTCTGGCTTGGAGGACAGAGGGATACCCAGTCACACACACACACACAAAAACTGATAAATTTCACATTAAATTACTAAAAATTTTTGTATGTGGAAAACAAAGTTAAAAGACAAACTGTGAAAAACATATGTAGTATATATGAGTTGTTCTTAATATTTTAAAAGTTGGTAAAATGCATTAAATAAAATATAAAACTGCTTGATCTGATAAGGGGTTAATACCCAAAATATATAAGGAATCAACACAATAGTAAGAAAACAACTTATTTAAAAATGGGCAAAGGACCTGAACAGACGTTTTTCAGAAGAAGATATACAAATGGCCAACAGGTATATGAAAAAATGTTCAACATCACTAATCATCAGGGAAATGCAAATTAAAACTACACCGAGATAACACCTCACACCTATTAGAATGGCTACCACCAAAACGACAAAAGATAATAAGTGTTGGAGAGGATGTGGAGGTTGACGGGAATATAAAGTGGTACAGCCATTCTGGAAAACAGCATGGAGATTTCTCAACAAATTAAAAATAGAACTATCATATGATCCAGCAATCTCACTACTGAGCATATATCCAAAGGATATGAAATCAGTATGTCAAAGAGCTATCTGCACTTCCATGTTCATTGCAGCATTATTCATAATAGCCAAGATATGGAGTCAACCTGAGTGTCTATCAACAGATAAATAAAAAAAGAAAATGTGGTTTATATACACACAATGGAATACTATTCAGCTATAAAAAAAGAAGGAAATCTTGTCACTTCCTACAACATGGATGAACCTGAGGACACTATGTTAAATGAAACAAGCCAGGCACAGAAAGAGAAACACCACATGATCTCACTTATATGCCGAATCTAGAAAAGTTGAACTCATAGAAACAGAGGGTAAAATAACCATTTTACCAGAGGCTAGGGGATGAAGGGATTGGGGTGATGTTGGTCAAAGAACACAAAATTTCAGAGAGATAGGAGGAATAAATAAGTTCAAGAGATCTACTGCACATCATGGCAACTATAGTTAATAACAATACATCACATACTTGAAAATTACTAATAGTGTAGATTTTAACTGTTCTCACCCTCAAAAAAACATAGGTATGTAAGGTAATGTATGTTAATGAGCATGACTTAGTCATTCTAAATATATATATATATAAATCAAAACAGCACATTGTACATCATAAATATATACAATTATTTGTCAATTTAAAAATAAAATAACAAAAACATGTAAATCATAAAAGAAATAGAAATTAAACGGCCATTAAATATATGAGAAAATATTCAAGCTCCATAGCAATCCAAGAAATGGAAATTAAAACAGAAATGCAATACCATTTTTATCTTATCAGATTTGCAAATACCGATTATCTTCATTCTTTTTAGTTTGGCAAGAATGGCTGGAAACAGGCACTCTCGCTCACGCTAGTAGAAGTGTACAGTGTACACAGGTTAAAGACTTTCTGGAGGGCAATTTGGCTAAGCACATCAAAAGTCCTTAAAAATGTTCATCCCTTTTACTTCTAGGAATCCCCAAAATAATCAAGGAACTGCACTAAAATATGGGTATAAGGATATTCACCATAGCATTTCTGTAATAGTTTAAATACATAGGGGGGGACAAACTAAACAATAACAGGAGATTAAAGTAGATCAAATATTTAGTATTTTGTGAATATTTTTTAATTCGTTTTAAAGTATTCATATATATTTTGGTATATATATAAACACTAATTATCTCTGTGTAGTAGGATTGTGGGTGATCTTTTTCCTATTTTCCAATTTTTCTAGAAAGACCATGAATTACTTGTATGAAATTCAACTAACTAATTAGGGGGGAAATGCCCCATTATCCCTGGGCTCCTGAAAGCCCAAAGCCACCAGTAGAGGAGAAAAACGTTATAGGTATAAAAGCAACTCCCTATAACAGTTGTTGCTTCTGGAGAGCAGAGAAGGCCTTGATTCTGCCTGGAGCTGAGTTTTGAAGGATGAATTTGCCAAAGAATAAAGTGAGGAGGGCAAGAGACTATCAAGTGCAAAAAATGAAAGCGCCTACTATGTTGACAAGCTACATGCAATTTCGGCGTGGCAGAAGGGCAGGGTGCAAGTGGAGGACTGAAGTAAAAGCCAGATCACAAAGACTTCTGAATGTCACATTAAAGGGTGGAATTATCCTGTCAAAGAAGAATCAATAAAGAGCTTTCGTGGTTCATTAATATGGGGATCAAAAAAAGGTAAAACAGGCCAGGTTCAGTGGCCTATAATCCCAACACTTTGGGAGGCCAAGGCACAGGAAGATGGCTTGAGACCAAGAGATTGAGACCAGCCTGGGAAACATAGCAAGACTTTGTCTTTACAAAAATAGTAAATAAACAAGTAAATAAGAGAAAAGAAAAAACAAATGATAACAGAAGAGTAATTGGGATAGGAATGTGGATACTGTCTGGGAAGAGGCATCAGGTGACCTTCTGAGATGCCAGAAATGCTCCACATCTTGATCGGAGTGGTAGTTATAACAATGTATGCAAACGTTGAAATCCATTAAGCTATACATTTAAAATTTGCGTACTTTACTGTGTTACTCCTCAATAAGAAAGCAAAGAGCTTTTAGCAAAGAAGTATCACAATTAAACTATTCTAGAAAGCTCATTTGTTCAGCAGCCTAGAAGACTGAACACCCTGAGGCAGCACTCTGAGAAATGAAAGCTGCATTCTGGCAAAAGAGGGTCAAGACTTTGGCTGGATTGGAGGCAGCAAGACAGTAAGGAGAAGGACGATTCATGACACATTTGGGAGGTGGGCCTGATAAGCTTTTATGAGTGTGACTGCTAATTAAACTTCGTGATTAAAATTCATGTGAAAATCTAACCCCAAGGTGATGGTATTAAGAGGTGGGGCCTTTGGGAGGTGATTAGATCACCAGGGCTCTGTCCTCATAAGCAAGATTGCTGTCTTTATGAAAGAAGCTTCGGCCAGGCGCGGTGGCTCACGCCTGTAATCCCAGCACTTAGGGAGGATGAGGCGGGTGGATCACCTGAGGTCAGAAGTTCGAGACCGGCCTGGCCAACATGGTAAACCCCGTCCCTACTAAAAATACAAAAATTAGCCGGGCGTGGTGGCACACACCTGTAATCCCAGCTACTCGGGAGGCTGAGGCAGGAGAATCTCTTGAACTCGGGAGGTGGAGGTTGCAGTGAGCTGAGATCGCACCATTGCACTACAGCCTGGGCGACAAGAGCACAAAACTCCATCTCAAAAAACAAAAAGAAAAGAAAAGAAAGACGCTTGAGGGAGCCTGTTAGCCTCCGCTGCCAAGTGAGGACACAGCCAGAAGGTCCTACCTATGAAGAGCAGGCCCTCTCCAAACACCAAATCTTGGGCTTTCCAGGTTCCAGAACTGTGAGCAATACATTTTTGTTGTTCACAAATTACCTGGCCTAAAGTATTTTGTTATAGCATCCTGAATGGACTAAGACTATGGGGAAATCTGAATATGGTCTGAGTATTAGTTAAAATAAAAAGTTACTGAATTAGAAAAGTGAACGTAATTGAAAAATAAGATAGAATAAAAAACAGTATATATAGTATAATCTTACTTTGGTAGAAAAAGAATATAAATATGTACATCTGTATGCGTAGAGAAAGACCTAGAAAGGAGAGGACTAAGATTTTTCTCTGGGTGTTGGGAAAGTGAGGTTTTTATTTTTTTAGAATGTACTGCAAAGCAAACACTATATTTTTAATTTTTTTTTTTAGAGACAAGGTCTCACTCTGTCGCTCAGGCTCAAGTGCAATGGCACAATCACAGCTCACTGCAGCCTTGAACTCCTGGGCTCAAGCAATCCTCCCCCCTCAGCCTCCTAAAGTGCTGGGATTACAGGTGAATGCCACCATGCCCCAGTTAATTTTTTTTTTTTTTTTTTTTTTTTTTTTTTTGTAGAGACAGGATCTCACTTTGTTGCCTAGGCTGGTATTGAAGTCCTGGCCTCAAGCAATCCTCCTGCCTTGGCCTCCCAAAGTGCTGGGATTACAGGTGTGAACCACCATGTCTGGCCATATATTACATTTTTAAAAGAACCTATTTATTTATGTATTTATTTATTTATTTGAGACAGGGTCTTGCTCTGTTACCCAGGCTAGAGTGCAACAGCACAATCTCAGCTCACTGCAACCTCCACCTCCTGGGTTCAAGCAATTCTCCTGCCTCAGCCTCCCAAGTAGCTGAGATTACAGGCGTGCACCACCACGACCAGCTAATTTTTGTATTTTCACTAGAGACAGGGTTTCACCATGTTGGCCAGGCTGATCTCAAACTCCTGACCTCAAGTGATCCACCTGCGTCGGCCTCCCAAAGTGTTGAGATTACAGACATGAGCCACAGTGCCTGGCCTAAAAGAACCAATTTAAAGTTGAAAGTTGGAAATAATTTCTATTCTGTAGTTTTCTATTAAAGGAGCTCACAGACACAAAAAAAGCAGCAGCCACTGGGTATGATGGCTCATGCCTGTAATTCCAACACTTTGAGAGGGCAAGGTGGGAGGATCACTTGAGCCCAGGAGTTCAAGACCAGCCTGGGTAACATGACAAGACTCTATCTCTATAAATTATTTTTCTTTTTCCAGACAGAGTCTCACTCTGCCACCCAGGCTGGAGTGCAAAGGCATGATCTCGACTCACTGCAACCTCTTCCACCCAGGTTCAACCGATTCTCATGCCTTAGCCTCCTGGGTAGCTGGGATTACAGGCCTGTGCCACCACGCCCAGCTAATTTTTGTATTTTTAGTAGAGATGGGTTTTGCCATGTTGGTCAGACTAGTCTCAAACTCCTGGCCTCAAGTGATCCGCCTGCCTCGGCTTCTCTACAAAAAAATTTTTTTGAAAAAATTAGCCAGGCATAGTGGCCCACATAGTGGTCCTAGCTACTCAAGAGGCTGAGGTGGAAAAGATCACTTGAGCCCAGAAGGTCAAGGCTACAGTGAGCTGTGTTCACACCACTGCATTCCAGCCTGGGCAACAGAGGGAGACTCTGTCTCAAAAGAAGAAAAAGAAAGAAAAGAAAAAAGAAAAGAAAAGGGAAGGGAGGGGGAGGGAAGAGTAGAGAAGAGAGAAAAGAAAAGAAGAGAACAGCAAACCTCAAACGTGTAGTGTACAAGCTGGCTCCAGATGCCAAGCAAGGAGGGGAAGACTATCTCGCTCAGGCTGGCAATCTAAAGGCTCAATAAAGCACTCCTCTTGGGCGCCCATCTTATGTTCCTCTCTTTTATTCTGAGCAGCAGCCTCTCTAGATGACGGGAAAATTTAGCCTGATGGATCATGATGGATCATGCTAAATTTTCCCATCATCTAGAGAGGCTGCTCATCTGCATCATTCATTCTAAGAAAACAAGACACCAAGCCCCTGCCAGCATCCCCACAGTGAGCCAACGGAGCAGGCAGATGCAAAGAGCCCGAGAAATACCAAGTGCTGTGCACCCTGTATCCACACAGTAGGCAAAAGCAACTTTCATAGGAAGGAGGAAACAGCACGCCGAGAAGGCTCTTCTTTGGGATTACATGGCAACAGAGATTCTCCTGGAAGGGTTTCTAACTTTAGGGCATCATCAGGGAAGTGCTGTCCTGATGGAGCTGCCCAAACTTAATACAAAGGAGCTAATTTTCGTTTGTCTCAAATTTAAAGACAGGGATTAGGGAGAAGGTGTAAAGGGCAAAGGGAAGGGCCCAATCCAAACAGAATAAGGAAAGGGGATACATTGCTGCTGACTATACTCTCCTCTGGGAGGAATCCCAGCAAACTAGACAGCTGCCAGATCTACCTGGTAAATTCCAGTCAACCAGCTAGAGAATTGGAGAACTCTCTCCAATTCTTGTTCATCTTCAAAACTGTCTGAGCACCCAACATATGTTGCCTGTTACACATAAACATTCAACAACTGAACACAAACATAAGTGAACAGGCTGAACCAACTGAAGGTTTATGGACCAAGCTGTATAACGTTTGGGGCTAAAAGAGCTTAACATGAAATAGAATCAAATGTTAATGTTCCATTAATAACATTTGATGCAATATGATCAAAAGACTGAAGCTCTAGTACCCAGCACAGTATCTGGTGTTTAAGAAGTGCTCCTCAATAAATATCCATTGAATGTTAAATGATCCAGGATTTTTTTCTTGCATCCAAAACTTTCAGATCCAGTAGAAGATATTATTTAAAAGTCTGTGTTCTCACTTTTATGCTGACTTTCAAAGTGTTTTGTTAGAGATGGAAAAAGATTTCTGGGTATGGAAAAATTTTTAAAGTATCATACACTGCCAATTCACTGGCCTGGTACAGGCTGTATCAATCTGTTCTCATCAGCTCTGGTTGAAAACATATGTGGACTACCTGAATGGGCCTAGGCTTGAGCACAACTTATCCGTCCAAAGCATTTGTGGGCCCAGGAGACAGGTTTTACTTCCACTGGTCACACGTGTCCAAAAAAAAATGTGCAAGGTTGGTTGGAAGTCCCTGGATGCCTGACTCCCCAACCACTATATTGGGCAGCTCCCCTGATGGAAAGGCAGGCCCAGGCCCTCTCTGGGCAGCTGCTCCCATTCATTTCCGTCTGTTCCTTCAGTCTCTCCTCACTCTATCACTATTTTCTTTTTTTTTTTTTTCTTTCTTCAGACAGGTCTTGACTGTCACCCAGGCTAGAGTGCAGTGGTGCAATAATGGCTCCCTGCAGCCTTGAACTCCTGGTCTCAAGCAATCCTCCCACCTCAGCCTCCCGAGTAGCTAGGACTACAGATGTGTGCCACCATGCCCAGCTAATTTTTTACTTTTTGCAGAGACAGGGTCTCACCATGTCACCCAGGCTGGTCTAGAACTCCTGGGCTCAAGCAATTCTCCTGCCTCAGTCTGCCAAAGCACTGGGATTACAGGTATGAGCCACTGCACTTAGCCCCATCACTATTTTCACATCAGTATAATGTTATCTTGTATCCCTCCTGTCCTAACCTGGCCCAGGTTTCTTAGAAGAATTATCATCTGGATACTAAAATGTCATTTATAGCCGCATACAGAATTAAGGCAAAATACCAGGTCTCCTCCTTCTTATCCCCAAACTCTATTAGAAAGCTGAGTATACACATATTGCCTGATAATTTCATGTCATCTTCTCCAAAAACCACCACAAATCTCTAAAAACAGAAACAGAAATAACTAAAATGATACTAGGCCCTTAGCAATAATACCTGGATTGTTACAAGGGCCTCCTAACTCCTCTTAGCTTCTAGTTTCCTCCTCAATTCCAATCCATTTTCTATACTATCCATTCTGTCACCATCCCTGTAGAGAAAGACAGAACAATAGTCAAAGCATTTTCACATGCCTCCCACTCATTCCAAACTCAAAGTCTTCAAGATGACATTCAAGATCCCAGAGGATCTGATTCAGCCTGGTCTGTCTCCGATGGGCTCCTTTATAAACCTGCTGATTCCAATAGACCACCTATTTCCAGCCCATACAAGCCAACATCTTTTCTGCCTCTGGGCCTTTGCTCATGCTGCCCCTGGTTACTCCCCAACCCCCAGAGTCCTCCTGGATTCTGAAGGCAGCACTGTGTAGAAGAAAGGGAACTAAATTAGGAGTCAAAACACCTGGATGCCAGACGTGGTTCTGACATCAACTGGTTGTGTGCCTTTGGGCAGGTCCTACACCTCTCTGGGCTCAGTTTCCTGTCTATAAACAGAAAGATTGGACTAGTTCACCCTATAGCCCTTCCACCTTTAAAAAAAAGTATTCTTCGATTCCTATATGCTCGACCAAATCCAATCTCTCCTTCAAAGTCTGCAGGTCCTCCAAGAAATTTCTCTGAGCACTTCAGCCCACACTATTCTGTCCCCTCTGTGTGGAATCCAGAACAAATTACACAGTGCATTCATTCAACCAAGATTTCTGAGCATTTTCTTGGCCATGTTATGATAGCAAAGCCTTGGTAATAAACATAAAACCAGTTAGGACCCAGGCTGTAGTTATCACCTGTACCTCCCTTTCCTCTCCACTATTTTTACCCAAGTGAAGTCATGAACAGCAAATGAATGCAAAAGATACCATTTAGTCATTTATTTAACAAATATTTAAAGAAAACCTTCCATGTCCTATTCTAAAAAGTAAAGATATCAGTAAACAAATGGATCAAGTCCCTAACTTCATGGAGTTTATTTATTTGGGAAAGCAGACAGGAAAAACACAGAAATATGTAATATAATTTTAGGAAGAAAAAGAAAGGAGGGGATTAAAGAGTGACTCGGAGCAGTTTTACATAGGATGGGCAGAGAAGGCCTCCCTGAGGTGGCACACTCGAGCCCACACTCAAATGAACTGGGTGACAAACCAGCAATATTCAAGGAGAAGAGCATCCTAGGAGCAGGCAAAGGCCATGAGACAGAAGAGATGGGAGGAAGGCAGGAGCAGATGGGAGAGCTGGGGCTTAGACCACACAAGAACTTGGTAGTAAATGTGCATTGTACTTCTAAGTGTGATAGCATTCCATATGAGGGTAAAAAATATATATATTCTCATTGCTATGTGGAGAAGAGACTGCAAAGACAGGAGCAGAGGAGCCAGGACCAGCTGAGGATGGCTATTCTGAACCAGTCGAGGGCTTGGCTGGTCACCCAAACTAGGTCATTTCCTGGCTCTCCAGCTTATAAGCTGTGTGAGCTCAAGAAAGTCCATCTCTTGTCTCAGTTTCTACACCTTTAAGCAAGGATAATAAAAATACCTATATTATAAGGTTGTCTGGAAGGCTAGATTAGTGCACATAAAACCCTTACAACAGCCTCTGGCAGCCAGTAAACATTCCATAAATGCTAGTACTTCAAAGCCAGGGAATCACCTAAGAAAAGTGAAGACAGAGACAAGAAACAGGCTGAAGACTGAGCCCTTGGGCGCTCCAAAAGCTCCAAAGGCCTCCATTTGGCCCAAGATTTGCCATAAGCCTGCACGTCCTAAACCTTGTCTGGGGCTCCAAACCCCCTGTATGTATCAATAACTCAAAATTTAGAGCTTGATGATGTACTGCTTTATATCATTCTTTAGGTAACAATTATATGTTCTAAGTTCAGGTTATCACTTTCCCTCAGTTGTATTGTATATCTACTACCAGGCTTGGCATAGGGTTAGATAAACACTAACGTGTTTTTTTGTTTGTTTGTTTGTTTGTTTGTTTTTTTGAGACAGAGTCTCCCTCTCTCGCCCAGGCTGGAGTGCAGTGGCGCGATCTCGGCTCACTGCAAGCTCCGCCTCCCGGGTTCACGCCATTCTCCTGCCTCAGCCTCCCGAGTAGCTGGGACTACAGGCGCCCGCCATCGCGCCCGGCTAATTTTTTGTATTTTTTAGTAGAGACGGGGTTTCACCATGTTAGCCAGGATGGTCTCAATCTCCTGACCTCGTGATCCACCCGCCTCGGCCTCCCAAAGTGCTGGGATTACAGGCGTGAGCCACCGCGCCCGGCCACGTGTTTTGCAAATACTCATTCATGGATTATATCATGTATATTTCAAAGAAATCAATGTAAGGCACTATACTTCCTTTTAAAACAAAGAACCATCTTCTCTTCAAGGAATAATGTGAATTATAAGTTATATCCTCAGCACTGCCCCACTACCCCCACTACCCTATCAGTCCCATCTTGGCAGAGACAGGCATGCTGACCAAAGAAGTTACACCATCTGCCATGCCATTTTCCCACCTGACTTCCTGTCCACATGCTTTGTGAACAAAGTTTTCTGTCTCTTCTTTCCTGGAAATTTCTCAAGCTGTAAAAACCTCCCATACCTAGCAACATGTCACACCTGCCCCTGTCCCCAGAATTCCCCATGGCCCTTAAAAAAGCCTAAACAATGAAGCCAAAATATTCCCAGAAAAACAGGAGCATCAAAACTTAGGAAGAAAAGAGGGAAAGAAAATGGGCATAACCCAAATAAACACCTAGAGAATCATCCAGCAGGGTTCTTCCCGCCAAGGTACAGGAATCTCAGTGCCTTCAACTAGTTACTATGAATATTTATAAAATGACCTTAGGAAGTCCTAGCCAGAACAATCAAGCAAGAGAAAGAAATAAAGGGCATCCAAATTGGAAAACAGGAAGTCAAACTATCTCTGTTTGCTAATGATATGATTGTACACTTAGAAAACCCTAAAAGATGCCTAGATCCTCCAAAAGACTCCTAGATTTGATAAATTCAGTAAAGTCTCAGGTTACAAAATCAACGTACACAAATCAGTAGCACTGCTATATACCAACAACCACCAAGATGAGAATCAAATCAATAACTCAATCCTTTTTAATACCTTCAAAAACAAATAAAATACCTAGTAATATACTTAACTAAGAAGGTGAAAGAGCACTACAAGGAGAACTACAAAACGCTGCTGAAAGAAACCACAGGTGACACAAACAAATAGAAATACACCCCATGCTCATGAAATCAAAGAATCAATATCATGAAAATGAGCATACTACCCAAAGCAATCTACAGATTCAATGCAATTCCTATCCAAATACTAACATCATTTTCGAAAATATTAGAAAAAACAATTCTAAAATTCATATGGAACCAAAAAGGAGCCCAAATAGCCAAAGCAATCCTGAGCAAAAAGAAGAAATCTGTAGACATCACGTTACCTGACTTATACTGCAAGGCTATAGTAACAAAACAGCAATGGTACTGGTATAAATGTAGATACACAGACCAGTGAAACAGAATAGAGAACCCAGAAATAAGCCAAATACTTACAACCAACTAACCTTCAACAAAGCAAACAAAAACATAAACTGGGAAAAGATACCCTATTCAATAAATGGTGCTGGGAAAACTGGCTAGCCACACGCAGAAGAATGAAACTGGATCCCTATCACTCACCATATACAAAAATTAACTCGAGATGGATCAAAGATTTAGATCTAAGACATGAAACCATAAAAATTCTAAAAGAAAACTTAGGAAAAACTCTTCTGGACATTGGGTGAGACAAAGAATTTATGACTAAGACCCCAAAAGCGAATGTAACAACAAAAATAAATAAATAAATGGGAACTAATTAAACTAAAAGGCTTCTGCACAGCAAAAGAAATAACCATTAAACAGACAACCCGCAGAATGGGAGAAAATATTTGCAAATTATGCATCTGACAAACAACAAATACCTAGAATCTGCAAGGAACTCAAATAATTCAGCAAGAAAAAAACACTCCCATCAAAAACCGAGCAAATGATATGAATAAACATTTCTGAAAAGAAGATATACAAATAGCCACGAAATATATGAAAAAAATGCTCAACATAACAAATCATCAGGGAGATGCAAATTAAAACCACAATGAAATACTCTACCTTACTCCAGCCAGACTAGCCATTACTAAAAAGTCAAAAAACAATAGATCTTGACATGGATGTGGTGAAAAGCAAATGCTTATACACTGCTGGTGGGAATATAAATTAGTACAACCTCTATGGAAAACAGTATGGAGATTTCTCAAATAACTAAAAATAGATCTACCATTCAATCCAGCAATTGCACTACTGGGTATCTACTCAAAGGATGAGTCATTATATCAAAAAGATACTTGCACAAATATGTTTATCGCAGCACAATTCACAACAGTAAAGATACGGAACCAACCTAAGTGCCCATCAACCAATGAGTGATTAAAAAATGTGGTATGTATACACCATGGAATACTACTCAGCCATAAAAAAAGAATGAAATAATGTCTTTTGCAGCAACTTGGATGGAGCTGGAGGCCATTATTCTAAGTGAAGTAACACAGGAATGCAAAACCAAATACTGTATGTTCTCACTTATAGGTGGGAGCTAAGCTATGGGTATGCAAAGGCATATCGAGTGGTATAATGGATTATGGAGACACAGAAGGGGGAGGAAGGGAGGGAGGGAGGGGAGATGAAGGGTTACAAAGACTACATATTGGGTACCATGTACACTACTCAGGTGACTGGCACACTAAAATTTCAGACACAATTCATCCATATAATCAAAAACCACTTGTACCACAAAAGCTATTGAAATAAAAAATACATATTTTTAAAATATAATAATAATGAAACATTTAAAAATAAATACATAAATAAAATGACCTCAAGTGATAAGGGTTTCCAACAGAACAAAGGTCCAAGTCAGTGAGGGGAAAAAGATTAACTTTTTCACTCTTTTTTTTTTTTTTTTTTTTTTTTTGAGACAGGGTCTCACTCTGTCATCCAGGCTGGAGGTCAGTGCCACAGTCTCGACTCACTGCAATCTCAACCTCGGGTGATCACCTCAGGTGATCCTCCCATCTCAGCCTCCTGAGTAGCTAGGACCACAGGTGTGTGCCACTGTGCCTGGCTAATTTTTCTAATTTTTGTAGAGATAGGGGTTTACCATGTTGCCCAGGCTGGTCTCAAACTCCTGAGCTCAAGAGATCCACCTGCCATGGGCTCCCAGAGTGCTGGGATTACAGGTGAGTGCCACAGTGCCTGGCCAACTTTTTCACTTATTTATTCAGTTTCCACAGAACTATCTGGTCTTCTGTTTTTCTTCCCTGTCCTACCCACCCATGCTCCCACACGCCTAGCCTGGGTGATAAGCCGCAGAAAATAACGCTGACCCACCAGGACCACAGCTCTTGATGTGGCTTCAACCAAGTCTGAGCCTCATATCCTGAGATCTACCCCAGCCCTCCAGGGACCAGAAATAGTGACAAATACATGGGAACTATGTAGGCGACTCAAATGTAGACAGAGCTGGGCACATCATACTGCTCCCAAATTGGTTTTCTTGAACAAACCTAACCTGAAATAGACAAAGGCTGCTAGATGTTATTTTGCCAATACCTTTTGGCAGAGCTATTTCTAGCTAATTCTGATCACTGAGCTACTCATGGAGGTTTTAAAAATGGTCCATCTTTAAACCTACCATTTTGGGAGGCAAAAGTGGGAGGATTGCTTGAGCCTGGGAGTTCGAGACCTGTCTGGGCAACATAGGGGGACCCCGTCTCTAAAAATAAGTAAGTAAATTAATTAATTAAAAAAAATTTTAAATGGCCCTCTGAAACAAGATATAAAGTGGCCTCTACCCACGCCCCATGACTCTTAACGCCACTTTCTTTTTTTTTTTTTTTTTGAGACCGAGTCTTGCTCTGTCACCCAGGCTGGAGTGCAGTGGCACGATCTCGGCTCACTGCAAGCTCCACCTCTCAGCCTCCCCAGCAGCTGGGACTACAGGCACACGCTGCCACGCCTGGCTAATTTTTTTGTATTTTTAGTAGAGAAGGGGTTTCACCATATTAGCCAGGATGGTCTCTATCTCCTGACCTTGAGATCCGCTCGCCTCGGCCTCCTAAAGTGCTGGGATTACAGGCGTCAGCCACTGCGCCCGGCCTGCCTCTTACGCCACTTCCTATGCAAACACTGTGGTCCTGAGTGCTATTCTAATTCAAAAGAGTGACCTGTCAATGTACAAATGGGGGAAAAATAGCAAAACGGAATCCTCACAACTGATATTGCTGATTAACTGGACAAGAAGGATTCAATTAATATACTTTGACCTTAAGTGCCATTTTTCCATGTTAACCCACAGCACCAAATACTCATTTGCAAGTTGGGTTTTCTTTATCTCCAGGTATCTATGTACAGATTCGAGTGACTACTGAAAAGTACAAAGCTTTGATTCCCCTCCCATACAATTATACTATTTTCAAGAGAATTTCCATTCCCCTGGGACTTGGACCCAGTAGAAGAAGCCTTTTGGGTCTAAGTACTTAGAATGCACTCATCCCTGGCTCAAGAGGCAAGACCAGACTTTCAAGAAAAGCTTCTCCAGGCAGTCCTGGAGAAAGACAGCTATTGAGTGGCACTTCCTAATTCAAGGGGATATTATGCTAACTAGAGTTCCCGGCAACAGTAAATGTAATCCAACATGACTAATAGAAAAAATAACTGACTAGGCCCTGTTTACTCACTAGAAAATATATCCCCACATGATGAGCCTTAACAGAGGTCATCTCAGCTTCCAGAGACCAGAGTGTTGTAAAAACAGTTGCTTCCCAACAGCAATATTTGGATCAGGAGGTACCCAACACTCATATCCAAAACTAATTTCCCATCCAATTTCTTTTGTTGTTGTTGTTATTTTCACTCAGGGGCTCACTCTGTTGCTCAGGCTGGAGTGTAGTGACACAATCTCGGCTCCCTACAGCCTTGACCTCCCAGGATCAAGCAATCCTCCCATCTCAGCCCACCGTTTAGCTGGGACCACAGACACGCACCGCCACGCTCGGCTAATTTTTGTATTTTTTTCATAAGGACAGAGTCTCACTGTGTTGCCCAGGCAGGTCTCAAACTCCTGGCTTCAAGCAATCCTCCCAATTTGGCCTCCCAAAGTGCTGGGATTACAGGTGTTAGCCACCAGGCCTGGCCTCCATCTAATTTCTTAACTTCATCCACTCATTGATTCATCAAACCCCTAACATTAAGCATATTCACTGAAGAAAGGTAATAAGAGAATAAACAGATGCCCGTACACACCCCAGTGCTTTTTCCGCAGGAGATATTCAAAAACTATAGGACACAAGAAAGGAAAAGTATATAAATGATAGTGATACAGAGCACTTCCCAGAGACCAGTGTCTGACAGTCTCAGGACACTGACTCTGATTAAAGGCACTTTTTACCCCACTCTAGTTAGCCGCCTCCAAAAGGAAGAATGGAACAAGACGGAAAAAATTTAAAAAATCTAAATTCAAACTTGTCCTTGGCTAAATTTACATCCAAGATCCCAACTTCACATCAAAGAAAGAAAAAAGCCACCCAAAGTGACCCCTGCCTACTCAAAGGAGTTTCCAAAACATTAACAAACAGGGACAAATTCCCAGCATATTCTAATTACTATGACCTTTTATCATTAAGAGTCCCATAAAAAGGGGCTTATTTCTAATGCTACTAACAAAGGGTTAAGCAGATTATTTCTATCATATTTGCATGGAGATCCTAAATTCCAGTTTAAACAAATGATTCCCAGACTTCTAGATAGGCCTTAATTGGGCTAATCTGTTACTTTTAGTGCAATCTCGCAAAGGCTGGATTCTTCTTAAGCCCTTAAAGGACTTGAGTAAAATTCTTTTGATGGTAATTTTTTTAAAAGATCATCTCCAGAGTTTACATATATTCCACAATTACTTATGCTGATAGAAAAAAATATATATATTTTACTCCAAAAGGCTCCTTCCAGTTTGAAAGCTCTAATTGCCAACATATCTGATATGAACTTCCTGCATAAAACAAAACACAAAGCAACAAGTATAATCATAGGTCTAAAAAGAGAGACTTGTTAAGGAAAACAGAGAAAGCTCAGCTTGTTTAGCCAGAGGAAGGGAAGGAAAGGATGGGTACAGATGGGACAGTCTGTACATTTGGTAGCTGCCTTTGGAGTCCAGGAAAGACAATTTGTTCACTCTGTGAACATGTGTGCATTGAAGAGGGACAGGAAAACAGTAAAAGTAGGAAACATTAAAAGAAAAGCTAACTACAAGGAGATAATCTGTGATCATCAATCTGGAAACCTTCCTTAGAAAGTGTTTCCCAGGGAAATTGTGAGATCTCTTTAAGAGAGATTAAATCTCTTCAGAAAGATTTAAGGATATTTGGAGGTGGAGGAGGTCAAAATAGTCAAAGTTCTACCATACTAGGAGATTACATCTGAGTATCAAAGGGATATTCCAGTCCTGGGGAATTGTCCAAATGCCATCCCCACTAAAAAATAATTTAGACTATTTTTAAAGAGGATATTGCAGCCCTATTTTTCTTTTTCTTTTTTTTTCTTTTATTTTGAGACGGAGTCTCGCTCTGTCGCCCAGGCTGGAGTGCAGTGGCGCGATCTCGGCTCACTGCAACCTCCGCCTCCCGGGTTCACGCCATTCTCCTGCCTCAGCCTCCCCAGCAGCTGGGACTACAGGTGCCCGCCACCACGCCCAGCTAATTTTTTGTATTTTTAGTAGAGACGGGGTTTCACCGTGTTAGCCAGGATGGTCTCGACCTCCTGACCTTGTGATCCGCCTGCCTCGGCCTCCCAAAGTGCTGGGATTACAGGCGTGAGCCACCGCACCCGACCTGCAGTCCTATTTTTCTAAGCTCTTAGCTATCTTAGAAAACCTAAATCACCTGTTTAATAAATTATTAAAATGACAAGTACCAAATACAAAAACATTAACTATGTAAGCAATGCATCAAAAATGCAACCAAACATTTCTAACATTTAAATAAGGGCATTGCCAAAGTCTCTTCTTGAGGCCCCAACTCTCAAAACTAGGTTCAAGAGCATTCTCCCGGGAAGACATACCAAATGATCCCCAACCAACAATGAGCTTTGCCATTCTCTGGAGGAATGACCACATAACCTATAACCAGAGGCTACAGAGAAAATAAAATGACTTTCAGGTGACACAAAATACAAACTGGGAGAAGGAACCAAGGTGCTAATCAGGGTGTGACCACCTCTATCTGGCCCTAAGGGATTACCCTGATCTAGAAGAACTAGGAAAACTGAGCTCAGAGATCTCTCAAACATCAAATTCCAGGAACTTCTGAATAAATGGCAAAGCTGGAACTTTAACCCAGGTTTTTGTACTCCAAATCCCCTACACTAAGAGGGGTCACATTCCTCAGAGGTCCAAAACCCAAACTGAGTCATATCCTGACCCATGTAGAGGTCCTGGTGATAATTTCACCTATCAAAACCCCATTCAGTAAGGCAAGCTCTCCAAGGTGTGAGAGGCTCTTAAAGGTAAAAATGGGTGTGGAGAACCGAGATCATATTTTGATTTCGCATTTTTTATTTGACAAAAAACCATGGGTGACTCTAACATTAATTAAAAGAAAACTTCTTTAGTTGACAAACATCACTTTTCTGCCTGTCAAGCTGCCCCTCCTTAGTGAGCCCTCCTGCTAGGGGATATTCCTTGGCCAAACAACCAAGTCTCCAGAGCACTAGCAAGTTCAGAGGAAACGGCGTACAGGTTGCACAAGAAATAGCAAGAAATCCAGATTGTATTCAAAGCGGCAGACTAATTCTAGTAAAATGTCTCCACCCACTGCTGCCCTTCCTGAGCCCATTATCTGCCGAGAATCAAAGGGCCTGGCTATAAATGTGGGTGTCCAATGTCCTTATAAGCTCCATAAGCTGTATACATGAACAATACGATTAACTGGTAAGAAATGTGGAGGGGTAGGAAGACCTTTGCACATCTCTAAATCCTGGCTTTCCTATCCCTTCTAAATCCCCACGCAGGAACTCTACAAAGGCCTCCTGTTTTTCCTCCATAACACAAAGTGAAATAAATGTATATTTTATGTTAATCTTTCTCATAATTAAGAAAGGTAATCTAAATTCACTTTTACCTTACTAGTACCAAGTTTTAAAATTCAGCTTTTTTTTTTTTTTTTTTTTTTTGAGACAGGGTCTCACTCTGTCACTCAGGCTGCAGTGCAGTGGCATGATCATGGCTTACTGCAGCCTCAACCTCCTGGGCTCAAGTGATCGATCCTCCCACCTTAGCCTCCTGAATAGTTGGGACCACAGGCACATGCCAACATGCATGATTAATTTTTGTATTTTTTGTAGAGACAGGGTTTCACCATGTTGCCCAGGCTGGTCTCCAACTCCTGAGCTCAAGCAATCTGCCTGCCTCTGCCTCCCAAAATGCTGGGATTACAGGTGTGAGCCACAGCACCTGGCCAAAATTCAGCATTTTTAAGAAATAAGAGAATATGAGAGGAAAAGGCACATCAACTTACCTAAGATGTTTAGGGCGAGGAAAAGCTTTTAAACAAATTACAACATTGATCTACCTCTCAGGGTAGTCATGAAAGAAAAAACCAAAGCATTGCGAAACATGGGGGAACATAAAGGACAAACCAGCAGTGGCATTGATCCACATACACATTCCATTTCAGCGTATGCCTGGTAAGATTCAGCTCTTTTCTGATCCAGAGCAGCCCCGTGGTCACTCCAACTAGCTCTTTACCCAGTGAACCAAGCTACTCGCTGCAGGGTACAGTAAGTGAGACAGGAATTGAAACACCCAGATATCCTGGCTACATTTCCTTTTTGAACCTCCTCATTAGGAATTATGACTTGCACATGACTTGTGATGAGCATGTCACATTCCTGTACATAGATGTCACCTTAATCTTCTAAAATCACTGCTTTACCCATAGCTCCTTTTCTCAAAAATCTTTAAAACCTAAACAATGTCTACAGGATAAAGTTCCAGCCCTTGAGCCAGAATTCAACCTGACCACAGTTCGGCTTCCACTGGACCTCCCACTGCTCTTTGGAGAAGGCAGCTGTGAAAGCACCCATGTTAGTCTGAGAGCCAGGCATTGGAATTCCAGCTCTGCCACTTTACCACTTGTGTCATCCCAAGCCAGTTACGTATCTTTTTGATCTTGTCTTTTTAAAAACAAGAATTCCCTCATCTTTAAAACAAGAGCAACAATACCTATGTCACAACACTGAAGGATGAAAGAGAGAGCTGGCAGGTGGCATAGAGCAGATGCTATTACTTTTCTCTCTAGGTCCAGTCCAAATGGTCTGCTCTCCATTCTCTTGAAAGCTTTCCCCAGCAACTCTCCACCAGTTTCAGAAGCATACTTTGCTTCAAGGCTCTCCCCTCTTCTATGAAACCGCCCTGCCTCAGAATCATTTTCTCCTTGAGCTTTATAATTCTTAGATTCTAAGCCAAGTTTGTCCAACCTGCGGCCCATGGGCCGCCCAGGACGGCTCTGAGTGTGGCCCAACACAAATTCGTAAACTTTTAAAAATATTATGATTTTTTATGCGATTTATTTTAAGCTCATCAGCTATCCTTAGAGTCAGTGTATTTTACATGCGGCCCCAGGCGATTCTTCTTCCAGTGTGACCCCGGGAAGCCAAAAGATTGGACATTCCTGTTCTAAGCCAATTGATCTGAAATTATCCTTCACTCAAATGTCACTTCTCTTTCCCCAAGGAGTCCACAAACTCAAGACCAAGGATTTCCCTAATTACCAAGCCAATCCAATCTAAGCGTTCAGTAAAAAAATACTTTTAAGGTAAGAGTTGCCTTGGAGTTGTCTACCAAAATGGGTGCCCTTCTGGCCCAATTAGGGGATAACATTTCCCATACATACACTTGAACAATTTTTCTTCCCCCTATCTTGGGGAGTTTTTCCAAAGGTAATATTTGCCAGATAGCCTGGGCCCAGTGGCTCACGCCTGTAATTCCAGCACTTTGGGAGGCCCAGGCGGGTGGATCACCTCAAATCAGGACTTTGAGACCAGCCTGGCCAACATGGGGAACCCCATCTCTACTAAAAATACAAAAATTAGCCAGACGTAGTGGCAGGCGCCTATAATCCCAGCTACTCGGGAGGCTGAGGCAGGAGAATTGCTTGAACCCAGGAGGCGGGGGTTGCAGTGAGCCGAGATTGCGCCACTGCACTCCAGGGACAGAGAGAGACTCCGTCTCGAAAAAAAAAAAGAAAAAAATTTTTTAAATAAAAAATATATGCCAGATAAATAAAAAGGAGGGTTACATCTATGTTAGTCACCTAGGAACTCTCTGCCAGACCAGCAGAATTTAAGAAGCCTTCACTTCATGCATTCAACAGGCTCTTCTTGAGTTCTGGCCTTGTGCGGTCCTTAATTCAGCAAGGGAGATAGGCTGTGAACAATTCAGTCTCTATCTTGGATTAGCTTTCTGGACCCCAGATTACGTCTAACCTTTTAGAAACCCCTAATTCTGGCAAAAAAAAATCAATTAAGGGATTCACCTTCTGAAAAATATTAAAACAAAACAATGCAGCCCTTTGGGTTTTAACCCTGTGGCCCCATCCCAAAATGGCCAGTTGCAGTGTGTGCAGCTAAGAGGTAGCTGAAAACAGTCTTGCAGATGGGATAATGACCTCTTTGCCATTCCCAAGACCCTGCTATCCAAACAGCAGAAACACCTGGTTGGTAATAAAAGCAAGAGCTGGACTAAGGCTGTACTAAGGCAAATTTTCTCACTTAATGAAGAAGTTATTTTATTCATATTAATCATCAACTACTTTCATATAAAGATCCCAGGAAAATGCAATAAGCCCTCTTTAGAAACACTTGAAAACATTGTCTCTTGAACTCTACTCAGTTACTAAATTATTGGATAACGTGCCATAAACGTTGACTAGAGTGTGGACCCTTTAATACTTAGTGCGTGTCTGCACAAGGGCAAAAAGTGAACCATCCACAAATAAACATAGTTTAACTTGTTGCAGTAATAGCATGCAAAGTTAATTTTCCTTTGTTTGAGTTCCGTGTGTCTGTGTGTGTTGTGCGTGTGTATGTGTGTGTGTGTGTGCGCGCGCGCGCGCGCGTTCTTCAAGGAGCCTGCATACAAGCTGCAACAGCTCCAGGTAGGAGCTCGAATGCCGCCACCGAGAGGCAAGGCGGTGCGCAGAGCCAGCTCCCAGGACGTCCCGAGATCGGGTCTCCGCTCGGCACCAGGCAGCTCTTCACCGCCGGACTCTGGCCGCGAGGTTCCCCACCCCCAACCGCGCGGCCCCCGCCGGGCCGGAAAGCAGAGCCGGCGGCTACTGACCGCCCGGGAGGGCGGACCCCACCAGCCCCGCTCCTCTGCGCCTGCGGCGGCCCCCACGCGCGTACTCACGGAGCTGGACACCGCTGCCGGGGCCGGGAGTCGGGAGCAGAGGGAAAAGGGCTGGGAGGGCAGGGGCGGGACCGGGCGCGCACGCGGGAACCGGGGCCACCCGGCCCGGAGGCGCTTACCTCTGCGTTCCCCAGCCGGGCCGGGCGCGGCGCCTGGATGGGGTCTCGCCGGGAGCCGCGCGGCCCGGAGGAGGAGCCGCTCCTGCAGAGAGGGCGGGCGGCGGGCAGGCATCCGCGCCCCGGGCTGCGGCCGGGCTGCAGGGAGAGAGAGGGGAGGGAGCGCAGATTTGAGTGGAGGGGGCGTGGAGGATGTGCGCCTCCACCCAAGACAGAGAGGGTGGGCTGCTGGAGCCCGGCGGAGGGGAGCGCTCGGAGGCGCCGGAGGCAGCGAGAAAGCCGCGCCGAGAGTGTGCGAGGGAGGGTGGGGGACAGGGGTGAGGGAGGCGGGGGCCGGGGGCAGCAGGGAGGAGAAGTTGGCCCCCAAACTGGACGGCCCTCACCTCCTCACCATCCGACCAAGAGTTGTCTGGGTCTGGAGCAAAGCACAACGGGGTCTGAAACTTTATGTCATTTTCTCATACACACGTGACCCCCCTGGAGTCCAGATGGTTTCAATCACTGGAGGAAAAAAGCGGCTCTTCTGGTATGCGTGAAAAGCCGGAGCTGGGAGAGTCTGGGAAAAGCTGCCTGCACCGCCCGCCGGCCTTCAAACAAACCGATGAGCTCTTTCCCTTCTCCCAGTTCTCGGGCCTCGGGGGAGCCCTACAAAACCCAAATGAAATTCAAAGAAGCTACTTTTGGTACTGCAGCAGCAGCAGAACTCCCAAAGCACTAGGGTTCCAAGGAGCCTGGTCTCAACCGAAAGCTCCAAAAGGGATTCTGAAATTTTACTTTAAATACTCCACTGGTTTGCAAAAACAAAAACTAGAAAAGGGTGCCATTTAATAATAAAGCAATGGAATAACAGCACTGAGAATCTGTGATTTATTAGTGGAATTTGAAGGAAATCATTAGCCCAGTATAACAATCAACTTGGAAAAGAAAAATGTAAATTACTTAAGATCCAAACCCATACTTAGTGAGATGTTAGGAAATCGTGTAATCCATTTTTTACTCACGTAAATCACTGTAAATAAAATTTGATAATAGAAATGCACAACAGCAGCAATGAAAATTGACTTTTGAAGTTTCAGTTTTACATTGACTTTACAAATTTACATTTCTAAGGAACCAGTGTGTATGAACATAAGCAGGCTCCAAGGCCAGGACATGTTCCAAAATCCAAGCCAGTTCAATTGTCACATATCCTAAAGAGGTATTTACTCAGCTGCAGGGCAAGCATCAAAAATAATGAGTTTAAGATACATCCTGAGGCCGGGCGCGGTGGCTCAGGCCTGTAATCCCAGCACTTTGGAGGCCAAGGTGGGCGGATCACTTCAGGTCAAGAGTTCAAGACCAGCCTGGCCAACATGGTGAAACCCCATCTCTACTAAAAATACGAAAGTTAGCAGGAGTGGTGGCAGGCGCCTGTAATCTCAGCTACTAGGGAGCCTTGAGGCAGGAGAATCCCTTGAACCCAGGAGGCAGAGATTGCAGTAAGCCAAGATCGCACCACTGCATTCCAGCCTGGGCAACAGAGTGAGACTCCGTCTAAAAAAAAAAAAAAAAAGAAAAAAAAAGATACATCCTGGAAATAATTTAACTTGGTCAAGATCGAACACAAGTAATGGCAAGAACCAAACTGATAAAGTCTACTGTTCCTTTGCCAAAAAAGGATATTACACAGGAATTACTAGTATTAACTCTTTGTCTCCAAAATACTGAGGCCAAAGGACAGTTTGGCCTTTCTAGCAGAAGGCCTTATATGCGGTGTGATGCAGTCTGCGCATGAAAAATAAATCAATTCCTCGTTGAGTTGCTTCTACATTAGGAAAGCCCAAGATTTCAGCTGTTGTTGAGGCACATTGAAAACACAAAGGCCAAAAATCAGCACAGGTTTTACTCCAAAAATCAGAACAGTTTTACTTTAATCAGAACAAGTTTTTCTCCAAACTCACAATCTAAGTGAGTTTCTACTCTAGTTCACTGAAGTGCTTGAACACCTCAGGAGACCTGGGCCATATTTGGATGAACTTAGCCCTCTCCAGTCTTTTCCAATCTCTCCAATCTCAAATTAGGATGGTTCTGCCCCAAACGTGGAACAAGAGAACTCATGAATGTAAAGGCAAGCCACAGAATTTAGCCAGCCTCCAGGTAAATTCTACCTGCAGCTCTCTGAGCTCTGTAAGGAGGTTCTTAAGTCTCCCACTTTCAAAACTATTAGAACCTCTACTACTAAAGTCCCGTTTTTCTTGTAACATCTCTAAGGAAAGACAACTCAACAGACAGCATCAAGATTTTCTCTAATCAGACCCAGGACAATAATTATTTTCATCATTGGCAGCTGCTGCTGCTGCCTCTTATATGTGCTGAAGCAATGTAAGAGGGCAATAATTAGATATAAATACTTGTTCTTTTTGTTGGCCAATTCCATTGTAAGTTATGCATGGAACTGTTTTAATTCTTAGGAAAAAAACTTCATTAGATCTGCTCTCTCAGAAAGAAAAGTTAACATCCCTTAAATTGTCTAAATATAGTCTAAATATAGCCTTGAGTCTAAACTTCATATATGTGACTATTAGTTCATCTTAATACTGGCCAAATATTTATTAGAGACACTGACATCAGAAATGGTGTTAATGCTATATTTTAAATAGTAGTAATTTAGTAATTTGCGTTAACGTAATGTTCACATCACTTGACAAACAAGGTCGACTATGTATAAGAGATGGCAAGCTCTTTGAGGACAGCAACCTAGCCTGTCTTGCTAATAATTACATCCTATCTGCCTAGCACAGTGCCCAGCATGAAATAAGCGCACAGTAAATATATGCTGTCTGAATAAATGAAAGATAAATAAAAACACTCCTCATAAGGTTACAATCCTGTTGTAGAGACATGTGACTTATAAACAACAGAATGAAATCGCCATGGAAGGATACTAGCAACAAAAAAGAGGAAGGGATCATTAGCATTAGCCAGCTTTGGACTTTAATCACAGCATATATTGAGAAATGTGCAGAGACTGCTGAAAATAGGAAGCGCTTGTAGGAGGAATTTGGTAAATTTACTGCCTAATTTAGGGGTCTGAGATATACTTTCCCATGTTCCATTATTCAGTCCCATCAACACAGAGCCAAGACAAGATTTGAGCATAAACATCCTGGCTCTAATTTGGATAGTTATGAATACTGTTCCTTTCATCCTCTCTCATACGTCTCCTCCACCCGCAAGCCATTTCCTCTGTACGGTCTTCTGTCAGTCTAATGAAAGTTTCCTAATCTTTAGAAGCAGTAGCTTTGGTTCTCTTTGTGCAGAGAAGTACAATATGCCCTGATTACATGGTTATATTCCATACAGATGCCTGGCAACACATCTTGTAGCTAAGGGTCTGTTTAATATTTTAACCTTGAGAGCCTTATAATTCAACTACTTTGTTATATACCAAAATAGAACTTGACATCACAAAGATGAGCTTTACTTCCTTTTGCTATTTTAAATCCTGCACTTAAGCATGGTGAGTTGTCTGGGTTTTCTGGTTCATGGATTTTGCTTTGGCATGTTTTGTTTTTTCCTTTGAAGGACAGAAGGGTTAAGATTTTCTAGGAAGATTTTCAGGTTTGCAGGTCTAGCACTCACGAAACAATGATTTCTTCCTAGGTACTCTGCCTGTAATATTATATGTATTCATTAAAGGGGCAGTGAGGGTTGGGTTCAGTGGCTCATTCCTATAATGCCATTATTTTGGGAAGTCAAGGCAGGAGGACCTCTTGAGCTCACGAGTTTGAGACCAGCCTGAGCAACATAGTGAGACCCCAGTCTTTAAAAAAAAAAAAAAATTAGCTGAGCATGGTGGTTTATGTACACCTCTAGTCCCAGCTACTCAAGACATTGAGGTGGGAGGATTGCTTGAGCCCAGGAGGTCCTGGCTCCAGTGAATTATGATTGCACCACTGCACTTCAGCCTGGGCGGCAAAGTGAGACCCTGTCTCAAAGAAAAGGTATTGGGGCTGTGGGGCCTTATTTATGCTTCATGATCCAAACAACCAGTTTTCTCTAAAGCAGACAACTGGGAAAGGTGGTTAGCCTAGATGACTTTAAGTGTTCTAGGCCGGGCGCCGTGGCTCATGCCAGTAATCCCAGCACTTTGGGAGGCCGAGGAGGGCAGATCACAAGGTCAGGAGATGGAGACCATCCTGGCTAAGACGGTGAAACCTCGTCTCTACTAAAGATACAAAAAATTAGCCGGGCGTGGTGGTGGGCACCTGTAGTCCCAGCTACTTGGGAGGCTGAGGCAGGAGAATGGCGTGAATCCAGGAGGCAGAGCTTGCAGTGAGCCCAGATCGCGCCACTGCACTCCAGCCTGGGCTACAGAGTGAGACTCAGTCTCAAAGAAAAAAAAAAAAAACTACTAAATTTTCTAAATTGCACTGAGTAGGAAGCCCAGAAACCAAAATTTGCATGCAAAAATTTTTGACACTGTGATTTTTTTTTTTAATTTTACTATTCTTATTTTTTTTGAGAAAGAGTCTCTGTTGCCCAGGCTGGAGTGCAGTGGCACAATCAGAGCTCACTGCAGCCTCCCACCTTAGCCTCCCCAGTGGCTGGGACTACAAGCACATACCACAACACATGGCTAATCTTTTAAAATAGAGATTTTTAAAAATCTCTATTCTATAGAGATAGGAGTCTCACTGTGTTGCCCAGGCTGGTCTCAAACTCCTGGCTTCAAGTGATCCTCCCACTTCAGCCTCCCAAAGTGCTGGGATTATAGACATAAGCCACCACACCTAGCTGACATTTTGACCTAAAAAAAATTTTTTATATGTAGGTAAGATATACACCAGGTAAAAACTTCAGAAACAGTTTAAAAATATATAAATGATCCCCAATATATGGTGGTTCAACTTACAATCTTTTGACTTTACCATGGTGCAAAACCAATATTCCTTCAGTAGAAAGCATACGTTGAGTCCCCATACAGCATTCTGTTTTTCAGTTTCGGTACAGTATTCAATAAATTACATGAGATATTCAACACTTTATTATTTTATTTAGATCTACACAGAATTAAAGGAGAAAAATAAATGTAGTACTCCTGGTTAATATCATTAACATAAGTTACAGGGTTATTAATCAAGATCTTAAGAGAAGAATTAAGATATACTATAGGCCGGGCATGGTGGCTCATACCTGTAATCCTAGCACTTTGATAGGCTGAGACAGGAGGATCGTTTGAGCCCAAGAGTTCAAGACCAGCCTGGGCAACATAGCAAGACCCCATCTCTATATTATACTAAAGTACATATATATACTTTAATCTTGTCAAGCTGGTAAATCTCATTTGGATTTCAAGTATTACTGAGGTTTTAATATAAAATTAAAAATAAATTATTCATTTTCTTAAAATATATAAGGAATAAGTAAACTGAATTGTGTTACTTATGTCTTTTTTATAGTAGATTATATTTCCTGCCTTGGATACCATGCAGTGCCTTTTGTTCCCTCCCTACTAAGTGTACAGAAGACAGGATACATCCAATCAAAGTTCTCTTTCTATATCAGCTCACAAAAAGGTTCACTCCAATCCATTTATTTGATTTTATCCTGCTATGTTGTTTGGGGTTTTGTTCCAGATAGCAAGCTGTCTAATACTCATTTAGATAAAGTACAGGGGCTCATGCCTGTAATCCCAGCACTTTGGGAGGCCAAGGTGGGCCTATCACCTGAGGTCAGGAGTTCAAGACCAGCCTGGCCAACATGGTGAAACCCCGTCTCTTCTAAAAAATACAAAAATTAGCCAAGCATGGTAGCGAGCACCTGTAATCCCAGCTACTTGGGAAGCTAAGACAGGGAGAATTGCTTGAACTCCGGAGGCAGAGGTTGCAGTGAGCCAAGATTGTGCCACTGCACATCAGCCTGGGCGACAGAGCAAGATTCCGTCTCAAAAAAAAAAAAAAAGAAAGAAAGAAAAGAAAAGAAAGTAATAAGGCAGCTTGACTGCTGATGCTGGGCAGGCTGGATCTGAGAGTAAATGAGAGGAGATGTCAGGTGGCCTTTAGACGGACAGGAGACAAGCTCAGAAAGGCTCATCCAACCTGGATGGTCCCCTCACTCCTCTGTCTTGCTAAGTCATCCTTCTTCCTTCTCTCATGGGCTTGAAGATACTTTTTTTTTTTTTTTTTTTTTGAGACGGACTCTCACTCTGTTGCCCAGGCTGGAGTGCAGTGGTGCGATCTCGGCTCACTGCAAGCTCCACCTCCCGGGTTCATGCCATTCTCCTGCCTTAGCCTCCCGAGTAGCTGGGACTACAGGTGCCCACCACCATGCCCAGCTAATTTTTTTTGTATTTTTAGTAGAAACAGGGTTTCACCATGTTAGCCAGGATGGTCTCAATCTCCTGACCTTGTGATCCACCCGCCTTGGCCTCCCAAAGTGCTGGGATTACAGGCGTGAGCCATCGTGCCCGGCCTTTTTTTTTTTTTAAACACTAGTCAAATGAAGCAGTGGGAGCAGAGAAGGAACAAAGAAATCTGTAACTGGTTGTCATCAATTAGTTGTAAACATCACTGCACTTGAACCAGCCTGAAGATAATTTTTTATTGGAAGAAATTAAAGTCTAAAAATTTACTCATTTGAAACACTAGTTACCAATCTTTGTTCTAATGGTATCAGTCTTAGATTTAATGAATTATCTCCAGATAAAATAATGATCTATATTTGTCACTGAATTCACTGAATTTTACCCAACATGCATCCCTGAAACCAGACTTGTGAAATTTAATATCATTTTGTCATTCTCCATCTTACTGGCAAAACAGAAATCCATAGTTCCCCCCCAAAAAAATCACGATTGTATCTGTAGCTCCTTATTCATTTGTTTATTCATTCAATAAGCATTTATTAAACATCACAAAACTATTTTTGACACTGGGGGGAATAAAAGTAATAAGTTGTGTAAGCAAATTTAAAATCTAGTGATAAAGGCATTAATAAACAACTACTCAAAAATAATAGCATACAAGAGATAAAGAGGAGGAAATATGGGAATTTGCAGAACTAGTAGAGATTCTTACTAGAATTTAGAGAAAGAGGGTTGGAACTGAACCTTCAATGATTGTCAGAATTTCTATTTCAGTCATTAGAAAAGAAGGGGAGAAAATTTTAAGCCAAAGGAATTGCCTAAGCCATGAAAATGAGAAACCAGCTGTAAGAACAGTGACTGGTCCTCATTTGACTGAAGTAGGAAGTTAAAAAGGTAAATTAAGTGGGAATCAGTTTGGTGGTTCCTCAAAAAGTTAAACATAGAATTACCATGTGACCAGCAATTCCACTCCTGGGTATATACCCAAAAGAACTGAAAACAATTGTTCAACTACTTGTACACAAAAGTTCATAGCAGCACTATATACAGGACCAAAAGGTAGAAATAATCATGTCCATCAACAATTGAATGAATTTTTTTTTTTTTTTTGGAGACAGAGTCTCGCTCAGTCGTCCAGGCTGGAGTGCAATGGCGCGATCTCAGCTCACTGCAACCTCCACCTCCTGGGTTCAAGCAGTTCTCCTGTCTCAGCCTCCCAAATAGCTGGGATTATAGGCACCTGCCATCATGACCAACTAATTTTTGTATTTTTGTAGAGATGGGGTTTCACCATGTTGGCCAAGCTGGTCTTGAAATCCTGACCTCAGGTGGCCTCAGCCTCCCAAAGTGCTGGGATTACAGGTGTGAGCCACCGTGCCCAGCCATGAATGGATTTTTTAAATGTGGTGTATCTATACAGTGGAATATTATTTGACCATAAAAAGGAATAACATTCTGATACATGCAATGTGAGTGAGACTTGAAAACATTATGCTAAGTGAAAGAAGCCAGACCCAGAAAGTCACATATTGTATGATTCCATCAATCCACAGAGACAGAAGATAAATGGTTGCCAGGGCTCCGGGGGAGAAAGAAATGGGAGGTAACTGCTTAGTGGGTATGGGAGCTCCTTGAGAGTGGTGAAAATGTTTTGGAACTAGAAGTGATGATTGCACAATATTGTGACTATAATTAATGTCACTGAATTATACACTTTAAAATGGTTTTTATGTTGTGTAAATTTCACCTCAAACATTTTTTAAAAAGGTAGACTCACTAATGCTCACTGTTATACTTCCCAGTCCACAGAAGTCTACCGTTCCAGTCACTGTGCAGTTAGGCAGGGCCATGTGACTGTCCAACCCTTGTCTAGCCAACAGGCTGTGAGCAGAAGTGACACATGTCACTTCCAGGCCAAAGCATTGAAGAAGGGGTAAGAGATGTCCATGCCTCTCTTCTCTGCCACATAAACCCAAAGCCATGTGAGACTGTAGCGGACCGGATCCCTGAATAAACCAATACCTCCCTACTGATCCATGCTGGCCATGCTGGATATGTATGAAATATCCTCATTGTCTTAAGCCACTGAAATGTGAGAAGCTGTTATTGCAGCATAAGCTTAGCTCCTCCTGACTGATACAGGATCAGATCTAGGAAGGATATGAAGGCAATATGAAGGAATTTGAATTTGATTCTGAAGGATGTGGAGAGACAATATTTTTGAGAAGAGTGACATGATGTGCATTTGAGGAAAATAACTCTAGAAACAAAAGTAGCTCTTAACCTTTGGTGCATGTCAAAAATCACCCAAAGAGAACTGTAGTCATCTTCCAATTCCTTTATAAATTCTTTAAAGAATAAAATATTTGTCCTCTGGAGAAAAAAAAATCACCCGAGAAGCTTTTCAAAATGCAATGCTCTGGTCCAAGACATCTCCAGATATCCTGAATCAGAGTCTCTATGCTAGGTACATATGATTGAAAAAAAAATTATGGGAAATTCTAGACTAGAGGTTAGAGGCAAGGAGGAGATACCAACTTCAGTCAGAGATGACCAAATTCACATGCTTAGTGAATTCAAATAAGCATTCTAATAAAATAATGGAACGATAAATGCTTAGGGAGTTTCGATTGAAATAGTAAGTTATGAAAAGGTTAGTCACATTAACATTTGTACAGTCAGAGTTATTACTTTGAACATTTAGGTACCAATAGAATGGTGGTGGTAGTTTTCATGCATCTACTCTATTGCTAACTAAGCAGCAGCCTACCCCAACATTTCCATTATGCTGGGGAACATGGTTGACATACCACAGACAAAGGACAGAGCCATCTTCAGTCTCCTAGAAGGTCAAACTCTTACATCTCCTTTCCTTCTTTGCTTCCTTTTTCCTTTTCTTTTAGGATAATTGGCATTCTATGCTCTTCTTAATTCCTTCCTCCTAGGTACTCATCAGTCAACTTTCAACTAATCAAGACTTGAAGAGCCAAAATATTTAAGAGCTCAAAAAGCCTAGGTTACAGATGCACTGGAAGCTGTCACTTTGAACTGTGTGTGTGTGTGTGTGTGTGTGTGTGTGTGTGTGTGTAGTTTTTACTACCAAATGTGATTTATTATATGTAATTGCTAAGAGCCTCAGCTTTCCAGAATAGAGATTTCAATACTGTGAAGAAATAAATCATTTTCTGACAATAATTCAGTTTGTGTTGCAAAATGCATCTTCAGAGCATCTCAAGATAAAGTGATCTCCAATAAACAGCACTAAAGCTGCCTGACAGAAAAACTATCTTCATTTCTAAAATTGACAAGCCTTGAAGCAGGAGGATAGCTTGAAGCTAGGAGTTCGAGGTCACAGTGGCTATGGTCACGCATGTTATCTCCTAGAGGTAGCAAGACTTCGTCTCTAAAAAATAATAAATAAAACTGACAGGCTTCACTACAAACCTCCTCCTAATACTGAATACTGCTCAACAATCCTTTTATTCCTAGTGATTTCGATCCTCTTCTTGTTCCCCACAGCAACTGTCCCAAGCCTGTCTCTTCCCAAAACTTCCAACTACTCACTCTCAGGAGGTAACCTTGCCTTCACCACTGAGAAAGGAGAAATGTAAATTCCCTCAACTTTCCCTTACCATGTCCAAATGTATCTTCATTCCCCCATCTCCTGTCTCAGAAGCATGCTTACTCTACTTATTTTGAAGAACGACCCTTACCCATGTTGAATCTCCTGTTTCCTTCATCTCATGTCTTCCTGTTTCCTGTTCTTCCCCTTCATTTTTGTGAGTATCTCCTCCAGTGGTTTTCTGTGAAAGGCTGCAGAGGAGGTAAATTTTTTTTTACCAGCTGGGAAATATAATGTATATATTTTTATGTCTTTGGAAGCTTGTAGGATATTTTCCTGAAAATTCATAGTGATGTGCCTTAGTATGGGTACTTTTTCAAACATCGTTCTAAGGCACTTGTGGGCCTTTTTAATCTGGAGGCTCATGTTCTATAGTTCCAGTAAATGTTCCTGTACTGTTCCTTTAATAATTTCATCCCATATATTTTCTCAAATTTCTCTTTCTACAACTCCTGTGACTTCTATGTTGGACCTCTTTGGTTGATCTCCTAATTGTCCATCTTACTGTCTTTTTGTTCTACTGTATGGGAAATTTTGTAAATTTTTTCTTCTGATTCTTCTATCAATTTTTAAAATTTCAACTATGATTTTTTAATTTCCAAATGCTCTGTCTTGTTCTTTTTGTTTGTTTGTTTTTGAGACAGTCTCACTCTGTCACCCAGGCTGGAGTGTAGTGGCATGATCTCGGCCCACTGCAACCTCTGCCTCCTGGGTTCAAGTGATTCTTGTGCCTCAGCCTCCTGAGTAGCTGGGATTAACAAGCGCCTGCCATCACAGTTGGCTGGCTACTTTTTGTATTTTTAGTAGAGACAGGATTTCACCACGTTGGCCAGGCTGGTCTTGCACTTCTGACCTCAAGTGACCGATCCACCCACCTCAGCCTCCCAAAGCGCTGGGATTACAGGCGTGAGCCAGCATGCCCGGCCAGTCTTGTTCTTGTTGTTCCTTTTCTCTAGAGCATCTTGAGCTTCTTACTTAACTTCTCTATTCTCTTAATATCTCTATCAACTCCTGTCTCTATGACCACTCTTTTTCACTGGCCTTCATTTACTATCTCCTTCTCTGTATACTCTTTAATTGGATTTTTTTTTCTTGGCTCTCTTCTACACAGCCCATCCTGGACATCTTATCTACTTGCATGGTTTCAATTCAATTTAGCTGATATTGCCAAACTATTATCTCTAGCTCCGACTTCTCTCTTTTAATTTCTAGACCTGAACTTCCAACTACCTTGTGGATATCTGCACCTAGATGTTCCAGACACCTCAAACTTTACATTACATTGCTGGCTTCTGGCATCCTATGCTCCAATCTCATAAACAACTTGTTATTTCCCAGAAAATATTATGAAAGGTAACATCTCTGATAGGCCCAACTCAAATGTCACCTTTTTAATAAAGCCTTCTCCGACTTCTTCCTACTCCTTGGGAGAATGGATTACTCTCTCCCTTGGCACCCAAGGCTCACTTCATAGCCCATAACCATTGTTCATAAGTATTGCTCACCATGAGCCAATCTGCTGACTGCCAGATTGTGAGCCTCTTGAAAGCATGGGTTATTTATCTATCAGTATAAGTTCCATCTTTAACCTCTAGCAAATGGCTGTTACTCAATAAATAGCTGTTGAATTACAATAATTTCAGGTGAACATACAGTATAAATATTTGACTATGTAATAATTAATTAATCATAGAATGTAACCAGAAACCTAACCCACTAGAAAAATATTATGTAAGTTTCAAAATGCATCTATGGTTATTTTTAATTTTAAAAGATTATCATTTTTTGGTTGGGCACTGTGGTTCATGCCTGTGATCCCAGCACTTTGGGAGGCCAAGGTGAGTGGACTGCTTGAGCCCAGCAGTTGGAGATCAGCCTAGGCAACACAGCAGGGCCCTGTCTCTAGAAAAAATACAAAAATTAGCCAGGAATAGTGGTGCATGCCTGTGATCCCAGCTACTTGGGAGGCTGAGGTGGAAGGATCTCTTGAGCCTAGAAGGTTGAGACTGTAGTAAGCTGTGATTGCACCACTGCACTCCAGCCTGGACGACAGAGTGAGAGTCTGTCTCAATCAATCAAATAATTTTTAAATATTATTTTTAAAATAAACATTCCCAAGCTTATACAAAGGCGCATTCTTCATAGTAACTTGCACAGAGTTACTTGCACAGAATTCAAAAAGCTAATTCAGTTTTAAATCATCTGCTCACCCAGATGGGTACCTGAACAGCTCTTAGAATACAGAACACATTTTGTTGTTGTTTTCATTTGGGATAACTACAAATAAAACCAAAGAAAAGGCAAAAAGAGATCTCTTTAGAATATATGACCCATATAAAAATATTAATAGTGGTTAGCCAACAAGCATTCTGATAAATTTCTTTTCCAAAAATGTCAAGTGATTAAAGAGTGAAGAAAAGAAAGACACTTCTGAACTCTTAACTAGAGCACTGCTACTAAGGGCATTATGAAGCTGAATGAAGAATGTTCATTCCTATGCAGGGATTAAGTGTCATTAGGGGCTTTTTGTTTTCTTTAGTTTGGTTTGATTTTCTTTTTCAAACTAAGCCCTAATGCCAAATCTTACATTTTCTTTTTCTTTTTCTTGTTGAACTGATGCTATGTTAAGATATAAGCACAAACATCTCATAAGTGTTTTAAAACCATCCAATTGTTTGAGAAGGCATACGTGCTGGGCCTATGAAGCCAAAACATTAGAGCTAGGAAATTTGATGAAGATAATAATTGCTTACAGACCAGCTTGTTTTAACTTGCTGAACAAAGAATACAATTTTATACCACATTTTCATCAGAAGCTTTTTCTCTACATAATCACTACTGTAATGAGCACTTTAAAAAGGGAGATTATCTACAGGTTAAGGAGTAAGGAAGTTATCAATTAGATACCATCGTCTTCAAAATTTCACTTACTCAAACTTTAGATTAATAGAAAAACATTTTTGGCTGACTTAAGCGATGTTTTGAATCTTTACAAACCATTTGTTTAGTGTGCACAGCATGAAATCTAGAAATGAAGACACCCCATTCTTTCCAGTACTGCCCTCAATGGTTCTATAGCCTTGGCTAGGTCAGTAATTTCTTTGTATCTTAGTTGACTTCTTAGATTTTCCTCTATAGAGATACAGTTCCATCTCTCTCACATCTTCAAAATGCATTCAGGCTCTATGCCTGTGTCAGAAGTTGCTCTCTCACTCCTTTCATTCAGTTACTTTGATCACTTGAAGACCCTCTAATTCACGATTCAACCAACATTTATTAAGGGCTTTCTCCATGACAGGCAATTCAGTGAAGGTGGGGATGGGGTCAGTCCCTAAAAGGATACTAATACTAGTCTACTAACAGAAAAAAAAAAAAAAATCCTCTTCGGACTTCCTTTGTTTTTTTGTTGTTGTTGTTGTTTTTTGTTTTTTTGAGACAGGATCTGTCATCCAAGCTGGAGTTCAGTGGTGCAAGCATAGCTCACTGCAGCCTCAAACTCCTGGGCTCAAGCAATCTTCCCACCTCTGCCTCCCAAGTAGCTGAGAGTGTAGGCACGAGCCACCACATCTGATTTAGATTTCCTATTCTTTATTTCCTCTAGTATATTCAGCTAGAAATTCTAAGAATTAAGTTGTGGTAGGTTTACAGGATTGGGTTAAGGCAGTCATTCAGTGATCGATGGTTACAGGACCAGGCAGCCTAGGAGTTAATATGGTTTCAAAACAGAGATAAGTCACAGAATGGAGCAAAGTCACCAATTTCACAAGATGAAGATAACTCTTCATGCATGGTACCAATGATGACCCTTGGTTTGCTGAATCCTTTGGCTTTATTACTCCACCCTTTAAGGCAGAACTCTCTAGACCTACTCTGCAAGCTATGTTGACTTCTGATTCTCTTAAACAGGGAGCCATTCATCTCAGCCCATAAGTCTTCAATATCAGTGTGTTAAAGCCAGAGTCATGTCTTCCAACTAAGTCTGAAACCTTGTAAAGAGAGGAAAGGAAGATGGGAAGAGATCTATGTTGTCCAGAAGTACTAAGGGGCCATTTTCTAACGGCAGAACTTAACTTTGAGACTCCCAACTCTGGATATTTGCTCATTCTTCCCCATCTACCAATCCCATTGGTACCTGTGTGACAACCTCCTCCGCTTTGTCTCTGACCTGTTGCTTGCCATGATCCTTGCCATTCAGAGGCCATTTGGCTCTGATCCATGGCCTTGTTGTAATCTTGGGTCACAGATATGCTACCAATCTGAAATGCTTATCTGGTTCCTGACCCCAGGCCTAGGCCTGATCACAAACTAAATTATTCTCTTGCCACCTGTCCCATGCCATGCATATCAGTCTCATCACAGTTTCTTATCCTGCTTCCCCACCCACGGCTGCCTATAGTTCTAGTGCTGGCTAAAATTATAGAATCTTTTTTAATTCATTCTGGAAGGACAAAGTAATTAAGAGATGATTAGTTTATGTGACAACAATATGCAGAAAGGATATAAATTTGCTCACAATTAACTGTAGTATGTGCATTGTTATTATATCTTTCCACACCTCAAGCTTTCAATCTCTAAATTAATACATTTGCCACCACATTCTCTCAAAGATATATTTATGCATACTTAATTAACATGTACTCTGGGAGTGCAATAAAGCTATAATACATTCCTGCATTTCTAACTACATAATGAGTATTTAAAACATTTAGAAACAAATTGGCTCCCAATAAGGAATAAAAATGTTGAGTAACTTATTTTTCAAATATAATGTCTATGCCACTTAACTGAATATTTCTGAAATGTTATATAAAAAGAAAAATATTATAATTGAATCAAGAAAAGCATACCATTCTGAAGAAATTCAGTGGTGGGTTCTTTTTCATAGTAAAGAAGGATTTTGGAAATGGTGACAACTATCCCATAATTAATAAGTTTTGTATGTTCAGCTATAATTACATTGAATTTTCTGAAAGAGAGACTAATGTGAACAATATTCCAGGAAAGGAATATTCTTTTTTTTTCTAACTTTTTTCGGGGGGAGAACAGAGTTTCAGCTCTGTCACCCAGGCTGGAGTGCAGTGGTACAATCATGGTTCATTGCAGCCTCGACCTCCCAGGTTCAAGTGATCCTCCTGCCTCAGCCTCCCATGTAGCTAAGACTACAGGTCCACATCAGGCTAATTTTTAAAATTTTTTTGTAGAGACAAGGTCTCACCATGTTGTCCAGGCTGGTGTCAAACTCCTGGGGTCAAGCAATCCTCCCACCTCAGCCTCCCAAAGTGCTGGGATTACAGGCGTGAGCCACCACGCCCAGCCTAGAAATATTCTTCTGAGTACATCTTATTAGGTTAACTTGCTTTAAGGCTTTGCCTTTTCTACTAGTGAAGCACTAAAACATATCCTTTTTAATTTAAAGACACAAAGATTTTCATTGCTCTTACATGAAGAGCATTCTAAAGTGTTAGAATAAAGTATACTTCTAAAATGTAAAAAAGTTAAAGGAGATTCCTCACCTCAATTCTTAGGAGATGCTGTATCTGGAAAGGGTAAACAGAAGCAAACAGTTTCCTGAAATTGTGCCAAGGCTACATGTCAACTGCCTGGCAGGAAATGCTTTGGAGAACCTAGATAAACAGACTATCATCTTTCTCTGGCTTTTTATAAAGCAAATGTACTGAGTTAAACTAGCATCATAGACACAACAAGCAGAAAAGGGCACCGAGAAATTTTAGATGATAGTACCTGTAGGATTTATGACAATTAAATCAGTGGTCTGTCCGTCACTTTTAACATACATGAACATCACGGCTCAACAAACATGTACTCAATACATGTCTGTTGGATTTTTGCAGTAAATTAAATCTTACCGTTCCATTAATTTTCATCATGATTTTGGTGAAGATTTATCTTTTTTTTTGGCAGGGGTGTAGACAGAGTTTCACTCTTGTTGCCCAGGCTGGAGTGCAATGGTGCAATCTTGGCTCACTGCAACCTCCACCTACCGGGTTCAAGCGATTCTCCTGCCTCAGCCTCCCAAGTAGCTGGGACTACAGGCATGTGCCACCACACCCGGCTAATTTTGTATTTTTAGTAGAGATGGGGTTTCTCCATGTTGGTCAGGCTGGTTTTGAACTCCCAACCTCAGGTGATCCATCTACCTCGGCCTCCCAAAGTGCTGGGATTACAGCACGGTGAGCCACCACGCCCGGCCTGTGAAGATTTATCTTACAATAAATTTTCATTTTGCAGCAGCTCTTAATATTTTGGCATTATAGAATGATAAAGCTTTCTTACATTTATATAGCAAATAATTTTTCAAAATATTTTGCATTATCTTCATTTTTTTCTAACTTCTCATTTCACAAGTGCTAGCAATAATGCTTAGGCAGGTTAAACAATTTGGTTGTAGTCAAAGATTAAGTTAGTCAGAGAACCAGGTTTAGAATCAATTTGCCTGAAACATTTGCTAGTATTTTCCCTCTCTCCCCACTGTATAACAGAAAATGGATTTGAAAATCCCTCTACTATCTTTACTAAAATAATCCTCCTACCTCACCTTATTTTACTTTACTTAACTGCAAAAAGGATGATAATATATGTGTTAACTGATAATATCTACTGTCAACCAAATAAATCTGTCTTGCATAAAGTCTACTCAGCCCTTCCATACCTTTTCTCTCTCCACCAGCCACATGTTCTATTCAGCTCCAATCCTAACCACACATCTTCTCTTTCTTCTTTCTCATACTAGAAGGATCCTCTGCCCCACATACCTTATGCCCAGTCTTGCCTGGTCACAAAGGGGAGCAAAACTTCCCTAATCAAAGGAATAAAGTAATATAAAAGGTGACATACCTCTCTACCTGCTATAATATCCTTTAGCCAAGGCACCTCAGATAACAATTTGAGCCACCTCAACCCTGAGGTCCCTCCCCATGATCCACAACCACCATCTGTGACTTCCAGTATACACCCAATCTGCCCCTCCCTCCCAAATGGAACATCTTAGCCTTCGTTACTACTGGGGATGGGGAGAAAAAAATAAACTTTGTGTGGAGGCCAGTTATGTTCTCTGCACAAAATGTGGAGAAGGAGACAGCATTCTGGTGGAGTAGGAAGCTGCTGGAATGTCTCTCCCCAGCTAGACAACATTTGCACAGCAGCATCTGTCTGATGTAATTATTTTGGAACTCTAGAGTCTATTGAAGGTTTGTGACTTCCAGGAAAAGGCTTGGACCTAAATTGTGGTTAATTTTGGTCAATTTCGGCTCTTAGTGTAGTGGACGCTACCCATGACCACCCCCATGGCAGGCAGCTGTACACATTTCCTGAAACAGCTTGCTGGAGCCAGGATGGGCAAAAAGGATCTTGTCCTTCAAATGTCAGTGATCTGTGCTCTGTCTGCTGATTGCTGCTTCTGATCATAGATGTGCAGAGAAAGAGGCTGGTGGCCATTGTTGCAAGAATGAACTTGGACCCTTACCTAACGCCTATACAAAAATTAACTCAAAATGAATCAAAGACTTAAATGCAAGACCTAAAACAATAAAATTCTTAGAAGAAAACATAAGGCCAAAGCTTCAAAACGTTGAATTGGCAATCATTTCTGGGATATGACACAAAGGCACAGGCAGCAAAAGAAAAAATTGATATATTGCACTGCATTAAAATTAAAAATTTGGGGGCACCAAAGGAAACTGTCAACAGAGTAAAAATGCAACCCACAGAATGAGAGATATTTCCAAATCATATATCTGATAAGGGATTAACATCCAGAATATGTAGAGAACTCCTAAAACTCGACAACAAAAAACAACATAATTCGAAAATGGGCAGAGAACTTGAATAGACATTTCTCAAAATAAGATACAAAAACAGCCAATAACAATATGAAAAGATGCTCAACATCACTAATCATTACGGAAATGCAAATCAAAGCTACAATGAGATGCCACCTCATACCTATTAGGATGGCTACCATTAAGGAAAACAAAGGCAAAATAAAAGTAACAAATGTTGGTGAGGATATGGAGAAACTGGAACACTTGTACACTCTTGGTGGGAATATAAAGTGGTATAGTCATTGTGGAAAACAGTATGGTGATTCTGCAAAAAGTTATAAATAGAATTACCATATGTTCCAGCAATTCAACCATGGGTATATACCCAAAAAATTGAAACCAGGGTCTCAAAGAGATATTTATAAACCCATGTTCATAGCAGCATTATTTGCAATAGCTAAAATGTGGAAGCAACAAAAATGTCCATCAATGGATGAATGGATAAGCAAATGTGGTATGTGCATACAACAGAATATTATTCAGCCTTAAAAAGGATGGACAGGTGGTTCCAAGATGGCCGAATAGGAACAGCTCCAGTCTACAGCTCCCAGCATGAGGGACACAGAAGACGGGTGATTTCTGCATTTCCAACTGAGGTACCGGGTTCATCTCAATGGGGCTTGTCAGACAGTGGGTGCAGTACAGTGGGTGCAGCCCAATGAACATGAGCCAAAGCAGGGCGAGGCATCGCCTCACCCGGGAAACGCAAGGGTCAGGGAATTCCCTTTCCTAGCCAAGGGAAGCTGTGACAGACAGCACCTGGAAAATCAGGTCACTCCCACCCTAATACTGCACTTTTCCAATGGTCTTAGCAAACGGCACAACAGGAGATTATATCCCGCACATGGCTCGGAGGGTCCCATGTCCATGGAGCCTGGCTCATTGCTAGCACAGCAGTCTGAGATCAAACTGCAAGGTGGCAGCGAGGCTCAGGGAGGGGCACCTGCCATTGCTGAGGCTTGAGTAGGTAAACAAAGCGGCCAGGAAGCTCAAACTGGGTGGAGTCCACCGCAGCTCAAGGAGGCCTGCCTGCCTCTGTAGACTCCACCTCTGGGGGCAAGGCATAGCCAAACAAAAGGCAGCAGAAACCTCTGCAGACTTAAATGTCCCTGTCTGGCAGCTTTGAAGAGAGTAGTGGTTCTCCAAGCACGGAATTTGAGATCTGACAATGGACAGACTGCCTCCTCAAGTGGATCCCTGACCCCCGAGTAGCCTAACTGGGAGGCACCCCCCAGTAGGGGCGGACTGACACCTCACACGGCTGGGTACTCCTCTGAGACAAAACTTCCAGGGGAACGATCAGGCAGCAACATTTGCTGTTCAGCAATATTCACTGTTCTGCAGCCTCCACTGCTGATACCCAGGCAAACAGGGTCTGGAGTGGACCTCCAGCAAACTCCAACAGACCTGCAGCTGAGGGTCCTGACTGTTAGAAGGAAAACTAACAAACAGAAAGGACATCCACACCAAAACCCCATATGTACGTCACCATCATCAAAGACCAAAGGTAGATAAAACCACAAAGATGGGGAAAAAACAGAGCAGAAAAGCTGAAAATTCTAAAAATCAGAGCACATCTCCCCCTCCAAAGGAACGAAGCTCCTCGCCAGCAACAGAACAAGCTGGATGGAGAATGACTTTGACAAGTTGAGAGAAGAAGGCTTCAGATGATCAAACTTCTCTGAGCTAAAGGAGGAAGTTTGAACCCATCGAGAAGAAGCTAAAAACCTTGAAAAAAGATTAGACGAATGGCTAACTAGAATAACCAGTGTAGAGAAGTCCTTAAATGACCTGATGGAGCTGAAAACCATGGCATGAGAACTACGTGATGAATGCACAAGCTTCAGTAGCCAATTCAGTCAACTGGAAGAAAGGGTATCAGTGATTGAAGATCAAATTAATGAAATGAAGTGAGAAGAGAAGTTTAGAGAAAAAAGAGTAAAAAGAAATGAACAAAGCCTTCAAGAAATATAAGACTACATGAAAAGACCAAATCTACATCTGAGTGGTGTACCTGAAAGTGACAGGGAGAATGGAACCAAGTTGGAAAACACTCTGCAGGATATTATCCAGGAGAACTTCCCCAACCTAGCAAGGCAGGCCAACATTCAAATTCAGGAAATACAGAGAACACCACAAAGATACTCCTCGAGAAGAGCAACTCCAAGACACATAATTGTCAGATTCACCAAAGTTGAAATGAAGGAAAAAATGTTAAGGGCAGCCAGAAAGAAAGGTCAGGTTACCCTCAAAGTGAAGCCCATCAGACTAACAGTGGATCTCTTGGTAGAAACTATACAAGCCAGAAAAGAGTGGGGGCCAATATTCAACATTCTTAAAGAAAAGAATTTTCAACCCAGAATTTCATATCCAGCCAACTAAGCTTCATAAGTGAAGGAGAAATAAAATTCTTTACAGACAAGCAAATGCTAAGACATTTTGTCACCACCAGGCCTGCCCTACAAGAGCTCCTGAAGGAAGCAATAAACATGGAAAGGAACAACCGGTACCAGCCACTGCAAAAACATGCCAAATTGTAAAGACCATCAATGCTACGAGGAAACTGCATCAACTAACAGGCAAAATAACCAGCTAACATCATAATGGCAGGATCAAATTCACACATAACAATATTAACTTTAAATGTAAATGGGCTAAATGTGCCAATTAAAAGACACAGACTAGTAAATTGGATAAAGAGTCAAGACCCATCAGTGTGCTGTATTCAGGAGACCCATCTCACATGCAGAGACACACATAGGCTCAACATAAAGGGATGGAGGAAGATCTACCAAGCAAATGGAGAACAAAAAAAGGCAGGGGTTGCAATCCTAGTCTCTGATAAAACATACTTTAAACCAACAAAGATCAAAAGAGACAAAGAAGGCCATTACATAATGGTAAAGGGATCAATTCAACAAGAAGAGCTAACTATCCTAAATATATATGCACCCAATACAGAAGCACCCAGATTCATAAAACAAGTCCTTAGAGACCTACAAAGAAATTTAGACTCCCACACAATAATAATGGGAGACTTTAACACCCCACTATCAACATTAGACAGATCAACGGGACAGAAAGTTAACAAGGATATCCAGGAATTGAACTCAGCTCTGCACCAAGCGGACCTAATAGACATCTACAGAACTCTCCACCCCAAATCAACAGAATATACTTTCTTCTCAGCACCACACCGCACTTATTCGAAAATTGACCACATAGTTGGAAGTAAAGCACTCCTCAGCAAATGTAAAAGAACAGAAATTGTAACAAACTGTCTCTCAGACGACAGAGCAATCAAACTACAACTCAGGATTAAGAAACTCACTCAAAACTGTTCAACTACATGGAAACTGAACAACCTGCTCCTGAAGGACTACTGGGTACATAATGAAATGAAGGCAGAAATAAAGATGTTCTTTGAAACCAATGAGAACAAAGACACAACATACCAGAGTCTCTGGGACACATTTAAAGCAGTGTGCAGAGGGAAACTTATAGCACTAAATGCCCACAAGAGAAAGCAGGAAAGATCTAAAATTGATCTAAAACCCTAACATCACAATTAAAAGAACTAGAAAAGCAAGAGCAAACACATTCAAAAGCTAGCAGAAGGCAAGAAATAACTAAGATCAGAGCAGAACTGAAGGCGACAGAGACACAAAAAAACCTTCAAAAAATCAATGAATCCAGGAGCTGGTTTTTTGAAAAGATCAACAAAATTGATAGACCACTAGCAAGACTAATAAAGAAGACAAGAGAGAAGAATCAAATAGACACAATAAAAAATGATAAAGGGGATATCACCACCGATCCCACAGAAATACAAACTACCATCAGAGAATACTATAAACACCTCTACGCAAATAAACTAGAAAATCTAGAAGAAATGGATAAATTTCTGGACACATACACCCTCCCAAGACTAAACTAGGAAGAAGTTGAATCCCTGAATAGACCAATAACAGGCTCTGAAATTGAGGCAATAATTAATAGCTTACCAACCAAAAAAAGTCCAGGACCAAATGGATTCACAGTCGAATTCTACCAGAGGTACAAGGAGGAGCTGGTACCATTCCTTCTGAAACTATTCCAATCAATAGAAAAAGAGGGAATCCTCCCTAACCCATTTTATGAGGCCAGCATCATTCTGATACCAAAGCCTGGCAGAGACACAACAAAAAAAGAGAATTTTAGACCAATATCCCTAGTGAACATCAATGCAAAAATCCTCAGTAAAATACTGGCAAACCGAATCCAGCAGCACATCGAAAAGCTTATCCACCATGATCAAGTGGGCTTCATCCCTGGGATGCAAGGCTGGTTCAACATACGCAAATCAATAAACATAATCCAGCATATAAACAGAACCAAAGACAAAAACCACATGACTATCTCAATAGATGCAGAAAAGGCCTTTGACAAAATTCAACAGCCTTTCATGCTAAAAACTCTCAATAAATTAGGTATTGATGGGACGTATCTCAAAATAATAAGAGCTACTTATGACAAACCCACAGCCAATATCATACTGAATGGGCAAAAACTGGAAGCATTCCCTTTGAAAACCGGCACAAGACAGGGATGCCCTCTCTCACCACTCCTATTCAACATAGTGTTGAAAGTTCTGGCCAGGGCAATCAGGCAGGAGAAAGAAATAAATGGTATTCAATTAGGAAAAGAAGAAGTCAAATTGTCCCTGTTTGCAGATGACATGATTGTATGTTTAGAAAACCCCATCGTCTCAGCCCAAAATCTCCTTAAGCTGATAAGCAACTTCAGCAAAGTCTCAGGATACAAAATCAATGTGCAAAAATCACAGCATTCTTATACACCAATAACAGACAAACAGAGAGCCAAATCATGAGTGAACTCCCATTCACAACTGCTTCAAAGAGAATAAAATACCTAGTAATCCAACTTACAAGGGATGTGAAGGACCTCTTCAAGGAGAACTACAAACCGTTGCTCAACGAAACAAAAGAGGACACAAACAAATGGAAGAACATTCCATGCTCATGGATAGGAAGAATCAATATTGTGAAAATGGCCATACTACCCAAGGTAATTTATAGATTCAATGCCATCCCCATGAAGCTACCAACGACTTTCTTCACAGAATTGGAAAAAACTACTGTAAAGTTCATATGGAACCAAAAAAGAGCCCACATTGCCAAGTCAATCCTAAGCCAAAAGAACAAAGCTGGAGGCATCATGCTACCTGACTTCAAACTATACTACAAGGCTACAGTAACCAAAACAGCATGGTACTGGTACCAAAACAGAGATCTAGACCAATGGAACAGAACAGAGCCCTCAGAAATAATACCAGACATCTACAACCATCTGATCTTTGACGAACCTGACAAAAACAAGAAATGGGGAAAGGATTCCCTATTTAATAAATGGTGCTGGGAAAACTTGCTAGCCATATGTAGAAAGCTGAAACTGGATCCCTTCCTTACACCTTATACAAAAATTAATTCAAGATGGATTAAAGACTTAAATGTTCGACCTAAAACCATAAAAACCCTAGAAGAAAACTTAGGCAATACCATTCAGGACATAGGCATAGGCAAGGACTTCATATCTAAAACACCAAAAGCAATGGCAACAAAAGCGAAAATTGACAAATGGGATCTAATTAAACTAAAGAGCTTCTGCACAGCAAAAGAAACTACCATCAGAGTGAACAGGCAACCTACAAAATGGGAGAAAATTTTTGCAACCTACTCATCTGACAAAGGGCTAATATCCAGAATCTACAATGAACTCCAACAAATTTACAAGAAAAAAACAAACAACCCCATCAAAAAGTGGGCAAAGGATATGAACAGACACTTCTCAAAAGAAGACATTTATGCAGCCAACAGACACATCAAAAAATGCTCACCATCACTGGCCATCAGAGAAATGCAAATCAAAACCACAATGAGATACCATCTCACACCAATTAGAATGGCGGTCATTAAAAAGTCAGGAAACAACAGGTGCTGGAGAGGATGTGGAGAAATAGGAACACTTTTACACTGTTGGTGGGACTGTAAACTAGTTCAAACATTGTGGAAGAGAGTGTGGCAATTCCTCAAGGATCCAGAACTAGAAATACCATTTGACCCAGTGATCCCATTTCTGGGTATATACCCAAAGGATTATAAATCATGCTGCTATAAAGACACATGCACACGTATGTTTATTGCGGCACTATTCACAATAGCAAAGACTTGGAACCAACCCAAATGTCCATCAATGATAGACTGGATTAAGAAAATGTGGCACATATATACCATGGAATACTATGCAGCCATAAAAAAGGATGAGTTCATGTCCTTTGTAGGGACACGGATGAAGCTGGAAACCATCATTCTCAGCAAACTATCACAAAGACAAAAAACCAAACACCGCATGTTCTCACTCATAGGTGGGAAGTGAACAATGAGAACACTTGGACACAGGAAGGGGAACATCACACACCAGGGCCTGTTGTGGGGTAGGGGGGTGGGAGGGATAGCATTAGGAGATATACCTAATGTAAATGACGAGTTAATGGGTGCAGCACACCAACATGGCACATGTATACATATGTAACAAACCTGCACGTTGTGCACATGTACCCTAGAACTTAAAGTATAAAAAAAATTTTAAAAAAAATGGATGGACATTCCGCAATATACTACAACATGGATGAAACTTTACGACATTATACTAAATGAAATAAGCCAGTCACGAGAAGAAAAATACTGTATGAGTCCACTTATATGAGGTACTTACAGTAGTCAAAATAATAGAGACAGAAGACAGATTGGTGGCTTCCAGGGGCTGGGAGTAGGGAAGAATAGACAATTATTGTTTAACGAATACAGAGTTTCAGTTTTACAAGATGAAAAGAAGTATAGAGATGGATGGTGGTGATAGTTGCACATTTTGAATATATTTAATACCACTGAAGTATACACTTAAAAATGCTTAGAAAACTATATTTTATTTTGTGTGTTTTTTTATTTTTTATTTTTATTTTTTGTTAAAGAAAGGTTTATTCTTTTAGAGATGGGGGTTCCGCTATGTTGACCAGGCTGGTCTTGAACTTCTGGCCTCAAGAGATCCTCCCATCTCTGGCTCCCAAGGTGCTCGAATTACAGGTATGAACCACCATGACCGGCCTATTTTATGTGTATTTTACCACAATTTTAGAAATTGGAAAAAAAATGTGGAGGGTATGGTATATGACTGGAAAAAGAAGTCACAAAACTGAGGGATATAAATACTTGAATGCAAACAGTAATATAATCACAGTATAACTTACATTTATTAAATAGAGTATACCCATAATTATAATTAGGTAAACTTAGTATAAGCTAGGAGATATAAAATTTTCTCTAGAACTGGTATAATACTAACCCTGGAGATCTGGCTACCTACTCTACTTGCTAGAGCTTCCTGGAGTGGAAATACATTCCAGTATCAATGCACAGAAGAGGTTTAATAAATGTCCATGGAACAAATAAATAAATATTGATGGAAGGAATAAATATAAGCTTTATCCTAAAAGAATATATAAAAGTAAGCCTTAAGAGAGTCCAGAATTATATCACAAAAAAGGTTAGGAGGAATATAAAATTGGAAGGGAACAGGAATTGGAATATATTAATTTTTGAAAACTGCTGGATCTGTCGGGAAATACTGTGACCTTTTTTAGGTCACTAAAACTCTACACAAGGAACACTTCCAGAATGGCATAGTGAGGAGGCTGGCAAATCGTTTAACATAAAGCCGCAATAAAACTGTACAGGTAGTCTCTGACTTATAAAGATTTGACTTCGGTTTTTTCAACTTTATGATGGTGCAAAAGCAATATACATTCAGTGGAAACCATATGTTGAATACCCACACAACCATTCTGTTTTTCACTTTCAGTACAGCATTCAATAAATTACATGAGATATTCAACACTTTATTATAAAATAGGCTTTGTGTTAGATGATTTTGCCCAACTTTAGGCTAATGTGAGTGTTCTGAACATGTTTAAGGTAGGCTATGCTAAGATACGATGTTTTCAGATAGGTGTATTAAATGCATTTTTGACTTACAATATTTTCAACTTAAAATGAGTTTATCAGGATATAACTCCTTCCTAGGTCAAAGAACATCTGTACAAAACTGTTAAAACAATCATTTCAGGATTTTGAAAACTGAGACTGGGCTCGGTGGCTCATGCCTTGTAATCCCAGCACTTTGGGAGGCCAAGGCGGGTGGATCACCTGAGGTCAGCAGTTCAAGACCAGCCTGGCCAACATGGCGAAGCCCATCTCTACAAAAAATACAAAAAAAATTTTTTTTTTTAAAAACTAGCCAGGTGTGGTGGTGCATGCCTGTAATCCCAGCTACTCTGGAGGCTGAGGCAGGAGAATCACTTGAACCCGGGAGGCAGAGGTTACAGTAAGCAGAGATTGCGCCACTGCACTCCAGCCTGGGCAACAGAGCACGACACCATCTCAAACAAACAAACTAACTAACTAACCAGAGGCACATGACAAATTAAAAAGCATTTATAAAGGAAAAAAATCAAACTATTGAACCTTGGTAAGAAAAATATGAATCTATGGTATTTTGAGTTTTTGCAATCCCTACACTCCCTACCCCCAGCTCCAACATAGTAGTTCTATCAGGACAGTAAAATCCATGAAAATCAGCAGCTCTGCAATGTAATTTGGTGCATAGGACATTGTCAGAAACATGTGATCTTGGTAGTAAATGATCAGGGAAAGTCAATATCATTGCTGGCTGAAACTGTAGTTTTGGTTGGGAAAAGTAACAGACCAGCCAGAAATTTAATAGGCAGATCTAGGGAAAAAGACAGCCATAGTGGAACCTGATACCCTTGGTGGTCTGGAAGGCTGTGTACAAGGGCACGGTTATGCACATGCCCAGGAGAGACCACAGTGGGCTACAGATTTCAATGGCTGAATGTGAAGCCTTGCATACATAGAAATAAAATTGGGGCAGACTTGACTGAACTCTATTTCTTTGTTCTTGTTTTTTTAGAGGTAGGGTCTCACATGGTTGCTCAGGCTGGAGCACAGTGGCACAATTACAGCTCACTATAACCTTGAACTCCTAGGCTCCAGCAATCCTCCCACAGTTAGGACCACAGGCATGCACCACCATGCCCAGCTAATTTTTTAAAAATTTCTTGCGAAGACAGGGCCTTGCTGTGTTACCTGGGCTGGCCTCAAGCTGTTGGTATCATGCAGTCTTCCTGTCATGGCCTCCTAAAGCACTGGGATTATAGGCATAAGCCATAGCCACATGGCCTTGACTGAACTTTAAAGGTGTTCCCCAAACTATACACAGATTAATTAGCAAACAGTAGAGCCTTACTAGGCTCAAGATGTTTAAGTACAATCTCTTCCCAGTTATTAGCTGACCACTAGCTATGTTGACCCAGGGGCAATTCCTAGGAAAGAGATTTAAAAATAAAACCAAATTGGGCACAGCAGCACACATCTGTAGTCCCAGCTACTCAAGAGGCTGAGGAGGGACAACTGCTTCAGCGCAGAAATTCAAGTCCAGCCTGCACAACATAGTGAGACCCCATCTCATAAAAAATAAAATAAAATGAAGTAAAATAAAATAAAAACAAGAATTAGAAAGGAAAAAATTAAGAAAAGATGTCAGTAGCTACACACTACAGGAAAGAAAGACTACAGAATCAACCCCGTTAACTCACTAAACAAATAAACCAACAAACAGCAGCAATATCAAAAATCCTTAGGTAGGGATGGAAATCAGAATCTGGAGTTGCCATCATACATTATTTAAAACAGCGATCAGCAAACTACAACTCATGGCCCAATTATGGCCTACTGCTTGTTTTTTAAATAAAGGTTTATTGGAAGACATCTACTTTCATTCATTTACATATTGTCTATGGCTACTTTCACATTACAATAGAGACCACATTGACTACAAAGCCTAAAATATTTTCTATCCAGTCATTTATAGAAATAAATTGTTGACCTCTGATCTAAAATGTTCAGTTTTCAACAAAAAATTGCAAGACATACAAACAAAAAGTGGGGCCCATATATAGAAAAAGGTGCAGTTAATGGAAACTTTTTCTGTAGGGGCCCAAATGTTAGACTTAGCAGACAGACTTCAAGGCAGCTGTTGTAAATATGTTCAAAGAACTAAAGAAAACAAAATTTTAAAAATTAAAGTATGGCAACAGTGACAATATAGAATATCAATAAAAATAAATTATAAAACAAAACAAATTATGGAGTGAAAAGAAAATAATTGAAATGAAAATTCACTAGAGGGGCTCAAGAGCAAATTTCAGATTACAGAAAAAGAATCAGTAAACTGGAAGATAGATAGATCAATAGAGATTATACAATTTGAAGAAAAGAAAAGAAAAAGAATGAAGAAAAATGAACAAGCCTCAGAGATTTGAGAGATACCACCAAACATACTAACATATGTATAAGGAGAGTCCCAGAAAAAGAAGAGAAAGAGAAAGGGACAGAAAAAAATGGCTGAAAACTTTATAAATTTGAGGAAAAACAAATCTACACATCCAAGAAGATCAAAAGAACTCCAAGTACCATAAACACAAAGAGGTCCATACCTAGAAACACCAAGGTTAAACTGTTGAAAGGCAAACACAAAGAGAAAATCTTGTAAGCAGCAGAGAAAAGTGGATCATCATTTACAAAGAAACCACAATCAAATTAACAGATGACTTTTTATCAGAAACAACAGAGACTAAGAAAGCAGGGATCAAAGTGTTTAAAGGAAAAAAAAAATCTGCCAACTAAAAATTTTATATCCAGCAAAAATAGCCTTATAGCCTTTAAATGTGAAGGTGAAATAAAGACAGTTGATAAACAAAGACTGAAAAAATTTGTTGTTGCCAGCTTGCCTTACAAGAAATACTGAAGGAAGTTTTTCAGGCTGATGGAAAGTGATTTTAGAGTTACTCAAATCTACAGAGAGGAATGTAGAACATCAGAAATAGTAAATATATTGGTTAATATAAAGGACTCTATACATATGTTTCTCACTTTTTCTCATAACTTCTTTAAAAGCCATAAGAGCATATAAAGCAATAATTGTAACACTGTCTTGTTGGATCTGTAACATATATGAATGTAATATAACAGCATGAGAAGGGGGGATATGGAGTTATATTGGACAGAAGTGTCTATATTTCACCTAAATTAAGTTTATATCAATCAGTAGATTGTGGCCAGGCATGGTGGCTCACACCTGTAATCTCAGCACTTTAGGAGGCCGAGATGGGTGGACTGTTTGAGCCCAGGAGTTAGAGGCCAGCCTGGGCAACATGATGAGACACCATCTCTATAAAAAATGTAAAAATTGGCCCAGCACAGTGGCTCACGCCTATAATCCCAACACTTTGGGAGGCCGAGGCGGGTAGATCACAAGGTCAGGAGTTCGAGACTGTCCTGGCTAACACGGTGAAACCCCGTCTCTACTAAAAATACAAAAAAAAAAAAAATTAGCTGGGTGTGGTGGTGGTGCCTGTAGTCCCAGCTACTCAGGAGGCTGAGGCAGGAGAATGACATGAACCCGGGAGGTGGAGCTTGCAGTGCCCAAGGTCGTGCCACTGCACTCCAGCCTGGGCGACAGAGTGAGACTCCATCTCAAAAAAAAAAAAAAAAAAATTAGCCAGGTGTGTTGGCGTGTGCCTGTGGTCCCAGCTACTCAGGAGGTTGAGTTGGGGGGATCACTTGAGCCTAGGAGGTGGAGGCAACAGTGAGCCACACTTGCGCCATTGCAGTCCAGCCTGGGTGGCAGAGCAAGACCCTGTCTCAAAAAAAAAAAAAGAAAGAAGTAGATCGTGACAAATAAAGATGCATATTCTAATTCCTAGAACAATCACTAAAAAATTTTTTTAAAGGCCGGGTGCGGTGGCTCATGCCTGTAATCCCAGCACTTTGGGAGGCCGAGGTGGGTAGATCACCTGAGGTCAGGAGTTCAAGACCAGCATGGCCAATATGGTGAAACCCTCTCTCTACTAAAAATACAAAAAAATTAGCCAGGCATAGTGGTGGGCACCTGTAACCCCAGCTACTTGAGCAGCTGAGGCAGGAGAATCACTTGAATCTGGGAGGCAGAGGTTGCAGTGAGCCGAGATCATGCCATTGCACTCCAGCCTAGGCAACAAGAGTGAAACCTTGGTCTTGAACTCCTGACCTTAACTGATCTGCCCACCTTGGCCTCCCAAAGTGCTGGAATTACAGGCGTGAGCCACCACACCTGGCCCAAATTTTAATATCTTTTCAAAGAACCAACTGTTGGTTTCATTGATTTTTCTCTATTTTTCTACTTTGTATTTTATTGATTTCTACCTAATCATCATTATACCCTTCCTCCTGCTTCCTTTGGGTTTAGTTTGTTCTTCTTTTCCTAGTTTTTCTTTTTCTTTCTTTTCTTTTCTTTTCTTTTTTTTTTTTTTTTTTGAGATGGAGTCTTGCTCTATTGCCCAGGCTGGAGTGCAGTGGTGCAATCTCAGCTCACTGCAACCTCCACCTCCCAGGTTCAAGTGATTCTCCTGCCTCAGCCTCCCGAGTAGCTGGGATTACAGGTGCATGCCACCACATCTGGCTAATTTTTGTATTTTTAGTAGAGACGGGGTTTCACCATGTTGGCCAGGCTGGTCTCGAACTCCTGACCTCAACTGATCTGCCCACCTCAGCCTCCCAAAGTGCTGGGATTACAAGCATGAGCCAGCATGCCCGGCTCCTAGTTTCTTAAGGTAGAAACTTAGGTTATTGATTTGACCTATATTCTTTTCTAATATAGACATCTAAAGCTTGGCACTTCCCTCTAATCACAGTTTTAGCTGCCTCTCATACATTTTGATATATCACATCTTTGTTTCCTTTCAGTTCAAAACATTTCCTAGTTTCCCTTGTGATTTAGTCTATGACCCATGGATTATTTACCTATGCGTTGTTTAATTTGCAAATATTTGTAGATTCCCCAAATTGTCTATTGTTGATTTCTAATTTAATTCTATTGTGGGTAGAGAACATACCTGGTATGATTTCAGTCCTTTTAAATTCATTGAGACTTGTTTTATGACCTAATAATGGTCTGTTTTGGAGAATGTTCTGGGAGTATTTGACAAGAATGTGTATTGTGCTATTGTTGGATGGAGTTTCCTATAGGTGTCAAGGTGGCTGACAGTATCGTTTAGCCTTCTATATCTTTGCTGATTTTCTGTTTGTTCTATCAGTTATTAAGACTGAGGATTGGGCTGGGCACGGTGGCTCATGCCTGTAATCCCAGCATTTTGGGAGGCTGAGGTGGGCGAATCATGAGGTCAGGAGTTCAAGACCAGCCTGACCAACACGGTGAAACCCTGTCTCTATTAAAAATACAAAAAGTAGCCGGGTGTGGTGGCACGCGCCTGTAATCCCAGCTACTCAGGAGGCTGAGGTAGGAGAATCACTTGAACCCAGGAGGCAGAGGCTGCAGTGAGCTGAGATCACACCACTGCACTCCAGTGTAGGTGACAGAGTGAGACTCCATCTCAAAAAAAAAAAAAAAAGAGTGAGGTGTTGAAGTCCCCAACTACCACTGTTGAATTGTCTATTTCTTGCTTGAATTTTGTCAGTTTTTGCTTTGGTATTTTGAGGCTGTGTTGTTAGGGTCATGTACATTTGCAAGTGCTATATCTTCCAGATGTAATGATTTGTCATTTTTGTGATTCTGATATGCCCCACTTTGTCTAGTGATATTTCTTGTCTTCAAGTCTATTTTGTCTGATGTTAATACATTTACTTCAGCAATCTTTTTTTGGCAAGGGGAGTCGCTTAAAGCAACACAAGTTTATTATCTTAAGGTTCTGGAAGTCAGATGTCTGAAATGGTTTTCACTGGACTACAATCAAGGTATCTGCAGGATTCTGTTTCTTTACTCCAGCAATATTATGCTTATAGTTTACATGGTATATCTTTTTCTTTAACTTTCAACTTATTTGTGTGTTTGACTATAAGTTGTGTTTCTTGTAGACAGACAGTTGGATCTAAGCCAGTCTGACAATCTCTGCTTATAGAATGGGCTGTTGAGACCATTCACATTTAACATTATTATCGAGATGGCTGAATTTACATTTGATCACAGTGGTGCAATCTCGGCTCACTGCAACCTCCACCTCCCAGGTTCAAGCAATTCTCCTGCCTCAGCCTCCTGAGTAGCTGAGACTACAGGCATGCGCCACCACACCCAGCTAATTTTTGTATTTTTAGTAGAGATGGGGCTTCACCATGTTGGACAGGATGGTCTCGATCTCTTGACCTCATGATCCACCCACCTTGGCTTCCCAAAGTGCTGGGATTACAGGCATGAGCCACCACACCTGGCCATCTGTATTTTTTAAAGTTTTATTTATTTATTTATTTTTTGAGACAGAGTTTCACTCCAGCATAGGCCAACATGGTGAAACCCTGTCTCTACTAAATATACAAAAATTAGTCGGGTGTGGTGGCATGCACCTGTAATCCCTGTTACTTGGGTGGATTAGGCAGAAGAATCAATCACTTGAACCTGGGAGGCGGAGATTGTAGTGAGCTGAGATTGCACTACTGCATTCCAGCCTGGGTGACAGAGTGAGACTGTCTCAAAAGAAAAAAAAAGGATATTACAAGTTGACAAAACTTTAACTAGACTGACCAAGATGTTAAAAAAAAAAAAAAAAAAGCAAGAGAGAGAAGGCACAGATTACCATAATCAGATCTTAAAGAAATAAAAAAGATTGTGAGGGAATATTACCAATAGCTTTTTGTCAACAAATTAGACAACTTAAGTGACTGGGCAAATTCTTAGACACCAAGTATTGAAACTGACTCAAGATGGAATAGAAGATCACTTGAGTTCAGGAGTTCAAGACCAGCCTGGGCAACATGGCAAAACCACATCTCTACTACAAAAAGTACCAAAAAAATTAGGTGGGCCTAGTGGTGATGCATGCCTGTAGTCCCAGCTACTCGAGTGGCTAAGGTGGGAGAATCACCTGAGCCCAGGGAGTTGAGGCTGTAGTGAGCTGTGATTATGCCACGGCACTCCAGCCTTGGCAACAGGAGTGAGACCTTGTCTCAAAAAAAAAAAAAAAAAAAAAAGAAGGAATAGAAAATATAAGTAGACCTAAAACAAGGAAAAAAGTTGAATTAGTAATTAAAAATCTTCCCACAAAGTAAAGCCCAGGCCCAGATGGTTTTAATCAAATGCTTAAGAATAATACCAATTCTACACACTCTTCCAAGAAATAGAACATTCCTAAATCATTCTATAAGGCCAATATTATCCTAATACCAAAAGACACAAAGACCAGAAACAAGAAAACTAGAGATCAATATCCCTCATGAATATACACAGAAAAATCCTCAGTAAAATACTAGCAAACCAAATTCAACAACGAAAGATTGGCTTAATATCCAAAAATCAATTCATTCAACACATGTTAATAGAATAAAAAATAAAAACCACATGATCACATCAATGGACATACAAAAAACGTCTGAAAAACTTCAAAAATCATTCATGATAAAAACTTTCACTAAACCAGGAATAGAAGGAAACTTCTTCTCAACCTGAAGAAGCTAATTAAAAATAATTTTTAAAGATAGATGAGAACTTCCTTAACCTAATAAAGAGTATCTACAAAAAAACAAATATCATACTTAATGGTAAAAGGCTGAATGTTCTGCCTCTAAAATTGGGAACAAGGCAAAGATGTTCCCCTTGCCACTTCTATTCAACATTGTACTACAGGTTCAAGCCAGTGCGATTAGGCAAGAAAAAGAAGTCCTGATTGAAAAGAAAAAAGTTAGCCTTTCTTTATTCACAGAAGATCTGATCCAGTATACAGAAAATCCTAAAGAATCCACAAAAAAATTCTTAGAACAAGTAAATGAGTTTAACAAGGTTACAGGATACAATATCAATATGAAAAAGTCAACTATATTTCTATACACTAGTAATAATTTCATCTGAAAATGAAATTGAGAAAACAATTTCATTCACAACAGCATAAAAATACTTAATAAATTTGTTAAAAGAAGTGCAATATGTACACTAATCACTACACAATATTAGTAAAAAAAATAAAGAAAACTGAAATAAATGGACAGACATTCCATGTTCATAAATTCAAAAACCCAATATTGTTAAGATTGCAATTCTTCCTCAATTAATCTGTGAATTCAATATAATCTCTATCAAAACATCAACAGTTGTTACACAGAAGTTGACAAACTGAATTTAAATTTTATGGAAATAATGACTGTACTAGAATATAAAAATAATTTTGAAAATGAAGAACATAGTTGATATACTTCCCAATTTCCAAACTTACTACAAAACTACAATAATCAATACAGTATAATATGGCATAAGGACAGACATATAGATCAATAGAACATAATTTAAAGTCTAAAAGCTAACTCTTACATTTATGGTGAATTGATTTTTGACAAAGTTGCCAAGGGAATTTAATGAGAAAAGGATAGTCTTTTATACAAATGATACTGAGAAAATTGAACATCTGCATGAAAAGAAATGAATCTAGACCCTTACCTCATAATGCACATAAAAATTAATGCAAAATGGCATAGAGTTAAATGTAAAAACTAAAATATACAACTATTAGGAGGAAACATAGAAAAAATCTTCAAAAAAAATTTTCATGACCTTAGGTTAGGCAAAGATTTCTTAGATATAACACCAAAAGCACAATTTATAAAGGAAAAAAATTAATAAGTTGGAGTTCATCAAAACTTTAAATGTTAGTACTTCAAATTACACCACTAAGAAAATGAAATACATGACACAGCCTGGGAGAAAATACTTATGAATCATACATCTGGTGTGGGTGCGGCGGCTCAAGTCTGTATTCCCAAGAGAAATGAAAACATGTGTCCACACAAAGTCTTACTATGCATTATCAGTCAAAATAGCCCCAAACCAGAAACATTTCAGATGACCATCAACCAGTAAATGGATAAACAAAATGTAATATATTCATATAACGGGATAGTATTCAGTCATAAAAAAGAATGAAGTATTGATACATGCTACGACATGTGTGAGCCTCAAAAACATTATGCTAATTAAAAGAAGCCAGGCAAAAAAAGGTCACATATTATCAGATTCCATCTATATGAATTGTCCAGAAAAGGCGAATTCATAAGACAGCAAGCAGAAGACTGGTCACCTAGGACCAGAGGCAGGAGCTGAGAACTGACTGCATATGGTATACACTAGGGATTTTTCTCAGGTAATGACAGTGTTCCAAAACTGCACTTTGGTGATGTTGACAACTCTGTAAATTTACAAAAAATACTGAAATATACACTTAAGACAGGTAAATTTTATCATATGTACATTATACCTCAATAAAGAAGTCTTTTTTTTCTTTTTTTTTTTTTTTTTTGAGATGGAGTCTCGCTCTGTCACCCAGGCTGGGGTGCAGTGGCGCGACCTTGGCTCACTGCAAGCTCTGCCTCTCAGGTTCACGCCGTTCTCCTGCCTCAGCCTCCCCTGGGACTACAGGCTCCTGCCACCACGCCCAGCTAATTTTTTGTATTTTTAATAGAGATGGGGTTTCACCGTGTTAGCCAGGATGGTCTCAATCTCCTGGCCTCGTGATCTGCCCATCTCAGCCTCCCAAAGTGCTGGGATTACAGGTGTGAGCCACCGCGCCCAGCCAAGAAGTCTTCAAAAAAAAAAAAAAAAAAACTCTACATAAATTTCAACTGTTTATATTAAATATCTTCCAAATACTATTCCTTTGATCTCTGACTTTTAAAAATGACAAGATTTCAATCATTCCTGCTCTGCAACCAATTTTTTTAACTCCCAGTCAATTTTAAACAGATTGTGAAAGTTAATTCTCAGAAGTTTGATTCATTTTCTTTAATCTACATCATCAAGATGACAATTTTGATAATGAGTTTCTTTCATTCCCCCAATAACCCAGTGAGATGATGTAATCAGGCAAAATGAATGATCTAATGACTCAGTCTGTAATACTACCTTACAAAGCTGTGATGATTCCAAAGCTCTTAAGTCTGCTGGAGAAATAACAATACCATTTGTCAAATAAAATGATTTATACAGTTTCTGGTATGTACAGTATAAATCACTGTCTAACTCTGGCACAGTACCCACTTTTGCATCCTGGGTTTTTAACCCTTTTTGGCCCCCTTCACATAAAGAAAAGGAATTTACATTGCTCTTCACTGGACTTGTTTTTTCTCCTCAAAAAGTCCCAAATACAGCACCAGTCTCTTTCCCCATTTCACAATTAAAGACCTCTTCCAACGCATCTCCTCCAAAACATAGAACCCTGACAACTAACTTTCATCTGTTCTCATTAGTGAATTTACCCTTGTGAAGATAGAAGTCATTAAAAACTCATATCAATAGTTTATTTTTCTGTCAATACTGACAGTCTATTTCCCTGTTGACCAGGCACATTCCTAATTAGTTGCCCTCTCTCCATTTACAATTCCATTTTCAGTTCTCACCAGTGGCTTTCATTTGGCGTGGGCTATATTTGATCCACAAGGGGCCTGATGGTAGGTCATGTTCTATCATTATTCCCAGCCAATCTTAAAAAAGATAAAAAGGAATCTCTCAAGTCTCTCAATCTGTGGTTTACAGGATGAATCTTTAAAATTATAAATATGCACATATAAAAATATATTTACAAATATATTTACAAATAGAAAAATAAAAACAAATGCAAAGATTTAATTTAGAGTCTTTTGGTTTCAGTTTCATTTCAAGCATCTTCTTTCCCATAAATTTCTAAATGTTAAATTCTGAGAAAATGTAGTTACAATTGAATATTCATTACATTCATTAAAGTTCATGTAGGTAGGTGTTTTTTTAATAGAAAAGCCAACTCTTTTTTTTCTTAAGATAGGTTCTTACTCTGTTGCCCCGGCTGGAGGGCAGTGGCACGATCATAGCTCACTGCAGCCTCAACATCCTGGACTCAAGCAATCCTCCCATCTCAACCTCCCGAGTAGCTAGGACTACAGGTATGAGCCACCATGCCAGGCTAGTTTTTTAATTTTTTAAAAAATAGAGACAGGGGTCTCACTATGTTGCCCAGGCTGCTGTCAAACTCCTGGCCTCAAGTAATCCTTCCACCTCAACCTCCTGAACTTCTGGGATTACAGGTGTGAGCCACCACAAAGCCACCTCTTTATGTGGGCTAACAGAAGTCTATTTAACTTAAAAATTAAATCAGAGTAATTTCAACAAATGGCTACTGAACACCCGCTACTTAACAGGTCCTGGAATGTTTAGGGACAAATAAGGAACAGTTTCTGCCTTCAAGGAATTGAAAGGCTATTGGGAGAGAAGAAACCATAACTACACATAATTTAAATTAGATTGGAAAAGTACACACAAAAAATTTTTTTAAGGCTATGGCAACAGAGGTGGCAACTGGGAACCACTGGGAAAAGTTTCAAAGAGCTGACCTGACAAAAAGAAAGTAGTGCCTCAACTGGAATGACTAAAATAGAATGGGGAAGAGAGACAAATGAGATGAGGTGTGGCTATGATACTGGGTAAGTGAGAGCATATTTTGGGAGACCAGGCTGAAGCTTAAGATAATAATACTAGCTAATATTTATTGAGCACCTACTATGTACCAAGTACTATAAATGCACTTTATAGATATTAACTTACTTGATATTCACAATAACCCTATGAGGAATGTGCTAAAACCTTGAAATCCATAAAAAATAAAGAGGACCAAATTCTGTCCCACTCCAACCACACTTATTGTAAAAGCAGTTAACGGGTATCTTATCTACCTCTTCTCTCACTGATTCCTAGGCCATCAGGCCTAGCTTGAAAACTACATTCTCTGCAAAACCTTTCTTGATCCTCCCAGCTGAACATAGTCTCCTAAGCTTGATAGCATTTTATCTGTGTCAATCTTATGGCATGTCCGAATATTTTGTTCTTGGTATTATAGATTTTATGTGCATTCTTTCCTCTTTTTTATTCTCCTTTAGTCTGATCCACATTCTGTTCTCCACAACTCCTAGGGCAGTGCCTGGCACATACTAATGCTAGCTAAGTCTATGGAGCACTTATCTTTGCCGGGCACTGTGCTAAGCATTTTACAGGAATTATCTCACAGAATCCTAATGGCAACCCAATTCACACATTCAAGGGCTATTTTTAGTCCTTACTGTGACAGACAAAATAGTAAATACTAGATGCACCTTAAACTCTAAACACTACAGATACAGTCCCTTCCCTCAAGAAGCTCAGTCTAAAGAAGTTAGTACTATTGGAATCCCCAGATATAGAGATGAGGAAAAGTGAGGCTCAAAGAAGTAATATGTTTGCCCAGAACCACAGAGCAAAAAAGTGGCAGAGAGCCTGGGCAACATAGGGAGACCCTGTCTCTACGAAACATTTAAAAAATTTGCAGGGCGTGGTGGCTGAAGAAGAGGATCGCTTGAGCCCAGGAGGTCGAGGCTGCAGTGAGCCGAGATCGTGCCACTGCACTTCAGCCTGGCTGACAGGGTGATACCCTCGTTTCTTTATTAAACAAAAAAGAAGAAGAAGGAAGAAGGAAGAAGAGGAAGAAGAGGAAGAGGAAGGAGGAGGAGGAGGAAGAAGGAGAAGGAGAAGGAGAAGGAGAAGAAATGGAAAAAAAAAGATGGCAGAGCCAGAATTCAAACCAGCTCTCCCGAGTGGATATACAGGACCCCATGCACGTACAACCACTATGTTCTAAAGGAGGCACTTGATAAACCCTTATTGAAGGAAATGTTTTGGAATACCAATAAAATGAAAAAAAAATCATCTCAAGAATAATGTAGGGTTTCACTCACTGTTATTCTTTTTTATAAGGGGAAAGCAGGAAATTTGCAAAAGTTAAGTAGCATAGAAGGAGGTCGTATTGGTCGGCTACTACTCACCTGGTACCTGATAATTGCTCATCAAGCCATCTGTTGAGACTAGGTGAGGATGGAGTTTCTCTCCTTTTTCATGAACCACAGAGGAGACTTAAAGGAGGATTTATTTGTGTTCCTTAAAGTGACCCCCACTGAGCGTGTCCCTCAAAGTGGACCTTCCTAAGCATCGGCGCTTTGCTTTGCGCTGGGTGGTGCGGCTGAGTCACTAATTAGCAGTGAGAGCCTGGGCTGTATCTCCTACCAAATAACCAGCGGAGTGGAGTGACAGGTCCTTACTTAAACATGGTTTAAGTAAGCATTCACAGTTCCTTACTTAAACATGGTGCAGTCTTCCTAAAAGATGGAGTCAGACCCCAAGAGAACAGGTCTCCAAAAATATGTGAATCCGTACTTCCCACTGGAGGGGAGAGAGAGCTGCGCTGAGGGATTATGAGAGACCCTACAACTTCTCAGGCGCCCCCTGCCCCGGGGGCCAGGAACATCTGCAGACAGCCCCGCCTCCGTCTCGCCTCAATCCCGAGCTGTTCCCTTCTCCAAAGGCCACCTTGGCAGCCACACAGTTTGGCCTAATCACCTCCTCAAACAAGAGTAGCGACACCCCAAAATGTAGACCAAGCAGAAAGAGGCGCGGGAGGCACTTGCCTTATTCCCCATGATGTTTTTGTTTTGAGACGAAGTCTTCCTCTGTCGCCCAGGCTGGAGTGCAGTGGCGCGATCTCGTCTCACTGCAACCTCCGCTTCCCGGGTTCAAGCGATCCTCCCACCTCGACCCTCCCGAGTACCTGGGACTACAGATGCGCGCCACCACTCCTCCTACTGTGTGTGTGTGTGGACACGGGTTGTCGCTATGTTGCCTACCTAGCTGGTACCCCATAACCACTCCTGGCTAGTGTGTGTGTGTGTGTGTGGACACGGGTTGTCGCTATGTTGCCTACCTAGCTGGTACCCCATAACCACTCCTGGCTAGTGTGTGTGTGTGTGTGTGTGTGTGTGTCTACACGGGTTCTCGCTATGTTGCCTACCTAGCTGGTACCCCATAATTTTTTAGCTCAACAGGAGACCTGCCTTTATACCCACCAAGTTAAGCAGCGCAGTAGCCCTCTAAGGGCCAGCCCCACGCCCAGAGGCTCCTCTGACAGCGTGGACAGATGCCCTGGGCTGCTGGCTCGACTCAGTCCTCAGCCCCCAGCCCCCGACCCCCGACCCCCGGCCCCCGACCCCCGACCCCCGGCCCCCAGCGCCCGGCGCCCCGCCTCCAGCGCTCAGCAGTTAACCAGGCAACTCGCGCGCAGACGCCAAGGCTGGGACGCAGAAGGCGTGTTTGGCCGCCCAGCCGCCCCGCCTCCCCCACTTCTCCCGCCTCTCCCGCCTCTCCCGCCTTCCGCCAATGGCCCAGCTGCGCCGGCGCCGCCGGGAGCGCTAGGCCTGGTCCCTCTTCCTAGAATAGCGTTGCGCGCATGCGCCTTGACGAGTGAGCCGGGTGAGGGGGCTCCCTAAGTAGCGGAAGGGGTAGATGAAAATGGAAGGGGCGGGCGCGCTAGGCCTAGTCCTGGCTGGGCTCCCGCTGGAGTGTGCGTTGGGGGCGGACCAGGAGCGGTGGTCTCCAGGGAGGTCGAGGCTGGGGCTCCCACCCGGATTTGGAGCAGGGTCGCCGCGGCCCAGCTGACCCGCCGGCGTTTGTACGTTGTGTGCCCACTCAGGGAGCCATGGACAACTGTTTGGCGGCCGCAGCGCTGAATGGGGTGGACCGACGTTCCCTGCAGCGTTCAGCAAGGCTGGCTCTAGAAGTGCTGGAGAGGGCCAAGAGGAGGGCGGTGGACTGGCATGCCCTGGAGCGTCCCAAAGGCTGCATGGGGGTCCTTGCCCGGGAGGCGCCCCACCTAGAGAAACAGCCGGCAGCCGGCCCGCAGCGCGTTCTCCCGGGAGAGGTGAGGGTCGCTGTGCCGGGGGCCGCCCCAGTCCTTCGCGCCGCGGTAGCCCGCTGGGAGCCAGGGGTGCGCAGCGCAGAAGCAGCTGAGGAAACCTTCCCTTAGCGGAAGCTGGAAAGGATCAGAACAATGAATGGAAAAGTCCTTTCAAAACGCTTTACATTTGACAGATTCTTGTTGGGTAGCTGTAGAATAACGGTAGTGTTCAGCCCTGGTTGGTTACTTAAAAAAAAAAAAAAAAATTAGCCGGGCGCGGTGGCTCATGCCTGCAATCCCAGCACTTTGGGAGGCCGAGGCGGGCGGATCACCTGAGGTCGGGAGTTCGAAAGCAGCCTGACCAACATGGAGAAATCCCGTCTCTACTAAAAATACAAAATTAGCCGGGCGTGGTGGCGCATGTCTGTAATCCCAGGTACTAGGGAGGCTGAGGCAGGAGAATCGCTTGAACCCGGGAGGCGGAGGTCGCGGTGAGCCGAGATCGCGCCATTGCACTCCAGCCTGGGCAACAAGAGCGAAACCTCCGTCTCAAAAAAAAAAAAAAAAAAAAAATCTTACAGCTATCATCTGATAGTAGAGGAAAGCCTGCAAGCCTGTCTCTTAGATCCTGGATAAATTGCATGTCTATCTTTTAGAGTTGGAATTCTTTCTCAATAACATCGTTCTTTCTGACATAAACTTGCAGAGCCTTTCCAAAAGTAAAAAGGAGACTATTTCCAAAATGGCTTCATTCTCCAGTAGGGAATCCTAGAGCTAACCTGTGACGTGCCATTTATTCAAATAGAGAGAAGAGAGACCCCCAACCCTTAGTGCTTCCTTCAGAACAATGGCTGAATTCATGGACTATACTTCAAGTCAGTGTGGGGTAAGTTGGTGTGAACCAAAACTATGCCCCATCACCTGCTGATGGACCACATTTGGATCTTTCTGGAATTTACGGAGAATCTGGACACTACCTGTTTCTCCTGCCCAGCCTTCACGGTCAGATTGTAATCAGTCAAGGACTTAAACCAGGGGGTAAATCCAAGTTAGAATTCACCCAATAAATGTTTATTGAATGCCTAACCCTGTAGCTGACAATATAGCAATGAAAAGTCAGAAAAGGTCTTCTGCCCTCAGTGATCTTTCAGTCTAGTGGGGGGAAAATAGCTTATTTGCCGAATTTCATAGCAAATAAGTTAAATATTAGGGGTTTTTTTTAACTTTTTTTTTTTTTTTTTTTTTGAGACAGAGGCTTGCTCTGTGGCACAGGCTGGAGTGCAGTGGTGTGATCTCGGCTCACTGCAAGCTCTCCCTCCTGGGTTCACACCATTCTCCTGCCTCAGCCTCCCTAGTAGCTGGGACTACAGGCGCCCACCACCACGCCCAGCTAATTTTTTTTTTTGTATTTTTAGTAGAGACGGGGTTTCACTGTGTTACCCAGGATGGTCTCCATCTCCTGACCTCGTGATCCGCCCGCCTCAGCCTCCCAAAGTGCTGGGATTACAGGTGTGAGCCACCGTGCCCGACCTTTTTTTTTTTTTTTTAATTGAGACAGAGTCTCACTCCATCACCCAGGCTGGTGTGCAGTGGCTCAGTCTCGGCTCACTGCAACCCCTACCTCCTGGCCTCCTGGTTCAAGCGATTCTCCTGCCTCAGCCTCCCGAGTAGCTGGGACTACAGGCACATGCCACCATGCCTGGCTAATTTTTGTATTTTTAGTAGAGACAGGGCTTCACCATGTTGGCCAGGCTGCTCTGGAACGCCTGACCTCGAGGGATCCGCGCATCTTGGCCTCCCAAAGTGCTGGGATTACAGGCTTGAGCCACCATACCCAGCCAAGTCATCTTTCGATACTTAGGGAATGTTGAGGGCAGGCCAGAAAACATTCAAGGAAATTACCTGCATGGAAGGCACTGTCTTCTAGGAATTACAGCAGGCTCTGGCCTCATGCAGTCTTAACACTTGGTGAGTCCTACATGGTTTTAAGGAGGCTGATCCACAAAGGAGATGGAAGAGAATACCTTGTTTCTGCCCTGCTTTTCAGTTTCATATGTTAAGATCTCAAAAAACTCTAATCTTTCTACATCTTTTATAAGAATCCCTGACTCCAAGAATAGGATTCCAACCAAAGAGGAATACTTCAGGGAATATTTTTATCTTATTTGTGTTGTTCAGTGGTTTTACAAAAATCAATAGCCTCAACTCTACTGTAAAGTGATTAAACCCTTGGTTCATGGTTCAGCAAAAGGAATAATATTTGTCTTTGGTTTGAGGTTTAGCAAATTGCTGTTCTTCATTTTTGTTTTCAGTTCATGCTTCAGTTCAAGTCTCTGTTATGAAATGGAGCCTCAGAACCTCTTGGCTTTCTAGAGATAGAATTAAGAATTGTGTACTGGGTTTGTCTCCACAGTTTGAAGCAGCCACTAAAACACATCTTTAGGTCTGTGTCCTCAAGTGCTTTCCCCAGCTTCTCGTTCTTCTGGTCACATGTTTTTTAGACAGTGTGCCTACCCTGTTCAAAACAAGCAGGGCTGTGATGTCATTAGTCATTATCAAGGGCAAGTCTAAGGCTAACTTTGAGGGGGAGGAAGGAAGCAGACAAGAGAAATGTAACTGTTTTCCGATCTTTCGGAAGATTCTTCTTAAATTAGAGACTTCTCCCTCCACTCCCCCACGCGCAGGAAGCACAGAGAAAAGGGCTGCAGAGCAGCTCTTGGGTTTGTTTCATTTCCTGCTGTGTTTCTAAATCTCAGGAAAATGTACCCCTCTCTTCCCGTGTCCTGGTCTGAGACTTAGACAATAAACATGGAACCGTTCATCCACATTTTTTAGGGGAGGAAATGAAAGGATATGTGCATTGGACATGGGGGCAAAGATGTGAAATTTGTTTAACCTGGCAGAGAGCATGGTCCTGCCCACCTTTAGTTAGCCAGCGTTCTTGCCCTATGGAGGCAGCAGGTGGCAGCACGGGGATGCCAAATGCATTTCTTTCTCTGCAGCCACTTTGGGTGGGCTAAGGTTTGTTGCATGACTTCAGAGGCCTGTCAAGAGGGCAGGTAATTCACCTTTGCTCTCTTGCCTCCCTCCTTAACTGCACTTTGCCCAAATATCAGGGTTTTTTGAAAATTTGACAAGACAATTTGGTTAGCTAACATCTTTGACATTACGTCTCTAGAAATATTATTCATCTGTGCCAGAGGAAGGAGGGGCAACCCATGTCTATCGTTATCACAGAGGCGAGTCGAAGCTGCACATGTGCTTGGACATAGGGAATGGTCAGGTAAGTGTACTCAACTGTCCTGCACCATGCCTTCAGTCTACCAAGATATGACACCCTATATTCAAGAGCCCCTGCTAGACTTTGTGTCACTGGATGCCCGTGTGACTTGGCATTACAGTGCTTAACAGAAATGTGTAAATTCATAGCCTTAGAGAACTTACAGCAATGAACATGAAATAGGAGGTTGTCAAAAATATAAGATTGATGCCACTGTAGGATCTTTAGTTGAACCTGCAGTCCTGGGCCATGGGATTCTCCAGCAGGTTTAAAGAAAAGAGCTTCCAAGCCTGGAATGTGGTGTATGCAATGATCGCCCCTGTGACTATCCCCTGCATTCTATCCTGGGCAACATAGACCCTTTCTCTAATTTTTTTTTAAAAGAGCTCTAAATATCCTCTTCTACATCTAGGGATAGGATTTTTTTTTTCTTTTTTTTTTTTTTTTTTTTTTTGAGACAGGGTCTTACTCTGTCACCCAGGCTAGAGTGCAGTGGAGCAATCATGGCTTACTGCAGCCTTGACTTCCTGGGCAGGTGATCCTCCCACCTGAACCTCCCAAGTAGCTGGGACTACAGGCACATGCCACCACACCCAGCTAATTTTTAATGTTTTTAATAGAGATGGGGTTTTGCTATGTTGCCCAGGCTGGGGGAAAAGATTTTTAATAATTACATTTTTTACTATAAGGTGATAACTGTCATGTCTTTGGTAATTTTTTTTTTTTTTTGAGAGGGAGTCTCACTCTGTCACCCAAGGTGGAGTGCAGTGGTGCGATCGCGGCTCACTGCAACTTCTGCCTCCCAGGTTCAGACAATTCTGCCTCAGCCTCCCAAGTAGCTGGGACTACGTGCACACACCACCAGCCCAGCTAATTTTTGTATTTTTCTTTCTTTTTTTTTTTTTTTTTTTGTGGAGTCACAGTCTTGCTCTGTTGCCCGGGCTGGAGTGCAGTGGCACAATCTCAGCTCACTGCAAGCTCTGCCTCCCTGGTTCACGCCATTCTTCTGCCTCAGCCCCGAGTAGCTGGGACTACAGGCGTTGCCACCACGCCTGGCTAATTTTTTGTATTTTTAGTGGAGACGGGGTTTCGCTGTGTTAGCCAGGATGGTCTCGATCTCCCGACCTCGTGATCCGCCTGCCTCGGCCTCCCAAAGTGCTGGGATTACAGGTGTAACCCACCGCGCCTGACCCATTTTTGTATTTTTTAATAGAGACAGAGTTTCACCGTGTTGGCCAGGCAGGTCTTGAACTCCTGACCTCAGGTGATCTGCCTGCCTCAGCCTCCCAAAGTGCTGAGATTACAGGCGTGAGCCACCATGCCTGGCCCCTGTCTTTCATAATTTTTAAAAAGAAAGTACAAGGGAAGTGTGGGGACGGGGGTCTCTTTTAACAAAATACTTTTTGTAAAGGTAATAACAGTTACGGGCCTCTCACTACAAACTTACCTTTTACCACATGTCATTCTGGGGAAGCCAAAGATTCTGCTTATTGAACTGATTCAAAGGAGGAGGTGGTGGTGGTGGTTTCTGAGGAGACTAGGTTTTTGCTTTTGTTTTAACCTACCCTACTTGTACTCAAAGATAGCAAACTGAAGTCCAGAGTCTATTCCAGAGTCTAAGTTGGATTCCTGACTTCTTTGGTCTGTCAGCCATTTTGGGGTGTTAGAGGGAGGAAGTTTAGGAAAAGGATGGGAGAGTGGGCACAGGGACATGAGCAAGGGCTGAGTGCACACTCGAAGCACCTCCCACATGCCTCCCCTGGCCTGGGAGGTGAGTAGTGGTGCCAGAGCTTGAGTCCTGAGCCCCCTTTTCTGGCCTAGCCTGAACTCTTACCTAAACGCACCTGACCCTAAAGGGTGCACTTAGGTACATGTGGGGAAGAGTCGTTCCCATCTCTCCCTTTAAAATGTAAGTTCCCTCTAAGGGAAATTGGCTTTATCAGTCAGCCTGTTCCCTTCTAGGACCACCCCCACTCCTAGAAGAAGCACAGAAGAGAATGTATTGAGAGCCTAAGTGCCACTTTTGCACTTTAAATTTTCCCTGCAATCCAAGAGTGCCATGTTACAGACTGGAAAACCAAGGTTCAAGAGAAGTTAATCTGTCTTAGTAAATAGCAGAGATAGGACTTAAACTCAGGCGTGGCTGATTCCAAAGCCCATGTAAGGATGAAAATTATAGTAAATACCTGACTAAAAATACCTCACAGAATTCACTTAAAAATGCCTTAATGACTTAGATGACAACTTAGAAAAAGCTGACAGAACAATTACTAACTCCTAATAAGGTAGAAGAGAACTTCTCTTTACAATCCAAAAGTGAAAGCTTGGGCACAAATCAGTGTTCTACTTGTCTCTTCAGAGAAAAGACAGAAAAAAGACATCCCTTGGTCCTGGAGGCAGCTATCAAATATCAGAGCATGCTCCAGAGGCATCCCAGCCTGTGAGTACGGAACTGCTTACGCACTGGGTTTCACCACCGTTGCAACTCCATGAACCAGTTGACATGGTTCTTAGAGGGCTATTTGAATTGAGTCTATAGTATTTTTAAGTTGAGATGTTCTTACACTTAAGAAGGGCACACAAGATTTTGGTTCAGTGTAAAATTAGGTTTTCTTGGTATTCTTCCTTCACTCTAAGCTTCAGGGATACTCTTTGTGCCTGAACTCATAGTTGTGGTTGGAAAGAATGTGAAGTATTCACCTCTCAGTTCCTACAGCTCAGCTGGGCTGGCACTGGGTCCTGCTGGAATTCCACCATCTGTTCAAGCAGCAGGAGGGGCACGATCCTCCTGCTAACAAAGTGAAAACCATTGCTGAAATTCCGAAACATACACATTTGGTGAGATCAGGTTCCAAAACATTTGAAGGCATTTGTTCTTATTTTCCACAAATGTTTCTCTGTAAAAACATATAATGAGTTTTTCATTTTTAGGATAAAGTACTCATTAGGTCATGAAGCCAGGGGATCCTTTTTGGAACTTGGAAGGGCTAGAATTCTGAGGAAAGGAACTTCATTCAGCATGGTGCCGCAATACATTTACTTTTTGTTTGTATACGGTTTGCTACGAGTCAGGATTTGGAGTATACTAGAGTTAGTGACAATTAAGAATATTCTGCTTCTAGTACAAATATAAGTTGTTAAGGCTTAGACGCCTCTCAACACTTGCTGACTTTTGGTAATGCTGATGTTCCACCGTGTTGGAGTTCTACAGCCACATGCCAACCTTACCTCTATGTTTCCTTGTGTGCAAATGAAGCATCCTTGGCTTTCTGCAATTCTGATATAACCATATTTTCTAAAAGTGACTTTTATTTACATGGTTGACAACCAATAAATAGTTAATGACATTGTCATACACATTTACGTCAGTTAAAGGATGGTAGACTTCCAATTTCGCAGTAACTGGACAGGCATGAAAGAATACAACATAAAACAGCTTTGGAAAAAATTGGCTTCAAATCCATCTGCAAGGTAGGAGGAAGAGGGGAAATTTCATAAAAATGTAAACATGATCATTTATTCCTCTGAGTGCAATTTGCTGGCCAGTAGTTTGGCTTTTCCTGTGTGTGGTAGTGGAATCGACAACTTCTGCCTATGGCCCCTTCTCAGCATTAAGCAAGCTTGTAATGGCATCCCAGGTGTCACTCTGGCCCTTAATTACAGGCTCTCTTCTGGTTTGTGACTTTGTCCTTTTACCATTTGAACTGAGACCCATCCTCTGCCTGCACACCTGATGTAATCTACCAGCCATGAGTGAAGTCTACCCTTGGAAGACTGATTGTGCTCAGTTCGGCTCTAAATAAAATCTTTCCATTAACTCTGGCTTCCAGTGTTTTGTACTCTGGGAGAACCAGTCCTCCAAGGGAGAGTTTTGTCAGCCAGCTGAATTGCTGCTTCAGTGACAAAATGGAATTCACTCAAATTGTTCTGAGCTTTAGGACAAAAGAAATGCCTGTCATCTTCCTGATAGTGAACTTAGCAAAGCACCGTTTAAAAGAATGGCTCTCATCACTCCCGAGTACCTTGTCATTACTGCTCATCTGTGCTAAGTGCCACTGTCTACTTCTGATCCCCAAAACAGTGGCCTCTAGCCTTTCCTTCTGCCTAACTCCAAGTAGAGTGTTCTTTTTATAATCCTTCATGTTCATATAACACTTTAGCATTTACAGAGTGTTTTCACATGCTTATTTGTGAGGTATTATCACAGTGCTAGAAATAAGGAAAGGCTGAGACCTACCAAAATGACAGTGTTGTACGTGAGCAGGCTGAGCCTTGAAAGCAGGACCTCTGTCTCCCACATTAGCGCTTCATTCCATCACACCTCTGCAAGGACAGGTAGCCTGCTGGGGGGCCATGGTGGCACTGGGGTATAAAATCTCTAAACTGCTAATATCCTCTTTTCCTTCTAGGCTGAGAACATCTCTAAGGACCTCTACATAGAAGTATATCCAGGGACCTATTCTGTCACTGTGGGCTCAAATGACTTAACCAAGAAGACTCATGTGGTAGCAGTTGATTCTGGACAAAGCGTGGACCTGGTCTTCCCTGTGTGATGTTGACCATCACTGCCATCACATCACCTTTTTTTAAGTAGTAAGAATAAAGCCACTGTATGATTCTCTTAATAGCTATACATTAATCCTGTTTTTAGTGCTGACTGGGTCAGCCTTCCGGGAACTGGAGTCTGTCTCTTTCAGTGCTTTTTTGTTTGTTTGGTTGGTTTTTTTTTGAGACAGTCTCACTCTGTTGCCCAGGCTGGAGTGCAGTGGCGTGATCTCGGCTCACTGCAAGTTCCGCCTCCCGGGTTCACACCATTCTCCTGCCTCAGCCTCCCGAGTAGCTGGCACTACAGGCACCCGCCACCATGCCCGGCTATTTTTTTTGTATTTTTAGTAGAGACGGGGTTTCACCATGTTGGCCAGGATGGTCTCGATCTCTTGACCTCGTGATCCACCCACCTTGGCCTCCCAAAGTGTTGGGATTACAGGCGTGAGCCACCGCGCCCGGCCTCAGTGCCTTTTTTAACTTGAGGGTGTAGAGGTCCTCCACGCTTGTTTGCCTGAAAGTAATATAATGATGCTGTCTGAACAGGTTTTACTGCTTGCTTTCCAAGTAAAGGTTAATTATGATAATAAAGAGATTTGGAAATGAAGAGAATTCATTTTTATTAAGAGGTGAAACAAAATGTCACTCATGTACAACTAGGCTTTATGGGAAGGTGGCAGAGTGGCTGTGGACACATTTGCCCAAAGCAGGCTGACCCCCTCTTCCACGGAAGAGGCATCTTAAAGCAGTTTCACCAGGGCCCTGGCAGGGAGCCCCAGGGCAGGATCCCACATTCCTATAGCCCTCACAACAGGTGCCTTCCTGCTGCTTATCTGCAGGGAGGTCTTCGTGGGGTGGAGATACTGGTGGTTATTTGACTGTTACCTGTGGCCTGTCCTCTGCCTCCTTCCGTTGAAGAAGGCCTTGTCAGCCACTCTGTATAACTCTCCTCGAATATTTACCATGTTTATTCTTTACCTATAAAAGGGGGAAAAATTCCATACATTGTTATGCTGACTGCAATTTTAAGAATCAAAAGTCACTGATTTTAAAAAGTCATTGATTGTGGCCGAGTGCGGTGGCTCATACCTGTAATCCCAACATTTTGGGAAACCAAGGCAGGAAGATCACTTGAGCCTAGTAATCAAGACCAGCCTGGTCAACACAGTGAGACCCTATCTCTACAAAAAGTAAAAAATTTAGTCAGGTGTGGTGGCATGTGCCTAGCTACTCAGGTCCTAGCTACTCAGGAGGCTCAGGTGGGCGGCTCACTTGAGCCCAGGAGTTCAAGGCTGTAGTGAGCCATGATTATGCCACTGCATTCCAGCCTGAGTGACAGAGTGAGATCCTGTCTCAGAAAAAAAAGTCATTGCTGTGTCCCAAATGTCTTGAAGCTGCCACAGCAGAACTGTGACATCTCCCAGTTTCGTTGCCTGGTGATTCTCTCATTTTGAACACAAACCTTTCCTTGGGAAAGGTGCCAGTATTTTATATAATGGAAATAAAGTTTAAGTAGGGCTATATTATCATTCTTAGTGAGGAATAGACTCCATATTCAGAGGGCCTAATAAAGCAGACCCCTACCCAATACCATAGAACAGAGGGTCATTTAAACGGGGATCCTTGCACCCCCAAGAAGCCTGTGATTAAATTCATGGGTTCCATAAGCCTTCTGAAATTACATGCAAAATTGAGGGTATGTGCATTTTTCTAGGACAAGGGGTCATAGGTTTTACTGTTCTCAAAGGGGATGTGACCCAAAAGGTCTAAGACCCATGTGAGGAGTCCTTAGGAAGCCCCTTTCCAGCCATTCTGCTTTACCTAGATCCTCAGGGCTCTTAGTCTAACGGGAATTCTTGTTCCACTGACATATTGCAAGGCTCTGACTCCGCTTTCTGTGTTCAGCTTCCCCTGGCGGGGTCCGCGGTGGCTTCATGTGGGTTGCTTTCGAGACCAGCTCCTTGGTAGTCCCCACTACTGCAGTTTGTGCTCTCTGCTGTTTGTGATCCTTTTCTTCTTTGCAGATGTTGGAATATCTTGTTCCTAAACCCAAAAGTCAATTACTTAGGTTGAATATGCCACCATTTTGATGGCATAAGTAGAACTAAAACAAGGATCACTGAAGTATCTGTAAGCTCAAGCATTGTTTTCTTTTCATTTATTATGTATTTGAGACAGGGTCTTGCTATTATCACCCAGGCTGGAATGCAGTGGCATGATCATAGCTCACTGCAGCCTCAGCCACCCGGGCTCAAGTCATCCTCCCACCTGCCACCCGCTCTTCACTACAGCCCCCAGTAGCTGGGACCACAGGCGCACACCACCATGCTCAGCTAATTGTTTAGTTTTTTGTAGAAACGGTCTCACTATGTTGCCCAGGCTGGTCTTGAACTCCTGGGCTCAAGAGATCCTCCAGCCTCAGCCTCCCAAAGTGTTGCAGTTACAGGTATAAGCCACTACACCTGGCCTGTTTTCTTTTGCCATCATGCAATGTGTCCATGTAATGTTTTCTATTTTTAGAGAAAAAAATTGTTATCATTTCTGGACCTTATGCTTTTGGGAAACATTACCTGATACCCAAGATTTGGAGTTGTGAAGAAGTTATTGGATGTGTCTTCTAAACTGCCAGTAGGGCAAGCAAAGGTAACTGACTGCCACCAGTTAAAGGAGCTTCGACACCTTCACTGATCACTGATAACACAGACCACAAAGAAGAGATTACAAGCTGATAGAAAACAAATATTAAGAAATTGAACTGGGTGCATTGGTGCACACCTGTAGTCCCGACTATTTGGGAGGCTGAGGTGGGAGGATTGCTTGAGCCCAGGAGTTTGAGGCTGCAGTGAGCTATGATCGTGCCACTGCCCACCAGCCTGGGTGACATAGTGAGACCCTGTCTCTAAAAATAAAAAAAAAATTGGGGCAAAACAAAAATAATGGGAGATGTGACTTCCTGAGGAATAGACCAATCTAAAAGGGAAGGAATGCTTTTTACGTTTCTTTTAAAACTACAGATTGAATCCTGTTTCAGTCAAAGGAGGCAGAAAGTACCTCCCTGCCAGCAGCTCACAATCTGGCCTCCCTAGGACTATTAGGATCTAATTGGAACCTCTCACTGCCTGTAACTGAAAGTAAGGGAAAGTGTGGAGGACAGAGAAACCTATGCAAGAGCTTTTGTGAGAGGCAAAGCTCAAAATTGAGTGTCAAGCATCAGCACTCGACAGAACGGATATCAAGTCCTGATAGCAAGAACTGATTAAACATCAAGCATGTTTAGGAGAAGCAAAACAGCACATTTCCTTTAAAAGATACAAAACCTGGAGGGGAGAAAAGCAAAGCTCTGGTGTTTGCCTTGTTTCAGCCCTGACCCTGGTTTTCTGTGCTTCTCTTCACTAGTGAGCAGGTAGTCCCACACATGTGGTGAGGGCGGGGGATGGCCATGTCTCCACACCCCCTCTCGGGCATGCTCTCCATATATTTGGGAACATACTGATGATGCTCATGGGTCAGCCCCAGGAACTTTCCCTAGAGCATAACACAAGATCCAGTATTTAACAGGAAAGCCCGGCCAAGTACCTGAAGATACTATAGTTATCTTCTTTATAGTCAATTAATAGAATTTATTTCAGGGGAGAAAATAACTTTGGAGTGGATCTCTTTAAATGTGGTGATGGAGAGAGACTGTAGGTGTAAGTGGCTTTGGGCAGTAGCAGTAAGAGCTGTGTAAACTTAGGGCCAGGGGAAATTTGTTTGGACTTAATCAGGTTTGGAACCCTTCTAGAGTTTGCTATGGAGCAAGTCACAGCAATGGGAACACAGACGTGGTATCTAGGGTATGTCTGGCCTCCATGGCCCCTCTGGTTGTCCCTCTCCCCTATGCTGGGCTTGGCACTGTCTCAGTTGCTCCCCACAGACCCCTCTCTGTTGGGTAGGTACAGCTCTTCTTTCTCCAAGCTGTGCTGGAGCAAGAGGCATTGGGAGCTATGGAGAATTTAGCATGAAAACTCTAGAGTTCGGTGCCATCTTCTTTATGCCCTCTCTACAAGTGATAATATAAAGAAAATGGTGCCAAACTCTAGAGTTTTCATGCTAAATTCTCCATAACTTCATTTCTTTCGAATGGAGAAAGAAACCGGCATTTCTTTCTTTTCTTTTTTTTTATTTTTGCAGACAGAGTCTCGCTGTGTCGCCCAGGCTGGAGTGTAGTGGCTTACCCTGCCTCCCAGCTTCAACTGATTCTCATACCTCAGCCTCCCAACTAGCTGGGATTACAGACGTGCATCACAATGCCTGGCTAATTTTTGTATTTTTAGTAGAGACGGGGTTTCACTTTGTTGGTCAGGCTGGTCTCAAACCCCTGACCTCAAGTGATCCACCCCCCACCCCCACCCCCCGGCCTCCCAAAGTGCTGGGTGAGCCACTGTGCCCAGCGAAATCGCCACTTCTGAGTGGCTGCTGCCAAGGCTTGCCATTGCAAGATTGGAGTAACCCATTTCACAGAAGCCCAGGACCCACCTCCCCATTTTATGTTTTCAATACAAAGTTTCCTCCTGGAGAGTGGAGGAAGAGCACAGCTGGGCCTATGAGAGATAGGGGAAAAATCCTCATATAAAATCCAAGTGCAGCAGACACACTCCTCCCCACCCCTCCCAAAGCCCAGGGGTTCAGAGGAGTCACCAGGAAAGCTTCTCATTACAAACAATTTCTCAACTTCCTGGAACTGAACACTAATAAAATCCTTACCCTTGGGGCAAGATTTAAATCTTCATTGGTGCCAGCTTGGTGGTTCACGCCTGTAATCCCAGCACTTTGGGAGGCCGAGGCAGGCAGATCACTTAGGCCAGGGGTTCGAGACCTGCCTGGCCAACATGGCAAAACCCCATCTCCACTAAAAATACAAAAAGTTAGCCAGGCATGGTGGCATGCACCTATAATCCCAGCTACTGGGGAGGCTGAGGCATGAGAATCACTCGAACCTGGGAGGCAGAGGTTGCAGTGAGCCAAAATCATGCCACTGCACTCCAGCCTGGGCAACAGAGTGAGACTCTTTGTCTCAAAACAACAACAACAACAACAACAACAAAAACCCTCATGGGCTGAGCAGTCCTTCTGGCTCAGTGGCTGTCCTAGAAATAGGGCTATGGTTTCAACCAGGGACCCCCAGTGGGTCCCAGTGTGGGCAGTGCCTAGAGATCTAAGCCCTTAGCAGTGGTGTTCCTTCACCTCACAGCCTCCCTGCCCCAGATACGTTCAGTGACCCCAGGACTCCCAGAATCTTGTCAAGGGCCAGACTTTTCCAGGCCACCTCCTTCACACAGCTCTGACAGGCTTCTGCTCTTTCCAGACTCCGTTGGGAATTTAGATAGGATGGGCTCCCCGAACCTAGCAGGGCCCGCCACACAGTTCTCAGCTGGAGGCGATGCAGTGTGGGGCTGGCTGCAGACTGCCAGCAGCAACAGGACACGGCTTCCCTGTTGGCCATGAGGGATAAGAAGCACATCGCAGTGCCCGGGTCCTCCCCGCTCACTTACTGAGGGAACCAGCAGGAGAGTGGGGCCTCACGACCAATGCTCAAGACCAGTTTCTATGCTTCAGTGCATCAACTCTGATCAACACCTGGAGGCATTTGGACTGTTCATCTAGAGAAAAACCAAGGCCTCCAAGAAAAAAGGAGGAGACTAAAAACAGACAATGGCAGTGCTCTATCAGTAGAGACTAGTGAAGAAAGAAAAAGGCAGGTATTAAATAGGGATGCAACCTTAGCACAAAGATCAGTTCATCCTTCTGCTCCTTTGGGCCTCATAGCTGAAATGGAAACCTGCTATTTCCCTCTTGCCACAGCCTCCTCTTCAGCATGACCAGACTCCCAAGGATTACTGCAGTCCCAACAGAGTGGACACGTGCATCAAATTCCTAAGGGACATGTGGGAGGGAAGGGAGGCGGGGCCCCAGCCCCTGCCTTAGAAAGCAAGCCCACTCCCCTGGTATACCTGGCTTCCCAAGGCATGGCTCAGGCCCGTTTCTCTTCCAATACCTCCACTCAGGCTGGCAGAGGCCACTCTGTCTCAGAGGCATCTCAAGAAAGATGGGATCTGTGTTGACTGCACTGTTCACCATCAGTCTCTGGGGAGGGCCCATCTCCAGATCATTCTCCACACCGTCTTGTTCACAGGAGGAGGATGAGGAGGAAGAAACAGCCAGGGGAGCGTGCATTGCTACTTTCTCCTCTTTAGGACCTTCCAGGGGCAAAAGCTGTGCTGTGGGCTCCAACTCTGGAAGTTCTCTGGCCATGACTTCTGAGGTCCTGGTTAGAGGCCACCAAGTCGTGCCACATGGCGGGCAGCCACAGAGGCAGCCCTGGCACAGTAGCTGGCAGCAGGCATGATGGTGGCAGAGAGGGCACAGGAATGGAGCATCCGGAGGAAGCTCATTAGTGATGCGCCCAGTGATTGGCCCTAGCAGAGAGCAGCAAGGGGCCCAGTGAAGGGGCCTGGGGTGCTCCCTGGTGAAAGACTTGTGCAGCCTCTCCACAGCCTTCTTCCAGATGGTCAGGGACACCGACTGGACCCCACCTAGGGGCACTTTAGCAGCTTTGCCATTCCAGAAATGAACAGTGATTTCTTTTTCCTTTGATGCTACATAACAAAAAATGGCAACATTTTGTTATAATTACCAATTATCTCCTTTTTTTTCTTTTTTCTTTTTTTCTTTTCTTTTTTTTTTTTTTTTTTTGAGACAGGGTCTGGCTCAGGCTGGAGTGCAGTGGCACAGTGATAGCTCACTGCAGCCTCAACCTCCCAGGCTCAAGCCATCCTCCTGCCTCAGCCTCCGAAGTAGCTTCCACGTCCTAATCATGGGATAAAGCCTCTCCTACCCACACAGGCAAAGGCAGAGCTTCAGCCTGGCCCCGCTGCTCTGGCTGCGTGGCTCCTCACATGCACCTCTCCGTGGAGAGCCTGCCAGGAACATCCTTCACCTGCACCATAGTTACCTCCACTTCCCAAGGACTTGCCTGAGCCTCCCTGCCTCCTGGACTACAGTGGCCTGCAGGGGCTCACTTTTCTTGTCAAAACCAAAATGCATTCTCAGTAGAAGCCTCATTCTGTCATTCTCTGAATTACAATGGTGCTGACTGACCCTGCAGAAGAGGACTGTCTGGTCCCTGGAGGACCTGGTGAGGGCTGGGTTGTGAGTAGCTAAACCATGGTTTAGCTAACCAACATAGATATGAGAGTTTTAGGCCATTTACCCTGATTACAATTTTTTTTTTAATAATCTGAAAGATACACTGTGCATCTTGAGGCATCTGTTGCTGCCCTCAAGATTAAGCAGCAAGCAAGGGGGAAAAATTCTCTTCTTAATGCCTTAGAAACCCCTAAGCTGTAGACGCAGCCTTGGCTCTCTCCTCTGGCCTGATTACAGCCTGGCTCCTTCTGGGCACTGATGGGTCAGAGCAGCTTCTCTTACCTCTCTGGGGATCTCTCATCTCCAAGCCCAAAAGAACAGTGCCAGGGCCATACTGCTGTTGGCCTGGCTCCCAGAGTGCCAGCACCTTATCCCCTGGTCTCAGTGAGTATCCTACAGATGGTGAGAGAGGAATGACATCCTCTTCTAAGACCACTCTCTGCTGCTGGGCTGGCAGCTTTGGGCCTGCGACAAGAGGAGCCTCGAATTCCACAAGCAGGACCCCCTGTCTCTCCAGCTGTGGGAAAGAAAACACTCAGAATAAGACCTGGCATTACAAAGTACAATAGGGAGCACCCAGGTTCCCTACGATGCCCCCCAAATCAGGCCCAGGGGCTGCCTTCCAAACAGTGACAGGCACCTAAAGAAGGGACAGGGCAGATGCTGCTTCAAGCCAGTCAAAGCCAAGACAGGCAGGCTGTGTGGCACGGTTGTGCTCCCCTGAATCTCTTCCTGCCTCGGGCAACTCTTGTGGATCACTTCCTGCCTCTGCCTTTCCATTCCCTTCCTTTGCCTGGTTTTCTTTCCTCCTACCAAATTTTTGACCTGCAATTGCCAGGAGTTACCTGGGTCCTCCCTGGACCTTTTCTCAATGCAATCTCCTCCTTCCAGCACCCCCAAGAAGCGTCGCTCCTGTGTCCAAGACCAACCAGGGATGTGTCCAAGACCAACAGGATGGTTGTTCACCTATGAGGCTCATGTAGGCAAGGAGCGATTGTGGCCACAGAGCTGCCCTCAGCACTGCCCTTGCAGTCAACGAGGAAAGGGTTAGCTAAGCAAATGAATAGCAAAAGTGAGAGAACAGTGCTGCAGCTACTTAAAAGTACAAGCTGTTTCAAGTACTCTGTGATTTAGAAGAGAAATAAACTCTGGTTATAAATTATTTTTACCAAATCACTGGACAGAACCTATATTTGAGCAAAGCTTTGCTAGAATTTCATTTTAATTCACATATTAGTTACTTGAAAATTGACTTTTTTTTGTTTTTTCCAGACGGAGTTTCGCTCGTCACCCAGGCTAGAGTGCAATGGCGTGATCTTGGTTCACTGCAACCTCTGCCTCCTGGGTTCAAGCGATTCTCCTGTCTCAGGTTCCCGAGCAGCTGGGACTACAGGAGCCCACCACCTGGCTCAGCTAATTTTTGTATATTTAGTAGAGACGGGGTGTCACCACGTTGGCCAGGCTGGTCTCGAATTTCTGATCTCAGGTAACCCACCCTTCTTGGTTTCCCAAAGTGCTGTTATTACAGGTGTGAGCAACCGCACCTGGCCAAAAACTGACTTTTGATTGGAAATTCTGAAATTCATATTTTTAAAGAATTTACACTAGTCTTCCCTTCATGAATCTACATTCACAAAGTAAGTCTGACTCTGAAAAAAAGAAAAAAAAAAGAAGTGAGTAGCCACTGAAGTACAGGCCAGGCCTGGCCCCCAGCATGGCGAGAGTGTGCTTCTCTGTACCAGCACACACCCATGCATGTGAGCAAACATATCTCGTTCCACCTTTCCCTTAGGCTAGTGTTCATTCAACACACTGAATTTTCCGCAACAAAGTACTTTTAAAGTACACTTTCTTCTCTGTTATGCATTGAATTGTGTCCCGTTACCCACCTCCACCCTCCTCCCACAGGCTGGAGTGCAATGATGCCATCAGTTTGGGGCTCAAGTGATCTTCCTGCCTGAGCCTCCCAAGTAGCTGCGACTACAGCCATGTGCCACCATGCCTGGCTCATTTTTAAATTTTTTGTAGAGACAGGGTCTCACTGTGTTGCCCAGGCTGGTCTTGAACTCCTGGCCTCAAGCAATCCTCCCACCACCACCTCTCAAAGTGCTGGGATTACAGGCATGAGCCAACATGCCTTGCCCCCTGCCAAATTCATATGTTGAAGTCCTAGCCCCCAGAATGTGACCTTATTTGTGGATAGGGGCATTGCAAATGTAATTAAGATGAGGACTGAATATGGCAGGTCCCTAATCCAGTGTGATTGATGTCCTTATAAAGGGGGAAATGTGGGCAGACACACACTCAGGGAGAAAGCCCCATAAAGGTAAAGGCAGAGATCAAGGCGATGCCTCTATAAGCTGAGGAACACCAAAGCCTGCCAGCAAGCCATGAGAAGCCAGAAGCAGGGCATGGGAATGATTCTTCTTCATAGCTCTCAGAAGGAACCAACCTTGCCAACCCCTGGACTTCCAGCCTCCAGAAATGGGAGATGACACATTTCTGTGGTTTAAGCCACTCCGTTTGTTGCACTTTGTTAGGGAGCCCTAGCAAACTAATACACTCAATGGTATTACATGTTCACTTCTACAACATGGCCATGGGAGAGCTGTGCTTATGCAAGAAACCAGCCTGCTAGATGTACACAGCTAAGGCATGTCAGGTATGACAAGGCCACCCAGAGGAGCACGCCAGGGAGATACTGGGGTCAGGGACTTGCCTCGGGAGTGGCCTTTATTTGGGCCCGGTAGTAAAAACCATCTGCTTCCCTTCTTGCTAGGACCCATGTGTTGGCAGCATCTCCAGCTCTTCCCAGCCAGCCAGGCCCCTGCCATGCTGGGTCGGCAACGTGGAGACATGGGCAAGAAGAGGCATGCCTGGAAAAAAGCAAATGGAATTAGTGGATAGAGAGCAACAAGCCCTAAACACATCAAGAAACACGTTTCGCAGGTACATCTGAGGTACACCACAGCACATGAGGCATGCGGAACAGAAATCCATATGGAAAGTGGCAATCTATGACTTCCGGAAGGATAAGGTAAACCTCCGGGAGGGGCAGAAGGAGAGGACAGTGAAGGGAACCATCCTTGGTGGATTGGGAGTTGGTTCAAGGCAACCAAAATGTAATTCGCCTTGATACATTCAAGTTAATTGATGCTTGTTCCTACACTAGACAACAGACTGGAAAAGTGTGGCTCAAGCCTGTAATCCCAGCACTTTGGGAGGCCGATGTGGATGGATCACTTGAGCTCAGAAATTCAAGACCAGCCTGGGCAACATGGTGAAATCCCATCTCTACCAAAAATACAAAAAATTAGCTGGGTGTGGTGGTGTGAGCCTGTGATCCCAGCTACTTGGGAGGCTGAGATAGGAGGATTGCTTGAATCTGGGAGGTAGAGGTTGCAGTGGGCTGAAATGACACTACTGCACTCCAGCCTGGGTGACAAGGTGAGACCCCTATCAAAAAAAAGAAAAGAAAAGAGTGCCAGGGGCCGGGAGCAGTGGCTCACACCTGTAATCCCAGCACTTTGGGAGGCCGAGATGGGCGGATCACGAGGTCAAGAGATCGAGACTATCTGGACAACACGGTGAAACCCCACCTCTACTAAAAATACAAAAATTAGGTGGGCGTGGTGGTGGGTGCCTGTAGTCTCAGCTACTCAGGAGGCTGAGGCAGAAGAATCGCTTGAACCCAGGAGGCGGAGGTTGCAGTGAGCCAAGATTGCGCCACTGTACTCCAGCCTGGTGACAGAGCGAGACTCTGTCTCAAAAAAAAAAAAAAAAAAAAAAAAAAGTGCCAGGTAGGTCAATCCTAAGGCGGCGTGTGGGATTCCAGGATGAGGCGTGGAAGCTTGGATAGTAATGCCGAGGGTGTGAAATTGTAATGCCACTTGATGCTGTGGGGTCAGAGGGATGAGGAAGTGTTTGGGCAGGGACAACCCAGAGGAGCTAAGGGGCTGTGGGACAGAAAAAGGAGATGCTAGTTCCAGAAAATGTTGTGGTCAGGGCCAGTTGGCCTAGGGGAGTTGTTGAGTCAGGGTTTGGGTTTTTGAAGAAGCCATTTTACTTTGTGGGCAAGGCTGAATGCAAAGGGGGCCTGTCTGCCTCCTGCTGCCATCAACATGCCGTCACTGCACCCAGGCTGTTCGTGCTGAGGAGCTCCTGCAGACCCATGCTGAGCTGCCCTCAGCCCCCCTCAGCCTCCTTCCTGTGCTTGTTGGCATCTAAAGTCCCATGCTTAACTCTAGCCTTGAACAGGATGGTCCACCGGGTGGATCACGAAAGGGAGCCATTAAGGATCTTTCAAGCTGGCATGTCCCTAATGTGGGCAGAATGGATCAGGCAGCAGGAATGCGAGTCCCTGGAGATGACACGCTCCACATGTGTATATAGGGCTGTGGTGCCTTTGGCCTCTTGTATCCACGCTTTAGAAAGCAGACTGAGGATCCTATTCAGGAAAATCCTGGACAAAGGAGGGGTACCGAGGGAACCTGAAGAGGGACCTGGAGACCCCACATTAGCTGATTTCTCATATGGTGGCTGAGCAAGTCTCTTTTTTTTTTTTTTTGGTTTTGTTTTGTTTTTGAGACAGAGTCTCACTCTGTTCCCTAGGCTCGAGCGCAGTGGCGCTGTCTCGGCTCACTGCAACCTCTGCCTCCCGAGTTCAAGCAATTTTCCTGCCTCAGCCTCCTGAGTAGCTGGGAATACAGGCATGTGCCACCACGCCCAGCTAATTATTGTTTTTTCTTTGAGACAGAGTCTCACTCTGTCACCCAGGCTGGAGTGCAATGGTGCGATCTCGGCTCACTGCAACCTTTCCACCTTCCGAGTTCAAGCAATTCTCTGCCTCATCCTCCTGAGTAGCTGGGATTACAGTCACCCGCCACCATGCCTGGCTAATTTTTATATTTTTAGTAGAGACGGGGTTTCACCATCTTGGCCACGCTGGTCTCGAACTCCTGACCTTGGGTGAACCACCTGCCTTGGCCTCCCAAAGTGCTGGGATTACAGGCATGAGCCACCATGCCCAGCCAATTTTTTGTGTGTTTTTAGTAGATGGGGTTTTGCCATGTTGGTCAGACTGGACTCGAACTCCTGACCTCAAGTGATCTGCTTGCCTCGGCCTTCCAAAGTGCTGGGATTGTATACAGGTGTGAGCCACTGCGCCCAGCCAAGTCTCAGCATTGATGGTAAAATGAGCTATAAACTTGGTAACTGGCTATCCCTAACTGCCTTCTCTTACTCATGCCAACTGCAGCATCTGCAACTCTGCTAAAGCCAGATCAACCCTGGAGGGCTCTGGGAGCACAATGTAGGCTGGAGTGACAGACCCCACACAGATATGCCAATCATAGGCCAAACAATGACGACCCCTTTCCACCTTCTCAGGAAGCAAGTCTGTCCACCAAGGTCTACCACCAACAGCCAAGAACAAAGGAAAAAGAAAAGGGCATCCACTTCCCCCAGAGGGGCAGAGACAGGTACCTTGCAAGGGGCTTGTGCCCGGTGAGCCAGGGTGCTTGGAGGGCAAAGGGGTAGGTGAAGGAGAGGTCCCAAGGTGGAGCAGCACCGTCCCAGCCAGGGGCCTTCAGGCTTGTGGCCACGCTGCAGTATTTGAGCAAAGGCATCCTGGGCCCCGTGGAGGATTCCATGGCCTTCAGAGGATCCACCTGAGAATAGGCACCACCATTACCTGAGCTGCAGCTTGAAGCAAGCAGTGGCCACCGGGGCGAGGCAGGGCTCAGCTCTGCAGTTAGCTGCCTCTGGGGACAGTTGAGTCCATGCACGGCCCTACCTGCTCCCACAAACTCTCACAGTTTCCTCTTTGAGTCACCTGCCTTGGGAACCTCCACTCAGGAAACAGGGAAGGGATTGGAAGAGCAAGTGCTGTGAGTTTAGAGCAGCCCAGCTTTAAATCCTCCCCTACAGCCTGCTGGCTGTGTGCTCACTTAACCTCTGCTCTCCAGTTACACTCAGGATAGAATACATGGAAAGCACCTGGCGTATTCAGCAGCTCAACTTATGTTAGTATTTTTCCTCCTTCCTCCTCCCCGGCCACCTACAAGGCTAGTTCTGGCCTCAGGCAAGCTGAGATCTCAGGGCCGTCCATCCCCTTTCCAGCCCTGTTCAGAGGAGACAGCTGCCACCAGGGCCCAAGATCAAGCCGCACTGCTGCAGCCCACCAGAGCCCCGTGAGGGTCTGCCCCTGCCCAAGTCCACAGGTCTGACCCCACAAGGACTTACCCACAGCCCCAAACTCCCAGCCTCCACCTCAGCCTCAGGCTCCTTCTGACAGTTGGGGCTCAGGGTCTCAGCCCAACCGACTCCTGGTTGCCACGCCGGTTACCATGGGTGCAGCCTGGGGACGCTGTCGTCTGTGGCCAGTGAGTGCACCGAGCATGCGGAGAGGGGGACAGGAGGCCTTGGGAGGTAGGGGTGGGGCAGGAAGTGATGGGGGAGGGGGTGTTCTCCAGGTTTCCCTTTGGAGAGAAGAGGAGGAGGAAGAAGGGAAAAAGGCCAGTGTAGCCTCAGTTCTCCAAAGCTCAGGCTGCTCCACTGCTGGAAGAGTCAGTGGTGGTGGGAAGCCCTCACGGATCCCAGGAGACTCCTGTGAGGGAGGAGCCACCTCCGCAGAAACTGAGGGCGTCCTCCCTGTACACACTAGAGGCAGGAATGGGGGAGCCACTGGCGGCCTGGGGACTCTAGGATAGAATTTGTCCCTAGTCTAAACCAAAATAACCAAAGGTGTGGGCCTGTTTGTCTATAACAGGCAGGACTCTGTTGAGGAGCAGAGGTGTTGTGACCATTTGGAGTGAGAGGTGTGGACACTGGCAACAAAGGAACAGAAGTCCAGATTCTGCTTGTGGGAGGGGCTCGTATTTGGAGGCCTCTGCCAGTCACTGTGCACTGGTTATATGCCTGGTATGCAGGCACGTTTGGATGTGTCTCCCCCACATTCATACCCCGCTTCTACCAGGTCCTGTTTCAGTTGGCAGATCCATGTGGATAGGGAGGCCAAAGTACCCACCTCCAGGGGTAGAGTGGGTGTCAGTCACCCCTTCCATCCCCGTCTGGCCCCAGGGGTTGGTCAGGCAGTGGCGTGTTCCTGAACCTCTCCAATCAGCAGGAATCTGGAGACTTTGGTTGGGAATCCTGGGATATAGGCTTTCTCTTTCTTCCTATGCCTGAATAAGAAAGCTGATAGTTCTGAGAGCCTCTGACAGCCTTTTGGGAACACTGAAGCTATTCCCAGAGAAAGAGAGGATAGACCTCAGGAAATAGAGGGTTGGTTGGTTTGTTTGTTTTGAGACAGGGTTGCCCAGGCTGGCCTCAAACTCCTGGGCTCAAGGGATGCTTTTGCCTCAGTCTTCCAAGGAGCTCGGACTACAGCCATGCACCCCAACGCCCAGCTGAAAATAGGTTCTCGGTGACAGTACTGAGTCCTGCCTGCAGGCAGTGCTGCTACTCTAGGCCTCAGCTCTGTGAGCCAATAATTCCCCTTATTGATTATGCCACTCTGGATTGGGCTGTTTCTTACTTGCAACCAAAAGCCTCTTAACTGATGACTGCCCTCCCGAAGCATCACTTCATAGTCAGGAGAATGACTGCTGCCCAGGACCGTATACCAAGGCGGAGTTATTTGGCACACAGAGAGTCTAAGAAAGACCCATGGCCGGGCGCGGTGGCTCATGCCTGTAATCCCAGCACTTGGGAGGCCAAGGCAGGTGGATCACGAGGTCAGGAGATCGAGACCATCCTGGCTAACACAGTGAAACCCCGTCTCTACTAAAAATACAAAAAATTAGCTGGGCATGGTGGCACACGCCTGTAATCCCAGCTACTCGGGAGGCTGAGGCAGGAGAATCGCTTGAACCAGGGAGTCAGAGGTTGCAGTGAGCCGAGGTCGCGCCACTGCACTCCAGCCTGGGTGACAAAGAAAGACTCTGTCTCAAAAAATAAAAAATAAATTAAAAAATACCCGTGAAGTCTCTGGCAGTGAAAGAATGATTCTTGAATGAGACAGTGGGATTTCAGTGGAGGAGGGGAAAAGGAGAATATTCTAGTTTAGGTAGGAAGTAAGAGAGAAGAGAGAAGGATACATTTGCGAGACTGTGATTTTCTGTTTGGGGGAAATGGGTTCAGCACATGCAAAATCACATTGAACTTGCTTAGGAGTCACATTAAAGCAGACTCACATCAGAGTGTGGGTGTGAGAGTAATCCTGCTTATAGATTACAGAGGCATCATCGCTAATCCCATCAGATGTTATCTTACATATAGGAAAAGGCCAAAACTCGGGTCATTTATCTTTTAAGGAATGTAGTGACTCAGGCAGGAGATGACGGGGTGGAGGAGGGAGAGGGGCGTGTACTCTGTCCTGTCGTGTCTTCAAAGCTTCTTTCTGAAGAGCGAAAGAGCTGCCTGCGGTAAGAGTCAGGGGCTTTGTGAAATGTTGCTGGCAAGGAGAAATGAGAAAACACGGCTTCTTATGTTTGCTGCTTTGTTTTGCAGTAGGGAGCTTTGAAAACTAAGCTGATAAATTTAAACAAGGTGGCGTTCAGAAGGAAGTCATCAGGCAGCTTAAGCGATGAAGTGACATGAAATACCTTCAGAGAGAGTGAGGGTGGAGCCTGTTGAGAACGCATCCCAAGAGGCCAGACAGGAGACTGCTACCAATAACCCAGACACAGGTGACGGGATTGGAATAAGAAAACAGTGACAACAGATATTCACCGACACCTTCCTGATTTGAGGCTCTTTGCTGGGTACTAGGAATAGAAGATGAATAAGGCTGGATGAATTATCTTCAAGGAACTTGCAGTCTACTGAAGAAGACAGAGATAGGTGTGTAAAGTGTCTAAAGATAGCAGGATAGCAACCACAAGAGAAATATTTATACAAAATAAAGGAAGAAGTAACGGCTAGGATAGGAAGTTGGAGAAGACTTCATAGAGGCATAGCAGTGGAGAGGAGTGTGATAGACAGTGTGGGATAGGTCACTGACTGGGCCTTGGGACAGATGGGACCTGGGAGTTAAAGGAGAAGGAAGAGCTGAAGCTGGCCATGGAAGCAGAAATAGACACACTTTGAAGGCAGACCCCAAGATACGGGGCAGGGACTGTCCTTCCCAGGTATGAAGGAAAGGCCTGGCAGCTCCAAGTTTTCTAGCTTAGAGAACCTAGAGAATGGTGATGCTATGGACAAAACAAGATAATGATAATAATAATCAGTAATGATGGCCAGCCACAGTGGCTCACACCTGTAATCCCAACACTTTAGAAGGCAGGGGTGGGAGGATTGGTTGAGGCTAGGAGTTCGAGACCAGCCTGGGCAACATAGGAAGACCCCATCTCTAAAAAAAATGTTTTTGGCTGGGAGTGGTGTCTCATGCCTGTAATCCCACCACTTTGGGAGGCCGAGGCAGGTGGATCATGAGGTCAGGAGTTCAAGACCAGCCTGGCCAACATAGTGAAACCCCATCTCTACTAAAAATACAAAAAAAATTAGCTGGGTGTGGTGGTGGGTGCCTGTAATCCCAGCTACTCGGGAGGCTGAGGCAGAGAATTGTTTGAACACAGGAGGCGGAGGTTGCAGTGAGCTGAGATTGCATTACTACACTCCAGCCTGGGCAGCAGAGTGAGACTCCATCTCAAAAAAAAGTTTTTAATCATTATGAATACTTATTACATGTCAAGGTCTGTTAATCATCATCATAAACACATGGGAATTGCTGTTGTTGTTATTCTCATTTTGTGGAGAAGAACCGAGACATAGAGAAGAGGTAGCAGAGTTATACTGCAGATACAGGTCTGGTCTCGCTCTGTCGCCCAGGCTGGAGTGCAGTGACGCGATCTCAGCTCACTGCAAGCTCCGCCTCCCGGGTTCACGCCATTCTCCTGCCTCAGCTTCCCGAGTAGCTGAGACTACAGGCGCCCTCCACCAGGCCGGCTAATTTTTTGTATTTTTAGTAGAAACGGGGTTTCACCGTGTTAGACAGGATGGTCTCGATCTCCTGACCTCGTGATCCGCCTGTCTCGGCCTCCCAAAGTGCTGGGATTACAGGTATGAGCCACCAAGCCCGACTTTCTTTTTTTTTTGAGATGGAGTCTCGCTCTGTCACCCAGGCTGGAGTGCAGTGGCGCAATCTCGGCTCACTGCAAGCTCCGCCTCCTAGGTTCACGCCGTTCTCCTGCCTCAGCCTCCTGAGTAGCTGGGACTACAGGAGCCCGCCACCATGACCGGCTAATTTTTTGTATTTTTAGTACAGACGGGGTTGACCGCATTAGCTAGGATGGCCTCAATCTCCTGACTTTGTGATCCGCCCGCTTCGGCCTCCCAAAGTGCTGGGATTACAGGTATGAGCCACCAAGCCCGGCCACAGCTCTGCCTTCTTAGACCCTATACTAAGCTGCCTGAAGAAGTCTGCATGCAGGAAAATGATGCATCTGAAATAATTTCAAATAACAACAAGGTTTTGTAAACTACTTTCACTTTAGCCCCAAGACACTTTCCCATGGTGGTGACTTCTTGTCAATCCCCAATAAGTAAAAATCTCCAAATGTTGACAAATAAAGAGAAGTTCATTGTGATTGCTCAGCACGACGCTTCAGCGAAGTGACGACCGGCATCAGGTAGTTAGCAGTCACGCTTCACAAGCTTCCGTGAGAGCTTCTCACATGCTCAGCCTCTGGCCGAGCATGTGAGAAGGGCAGGGTGAGACATGCAGAAACTCTGGGGCCCCCTGCTCCCCTAGAGTTCGTGAAAGAAGCAGAGCAGCTCCTCAACCTACATGAGATCATGTTTAGTACAATTGAAGCCCAAGCGAGTAATACCCAGCATAGGTTAGCATTTGAGCTATTTCCTGCCCACATGGAAATTACATTTAGGAAAAACTATTGAATGATGCCGTAAGAGACCCCATTTTGTGATATTATTCATTTCTATTTGGAAACAGCAACTCAAACAATTCTGAACATAGGGTCAGCATGGTGGCTGGTGGTTGCTATCATGGAGGAAACTTTTCCAGGGTTATTCTTGGTCTCAGCTTTATCAGGGTACAGAAGAGACTGCAGGTAGTTAATGTACTTGATCGCAGCTCTGAGGGTTTCCACTTTGCTGAGTCGCTTCTCCAAATACTCCTCTGGCAGATGATGGCGGAGCTGGGCGTAGCCTTCATTGACACATTTCACCCGCTGCCTTTCCCGCTCATTCCTTTTCCGGGTGAAGGCTGGCCCGTAGGAGTACTCGCACCCTCTGTAATTTGGATAAGGCATCGGGAAAGAGAAGGGGCAGGGTTCACTGTAATTTCCCAGGATAAGAGAGTCGCTGGGAAAAGGCAGCCGTGGCAGCTCCTCAGAGTAAGGGGATGACACCGGGGCCTCTGGGTGCACGTGGAAAGTGACCATGGGCTCCAGATAGAAGGACCTGGTCAGTGGCAAGCGGGCAGAATCAGGGAAGATAGGAAGTTTGTCAGGTAGACTAGAGTTGCCTCTGTTGTCCATCATTTCCTCTTTAACCTGCAAACATAACCAAGTTTAACAATGTGGTCAGATAGAGAGCAGATATGATCTACTTTCTTGGAGATCAATGTTTTATTTTATTTTATTTTTCGAGATGGAGTCTGGCTCTGTTGCCCAGGCTGGAGTGCAGTGGCGTGATCTCGGCTCACTGCAACTTCTGCCTCCTGGGTTCAAGCAATTCTCCTGCCTCAGCCTCCCGAGTAGCTTGGGATTACAGGCGTCTGCCACTGCACCCAGCTAATTTTTGTATTTTTAGTAGAGATGGGATTTCACCATGTTGGCCAGGATGGTCTCGATCTCTTGACCTTGTGATCCGCCCGCCTCAGCCTCCCAAAGTGCTGGGATTACAGGTGTGAGCCACCACGCCCGGCCGGAGATCAATGTTTTAAAGACTTTTCTGCTTTGATGACCAATTTCTGAGCTCATGTGGACAATGAGATGGTGTTATAATATTCTGTGTGTAGTAAGAGGATTTTTGATGGTACACAGAAACAGCACTAAATAACATTGAATCACCTTATGAGAAAGTTATTGTCCTTCCGTTCTTTTTCAATCCTTGTGGTTATAAAGATACAACCTTAGTCTGCTGAGAATGTGTCTTCCACACCACACCACTAGAATTCTTTTTTTTTTTTTTTTTTCCTTTGAGACAGGGTGTGGCTCTGTCACCCAGGCTGGAGTGCAGTGGTGTGATCATGGCTCACTAGAGCCTTAGCCTCCCAGGTTCATCAATCCTCCTGCCTCAGCCACCTGAGTAGCTGGGACCATACGTGGCCATCACCACGCCTGGCTAAGTTTTGTATGTTTTTGTAGAGACAGGGTCTTGCCATGTTGCCCAGGCTGGTCTCAAATTCCTGAGCTCAAGCAACCCGCCTGCCTCAGCCTCTCCAACTGCTGGGATTACACACAGGAAGCCACCGTGCCTGGCCTAGAATGCTTTCTAATCCTCCTAAGATCAAAGCCTTCAACAAGCAATAGCGTCTAGTTAGAATTCAGTGTCTTTACTAACTTCTATTTATTGTGAGTTCTAGTAATTTCACATTTATGGTAGCGACATAAAGTTCCTTTTTTTCTTTTTTTGAGACAGAGTCTCGCGTTGTTGCCTGGGCTGGAGTGCAGTGGCACGATCTCGGCTCACTGCAACCTCTGCCCCCCCGGGTTCAAGTGATTCTCCTGCCTCAGCCTCCCAAGTAGCTGGGATTACAGGTGCCCGCCACCACGCCCAGCTAATTTTTTGTATTTTTAGTAGGGACGGGGTTTCATTACGTTGGCCAGGCTGGTCTCAAACTCCTGACCTCATGATCCACCCGCCTTGGCCTCCCAAAGTGCTGGGATTACAGGTGTGAGCCACTGTGCCCGGCCATAAGGTTTGTCTTAAAACTAAATCTACTTGAGTAAGAAACGTGATTTGATTTAAAGACAAAGAGTGAGTAAATAATAGTACAGGTGGAACAAAGATATAATGGTGATCGTGAAGACATGCAAATAAAAAAAGTGTGGGAAAGGCTGAAACACCAAAATACCCAAATATATGCAAGGGAAATTATGAATTAGTTAATGATCATGCAACCTCAGAGGCATAGCCTTCTTAAAGAATACCTGATGTGCTAGAGGCAAAACCAAAAATACAAATAAAAAAGGAATCATTTGCTCTTAAATGTTCACTATGGGACTCCTTTAGGTGAGAAACTTCCCCTACACATTTAAAACATAGTCAATATACAAGTTTTTACATATGTAGAACTGTAAATATATTGAGTAAAGTGCAGCTATGTTTAGGTTTTTAAATTTTTTTATTTATTTTATATTTTTATTTTTAGAGGTGGTGTTTTGTTCTGTCAGCCAGGCTGGAGTGCAGTAATGTGATCATGGCTTACTGCAATCTCAAACTGCTGGGTTCAAGTGATCCTCCTACCTCAGCCTTCTGAGTAGCTAGGACTGCAGGTGTGCACTACCATGCCTGGCTTTTTTTTTTTTTTGTAGAGATGGGGTCTTGCCTTGATGCCCAGGCTGATTTTAAACCTCCTAGCTTCAAAAGATCTTCCCACAGCACTGGGATTACAGGCATGAGCCACTTCACCCAGCCTATAGTTAAGTTTTGTTGGTTTTTGTGTGTGTGTGTTTTTGTAGAACTCAAGGATGAAGCAGTATAACCCAAGAGGTTCCACACCAACGCATTTCTTCTTTGTGAATAGGTCTATATCCTTCTCCTGTTTTAAACTACTGTTACTTTTTGCCTCTGCCTGTAATCATGTAGCAACAACAGATTTTACAGAGCCACTGCAGTGTAACCGGTTAACTTGGAGGCGGGGGGAGAAAGAGCTTTTTCTCTCAGTCATAACACCCTCAGGTTTCAATATGGCCTTACCCCTTCCTAGCTATGTGTCCTTAGGCAAGTGTCTTAACCTCTCTGAGCTTTCGCTTTCCCCATGTCCAAATGAGCTACTAACTATTCTGCAGGGTGGTTGTGAGGATAAAGTGAAAAAACTACAGTTGACCCTCCATATTGGTGAGCTCCACATCTGTGTATTCAACCAACTATGGGTGGAAAATATTCAGGGGGAAAAAAGGGATGGCAGCATGGGTACTAAATAAGTACTGACATTTTTTCTTGGCATTATCCTCTAAACAATACAGTGTAACAACTATTTGTATAGAATGTGCATTGCATTAGGTATTATAAGTAATACAGAGATGATTGAAAGTGTTTGAGAGGGTGTGTGTAGGTTCCATGCAAGTGCTACGTTATTTTCTGTAAGGGAGTTGGACCTCTGTGGATTTTGTTATCCGAAGGGGAGTCCTAAACCCAACCCCCCAGGTACAGAGGAGTGACCGTGCCTATAATGCACCCAGCATTTGCCTCTTTCCTTTCTTTAGAGATGAATGAATCCTTATGTAGCGTTCCTTTCTAAACTGCACCTTATAGAAAACCTGGTTTATGTTTTCCTTAACACTGTAGAGTCACAGCACTGATCTATCCTAAACACACATGTTGAGAGATGAGGAACATACCTAAAATGGAGAAGGGAAAGCAGCTTGAAGTCTAATTGTGGGCCTCCATCAAAGAAGGAAATATGGTGTTAATTTCTCAGCAGGTTGATTTTTCAGCATCTTTAGGAGTGAGGGGTTATTATCTGTGCTTGGCATACTAAACACACACACACATACACACACACACACACACACACACACCAGTCCTAATGTTTAGGGCAAGATTAGATAATATTGGCACTTGTTTCTCTACCTGAATACAGCAAAAACTCAGCAGGCTGCACTGTGTAGTGGGAGGAGCAGCCCCTAAGACCAGAATTCAAGTATGAAGGTCAGGGGACTAGGGAAACAGCAAGGGCAGCAGGGGCAGGGGTGCCGGGAGGGAGGAGTGGCCAGGGTTAAAGGCTATAGTAAGTCATGGTGAAAGAGGCTGGAAAAGAAGTCAATGCCAGGAAAAGCTCTTCTTAAAAGCGACGGGGTGGTGGGATGAGATAAGTGGGATAGCTCCAATTAAAAATCGAAACAGAGGAACAGGAAATGAAAGATTCCAAATTACTGACCAAATGACCTAAGATAACTAACAAAACAAAAATCTCTGGAAAACTAAAAACTAGCCAGGATTCTGTCAAAAAGAAAAAGTTACTGAGAGAAACAAGTTAGGAAATTCCCAAGCCAGGAATTCTAGAGGGTAAGAGAGAAAGAACGGGTATGGCAGAAGCTGCAAAATGGTGGCAAATGGGTGTGGAGCCCGTATTACTGCACTTCCGACAACAGCAGAGCCATATTGTTGCCTGTAGTTAACAAGCTGGAATTAACAGGCTACCAAAAAGTAAAGCAGATGTCATCAAACCTAACTATACAAAAATCGTTCTTTTGGTGATGGTTTTACCCTAAAAGACCATTTAAACAATATCTTAAATCTTGACCCAGATGAAATCTGAGTAATTTGTATATGCCACAAGTAATTAAAACTTTCTAGGTTTTAACAATATTTTCGTAATTCTTGAAAAAAGAGCATGGTGTCTCTGGAGGCACATTGATGAGAAGTTTTTTTCTGTTGAGCATTTCCAATAAGTTCACCAATCAATGTACTAGCATTTAAATATGATCACCTTTTATTCAAAGAAGAAAATTTAAGGCAACAGAGTGAGAAAATGAAATAAAATGCAGCAACAAGGAGAATCAAGATAGAAAGCCTAGTGGGGTCTGGATGTGTTTGTAGGAATTGAGTATAAGTTTTTAAAAGAAAGCAACACAGATTGGTAGTGCTGGGGCTCCATGGTTCCAGATACAGACACAGCTAACAAACACACCTATGTTGGGAAAATCTCAGATTCTGCCTTAGAGCGATTCTGGGAAATAAATGATGAGGTCTTAATGATAAAATTGTAAGAGATTCTGGATGCTCTGCTGAGCATAAAAGCTTCAAATTTCAGAGATATAAAAGATATGTAGCATGTAAAAAATAAAAAGCTACAACTGCCGATATAATTGAATTATGGAATGTTAGAGCTAGAAGGAAACTTAAAACTTCCTCATAGGTTGTGATATGTTGCTAAGGTTACAAAGCTAGTAGCAGAGCAGGGGCCAGAACCTAGTGTCCCGACTTCCAAATCAAAACTCCTTCTGCTCTTCTAGATGATTTAATTGCCAGCAAAACCTGGATCTTCCATTATATGGGGAATAATTGGTAGTTTGAAATAATGGAATAATCCGATAGCTGACAAAATTCAGTATTTATCAACTGTACCTAGGGATTTTCTTAAAAATCATGTTCTTATTCTTCCCCACGGGCCACTCTGGAGAATAGTCTCTTACCTGAGTTTTGTCGTCAGGATGCTGTATTTTGGGCTGAGTTGGACTTAACCTGATTTATAGGTGATCATTTAATAACAATATGCAAAGTAGCTTACAGTTAAACAGAACTGCTCAGTTCTGGTTTGGCTGTTTTTCCTATCCAATGTGTAGATATGACAACAGATAACCATACTAAATAGAAAGGCGTGCTTACAAAACTGGATACTTGTAACAAATTCTTTTGTTTAAAGAATGTCCCCCATTCTTCTGGGTTATATGATATTATATCAAAATTATTTATGGAGCAATAGACTCATAATGTGCAAATATTGGCCAGTATTCTTTTAGATAGAGGTTAAGGCCAGAACTAGGAAGGTCAATACGAACTTACATCTTTTTTTTACTTTTTATTTTTTTAAAGCCAGTTGGATTTAGCAGTGGGGACTTTAGTGACACGAATGTGGATGTTAAATTCTGATAACCCAGTATCATAGGAACTAGCCAATACCTTTTTCTTAAATAGCCATTTTATTTTTTCTTCTTAAGTATACTTTTATCTTTTTAAAAATATAAATATTAGAAGCATTCCTTCTCTCCTTATTTATTTAGAGACAAGATCTCACTCTGTAGCCCAGGCTGGAATGCAGTGGCATGACCGCAGCTCATTGCAGCCTCCACCTCCCGAGCAGCTGGGACTACAGGTGCGAGCCAACTTGCCTGGCTAATTTTTGTATTTCTTATAGAGATGAGGTCTTACCTTGTTGCCTGGCTGGTCTTGAACTCCTGGTCTCAAGAAATCCCACCCAAAGTGCTGGAATTATAGACTGCTGCACCATGCCGAGTTTAATTTTTTTTGAGACAGTTTTGCTCTTTTGCCCAAGCTGGAGTGCAATGGCGTGATCTTGGCTCACTGCAACCTCTGCCTCCAGGATCAAGTGATTCTCCTGCCTCAGCCACCCAAGTAACTGGAATTACAGGTGTGCACCACCACACCCAGCTAATTTTGTATTTTTAATAGAGATGGGTTTTCATCATGTTGGCCAGGCTGGTCTCGAACTGCTGACCTCAGGTGATCCGCCCACCTTGGCCTCCCAAAATGCTGAGATTATAGGCATGAGCCACCATGCCCGGCCCCAACTTTAATTTTTAAAGCAATTGTAGGTTCACAGAAAAATTGAACACAAAGTAGAGCTAATTCTCATACACTCCCTGCCCCCACGTGTGCATGGCCTCCTCTGCTATGAACATTCCACATCATTATGGTACTGTGTTAGAACTGATGAACCTGCATTGATACATAATCACCCAAAGTCCATAGTCTACATTAGGGCTCACCCTTGGTGTTGTACATTTACATTCTGTGGGTTTTGACAAGTATATAATGACATGTATTCACCATTGTGGTATCACAGAATAGTTTCACTGCCTAAACATCTTGTGCTCTGCCTATTCATCCCTCCTCCTTCTCTAACCCCTTGCAACCGCTGATATTTCTGTCTCCATGGTTTTGCCTTTTCCACAATGTCAGATAGTTGTTAATTATGCATGTAGCATTTTCTTTCTTTCTTTTTTTTTTTTTTTTTTTTGAGACGGAGTCTCACTGTGTCGCCCAGGCTGGAGTGCAGTGGCACAATCTCAGCTCACTGCAAGCTCCGCCTCCCGGGTTCATGCCATTCTCCTGCCTCAGCCTCCCTAGTAGCTGGGACTACAGGTGCCCGCCACCACGCCCAGCTAATTTTTTTTTTTTGTATTTTTAATAGAGACGGGGTTTCACCGCGTTAGCCAGGATGGTCTCGATCTCCTGACCTCATGATCTGCCTGCCTCAGCCTCCCAAAGTGCTGGGATTACAGGTGTGAGCCACCACGCCTGGCCGCATATAGCATTTTCAGATTGGCTTCTTTACTTAGTAGTGTGCATTTAAGGTTCTTCCATGTCTTCTCATGGCTTGAAATCTCATTTCTTTTTAGCGCTGATTATTCCATTGTCTGGTTGTATCACAATTTGTTTATCCGTTCACCTACTAAAGGAAATCTTAGTTGCCTCCAAATTTTGGCACTTATGAGTAAAGCTGCTATAAACATCTGCATGCAGGGTTTTGTGTGGACATGATTTCAACTCATTGGGTAATTATTATGGAGCACAATTGCTGGACCATATAGTAAGGGTATGTTTAGTTTTGTAAGGTTGCTGTACCATTTTGTATTCCCACCAGCAATAAAAGAAAGTTCCTGTTGCTCCACATCCTTGAGAGCATTTGGTGTTATCAGTGTCGTAGATTTTGGTCATTCTAATAGGTGTGTATTGGTATCCCATTGTTGTTTCAGTTTGCATTTCCCTGATGACATATGATGTGGAACATCTTTTCATATGCTTATTTGCCATCTGTATCTCCTCTTTGGTGAGGTGTCCAGGACTTTTGCCCATTTTTAAATCAAATTTTTTGTCCCTTATTAAGTATTTTTTGTATATTTTAGATAGCAGTCCTTTATCAGCTATGTCATCACCACCATCTAGATCTTCTCCTATGTTATCTTCTGAAAGTTTTGTAGTTTTGCATTTTACATGTAGGCCTATGATCTATTTTGAATTAATTTTTGTGAAGGGTACAGGGTATGTAACTAGATTTCTTTGCATGTGGATGTCCAGTTGTTCCAGCACCATTTGTTGAAAAGACTATCTTTTCTCCATTGTATTGCTTTTGCTCCTTTGTCAAAGATCAGTTGACTGTATTTATATGGGCCTATTTCTGGGTTCTCTATCCTGTTCCACTGATCTGTCTTTTTTGCCAGTAGCATACTGTCATGATTACTGTAGTTTTATAGTAAGTCTCAAAGGTAGTGTTAGTTTTCTGACTTTGTTGTTCTCCTTTAATATTGTGTTGGCTATTCTGTCTTTGGCTTTTTTATAACCTTTAGAATAAGTTTAATATCCACAAAATAACTTTCTGGGATATTGATTGGGATTGCATTGAATCAATAGATCAAGTTGGAAAGAACCGCCATCTAAACAATATTGAGCCTTCCTATTAATGAATATGAAATATATCTTCATTTGTTTAGTTCTTTGGTTTATTTAATCATTTTTGCAGTTGTCCTCATATAGATCTTAGATACATTTTACTAGGTTTATACCTAAGTATTTTATTTTGGGGGTGCTACTATGAATAGTATTGTTTTTAATTTCAAATTCCACTGTTTGTGGCTGATATATAGGAAAACGGTTGACATTTTTTAGAGACAGGGTCTTGCTGTGTTGCCCAGACTGGAGTGCAGTAGCTATTCATGCAGCAATCATAGCTCACTGCAGCCTCAAAACTCCTGGCTTCAAGTAATCCTCCTGCTTCAGCCTCCTGAGTAGCTGGGACTACAGATACATGCCACTGCACCTGGTTTGATTGACTTTTGTATACTAACCTTGTATCCTGCAAGCCTTTATAATCACTTATTAGTTCTATTATTGTTGTTGTCAATTCTTCTGGGTTTTCTACATAGACAATCATTGCATCAGTAAACAAAGACAGTTCTATTCCTTCCTTCTCAATATTTATACCTTTTATTTCCTTTTCTTGTCTCACTGCATTGGCTAGGACTTCCAGTACAACTAGGACTTCCAGTGCAATGTTGAAAAGGAATAGTAAGAGAAGACGTCCTCGCCTTATTCCTGATCTTAATGGGAAAGCTTCTAATTTCTCATTATTAAGTATATGATGTTAGCTGTGGTTTTTTTGTTAGCTCATTTCTTTATCTAGTTGAAGTTCTCTATTCCTAGTTTCCTGAGAATTTTTATCATGAATGGGGTTATTTTGTCAAATGCTTTCTCTGCTATTGATAAAATTCATGTAATTTTTCTTCTTTAGAAATGTTATTTTCAAATGTTGAACCAGCTTTTCATACCTGGGATAAATCCCACTTGGTCATGGTTGAAATTAAATTTTTTAATACTAACAATAAAATTGATAATTTATATATTTGTAGGTGCTTAAAATTTTACTAAACCCCAAAATCCCATTAATGGCTCCTAAAACCTCACTTTTATGAATTTAATTCTGATTTTTTTGGGCCAAGAATTTCTCAGAACAAGTACTCCTTCAGGAATTTGAAATCTCCCAATTTATCAAAATATTAGTATACTTTTCAGAGATCCACCCCCAAATTCATATATTCTGTCTATACATGCAAACACATAATTTACACCAATATTTTACGGTTAGATTGGTATAAAACAGTAGTCTCAGAACAGGGTACAAAATGTCTTTATATCTTCAATCTCATTATACAGCAAAAGAGGGAGGAGGAAAAAACTAGGAGACATAGATAGATACACTGATGGATGTTTCAAAAATTATTTTTATTGTTACATTCCAAAGAGGACATAGGAAGAAAAAAGCCAGTTATCCAATAATGGTTAGACCTTTCAGAAGAGGCACCCACAACCCCAGCCCTAGTTCAAAGCTGCACACATTGGAGCTCAAACAGCTGCCTCTCACCACGACCGGAAATGCTGACAAATGTGTATATATTATCAATCCAGGGAGGCTTGGGTTTAAAATAAAATTTCTTTATTGCAAGTGTCCAAGTCCTTAGGATTTGTCCTTAAAGGTACTAGAAGATGAGTAAGACCACACACACCAAGACTATGTTTAGTCTTTAGAGTAAACTAGCAAATGGCCAGTTTGTTCTAGGATGCATTGCATCAGACATCACAGTACATGAAGAAAATCTGCTTTTTGTGAAAAGCCACCAGGCATTTTAGATCCCGTTTACCATGAAGTGCAGACACAGCAGATACCCAGATAATACAGTCAGTGCAAAAGTCAAATGAGTAAGTCAGCTCTTTGATGAGGCTGGCTACACTGCAAAATATAAATGAAACTCGAAAATAGAAGGTAAGGTCTATTTACAAAAGTTTGTTTAGTAAAGTGACTTGAAAAAAGTTGTTAACCACTTCCCAGGCATCCCTCCCCTCTCCCACCAAAACAAACAAACAAAAAACAACAACAACAAAAACCCTGAAAATTATCTTGAAAGTCAAGTTAAAACTATGTGGTGAAAAAGAGAGTGCTTGTTCCAGGTAAAGGACTTCAAGATAATTTACAGGCAGATTTATTTTTATTAGTAAAAGTCACAAATAGGAAAAGACTTATTGGCTGACTTTGAGCTGTGTGCTTTTAAAAATGTCTCTATTATTACGTTAACAAGAAAAAAAAATCAAGCAAGTTTTTGCTTCCAGTTTTGAATCTTCCAGCAACAGTTGGTGAAATCAACAAGGTATTAAAATGAAACCCAGCAAAACCCAGTCAGTTCTTTCCAGTTGTCTGCCTGTTTCTTTCTAGTCACCTTGAATTCAATTCCCAATTAGCTGAGGACAACATGCCGGTCAAAGACAGACTTTCGCTGCTCTTGGACTTGAAGCTTCCAGCGCTGCTGTGCATATTCTACCTTGTTCAGCACGTTGGCTCGACTGCGGGAGCGGGCTAGCACATCGTGTGCATTTGCAAAAGGCTGGTGATCCTAAAAGTCCAGGAATGGAGAACATTAGAGATGGCACAGTCAGTGTAAAACATAGACACACAACAGTGACCAGCCCGCCACAGAAATAGGGGTAGGTGGACTTTTCAAACAACAGAGCATCTATTTAGCTAAGCACTCCTAAGCGCTCAACTACCAGATAGAGTATGAACTCAAGTACAGACCTAGGTGGTTCAAGAAACATAAGCGATGACAGAGTATTTGTGAAACGTTCCCATGGATTGCCATTTCCAAAGATATTTCCCTTAAAGAAGTGGAGACCAAGCAAAAGACAGTGGTCATTTGTGTTAAAGAGAAGCCTTCCTTAACTGATAGGGAAAAGAAAATCTATTTTCATGTTAACATCTCTCCATGTTATAGATATGGAAAGTAGGGTCTTTCCTTGCTTTATTCGATACTATAAAGCTAATCTGTGGCAGAGGAAAGATCTGTCTTTTAATTTCCTGTCTCCATTAGAATTGTTTTCTTGCCAGCTTGGGGCCACATCACTCTGGGAGGGTGAGCGACAGAGTCTTATCTTGGGTTGTTTTTAATCTCTCCCTGTACCCTCAACACACACACTAAATGGATTAGCTTCCAAAAGCTTCCTCATTTCCCCACTTCCCCAATGTGTAATGAAAAGAGACACAGCTCAAGTGCTACAATCACCCTCTCTATTCAACAAAGATTGAATCTTCCATTGTTAAGCACCCAGTGGCTTCCATGTAAGTTGCTGCCTTGGGAAAGAGGCTATTGAAGGGTTGCCCAGGTATCTGTATAGAAAACCAACCTAACCTGGTCAAAGTAAACGAGTACAACTGGATGTTTGTAGTCATTACACAGGAAACCACCATGCTAATCTATCTATGAATGAGATATAAACACAGCTGTCTAAATGACAAAAAGCATTCAATAGTAATTTATTGCTTTTGTTTGCCTTTTCCTTGATCTCTTTTTCTTGAACCCCGTGTTAGCAAAGCTTCTCAATGTTCCAACAGAAGATCCAAGTCACAAGTTGTACCTCTTATACTAAACTTTGCCTCTAGGAGAGAAACAACATTATTTTGCTGTGCATGTTTGAAAAAGCTCTATTATATATCCAGGGCAGGAGTCTGCATGTATATGGAAAGCTATATACATAACCACATAACTATATATACAACTATAATTATAGGAGTTAGAACACCTGGTCTTGTTTTTATAGCAAGGCATTTATACAATGTCTACATTTGAAAGATATCAAAGAGTTTTTATAAAGAATCTTTCCTCCTCTTCTTTGTCAAAATTCCTTCAACTTTTCACTTTATTTAGGTAATGGCTTGTACAAATCCTAAAACTCAAGTTATTTAAAAAGTGGATTTTTTTTTTTTAAAGAGATGGGGTCTCACTATATTGCCCAGACTGGCCATGAACTTAATTTTTTTTTTTTTTTTGAAATAGGGTCTACCCATGTTGCCCAGGCTGGAAGGCAGGGGCTATTCACAGGTGTGATCACAGCTCACTGCAGCCTTGAACTCCTGGCCTCAAGTGATCCTCCTGCCTCAGCGTCCCAAGTAGCTGGGACCTATAGCCTATTTTTAAACTTTTAACCTTACAAATGAAAATAATAAAGGCAATTTCATGAGGCTTAAAATGTTTTAAAAAATGTAAGAAAAAAGCTAAAAAAGAAAAAAAAAAAGGAGGCAGGCTAAAGTTATAGAATTGCTTGATTTTCCATTATGGCAATAAATTGACCCAAGGTCATTTAACAAATTAGCATAAAGACTAAAACTTAGCCTGCCTAACCCTGACTTGGTGTTATATTGTCTCAAAACAGATTTTGGTCAGGTAGATTAAAATGACACTATAAGAATATGGTGCTTCAGTGAATTTGTGTATAAAATATCATCCCCTGAAGTCAAGGACCAGAGGAGGAAAATATTATCACCATTGGTTTGTTTTGACATAAGCAATACTGGGAAGAAGGATGTACTTGATCGGCAGAGGACCTCTCAGTTGCCTAGTGCTGTTATCTATTCTTCAAGGTAGGGGAGAAAAATCTTCTTAAGGAACAAGTTCAAAAGACTAAACAAACCAGCTAATCCTTTGGGTCTGCTCTCTATCCATCAGAACGAGATTGAACTAGCTGCTCATGGTCACAGATGCTGGGGGAATGCAAATAGAGATTTACCCTTTTTATGTTTGTTCTTTTCACACCTGATAAAATTACAATAAATACAAAACATGTTTTACTGTAATGCTTTGGTAATAACGATGATGTGTCATGGATATATGATATAGTAAATATTGTGACTACTTGCAGTGAGCTTAACTATTTGTACTCACTTTTATTTGCTTTAAAATGCTCTACACTGAACAAAAACAGAAAAAATGAAAACTGATAGTTCAACAAAAACATTTTTAAAGTATATAAATAGTGCAGAACTCACATCTTGGATAAGCAACAGTTTTAAAAATTAAAATTCACTTATTTTTGTAGAGTTGTTACCATAAATTCACAGCTCTGGTCAGAAAACCTCTCTGCCTAGAATCAGTTTAAAAGACATCCAAGAGTCAGCCAGGCCTCACAGAGACAGTGTTCTCAAATAGTCAATACACAAGCAGAATCAATCACTGGTGGACAAAACAATTACTGAGCATGTGATCCCACCAATTAAATGCCTGCCCTACATGTTTTCATCTCTACATCCATTTCTCTTATGTTTTGTGTTATTATATTGTCTATTTCTGAAATCAGGAACAGATATTTAACGCTGTAAAGGAAGGATGTCGTTTAAGACTTTCAACGTCTATGCCTATAGATGCACGAGCCATTCCAGGGTAAAAGGACTTTTGACTGGCTGGCAAGGGCTCACTCTGGGTTTGGCTTTTGAATTGAACCTTAAAACTATTCTGAATTTTACCCATTTTAAGGAACATAGTCCAATATAATAATCCACGAGAAAAAGTAATTTCTAAAAAAATAATTATATATAATAATGAAAGAATGGAAAATTCAGCTGGGTGCGGTGGCTCACGCCTGTAATCCCAGCACTTTGGGAGGCCGAGGCAGGGGGATCATGAGGTCAGGAGATTGAGACCATCCTGGCTAACACAGTGAAACCCCGTCTCTACTAGAAAAAAAAAATACGAAAAATTAGCCGGGCGCGATGGCGGGCGCCTGTAGTTCCAGCTACTTGGGAGGCTGAGGCAGGAGAATGGCGTGAACCCGGGAGGCGGAGCTTGCAGTGCGCTGAGATCGCACCACTGCAGTCCAGCCGGGGCAACAGAGCGAGACTGCGTCTCAAAAAAAAAAAAAAAGGAAAATTCAGAAACAATTTCATACAGGGTAATGATGAAACAAAAATATCCAGCCAGGCGCAGTGGCTCACACCTGTAATCCCAGCACTTTGGGAGGCCGAGGCGAGCTGATCACTTGAGGTCAGGAGTTCAAGAGCAGCCTGGCCAAAATGGTGAAACTCCGTCTCTACTAAAAATACAAAAAAAATTAGCCAGGCGTGGTGGCAGGTGCCTGTAGAACCAGCTACCTGGGAGGCTGAGGCAGGAGAATTGCTTGAACTTGGGAGGCTGAGGTTGTAGTGAGCCAAAGTCACGCCACTGCACTCCAGCATGGGCGACAGAGTGAGACTCCGTCTCAAAAAACAAAAAAAACATTCTCTAAGCTACACTGAAAAACAGATTTGTGGACTAAGTCAATTTCTGGACATTTTTGAATAAACGAATATTAAAACAAAAAGGAGACCATGAAGCAATTTATACAGATTATGCCAACTATATACACACACACACACACACACACACACACACGCTATATATATATATATATAAACATATATAATGTACACACGTGTGTGTGTGTGTGTGTGAGAGATTTAAAGACAGGAAGAGAATCTGGAGTGATGGTAGTCATGGTTTTATTTTTCTCTAAAGATCTCAGATTTTTTTTTTCTTTTTTTTTAAACAGGCTTCTTGCTGTGTTGCTTAGGCTGGAGTCCTATGGTGTGATCACAGTTCTGCAGCCTCAAACTCCTGGGGTCAAGTGACACTCCTGTCTCAGCCTCCTGAATAGTTGGGACCACAGGCATGCACCACCACACCCGGCTAATGCTTTTATTTTTTGTAGAGACAGGGTCTCACCATGTTGACCAGGGTGGTCTTGAACTCCTGGGCTCAAGTGATCCTCCCACCTTGGCCTCCCAAAGTGCTGGGATTACAGGTGTATGCCCCCACACCTGGCCCACAGATTTTTTTTTAAGCAGTAGAAAAAAAGGAAATATAAAACATCAGCAGGTTATCAAGTTGTACTTCATTAAGAAAAGAACATCATGATCTTCACACTTCCCTTGATGAAAACCTCTCTGCCTTCTAAAATATTTGGTGATATTGACAGAGAAGGTGTTTCAGGCAGGAGAGCTTGGAGAGAAAACCATCTCTGATACTTTTCTCAATGTAAACAGGGAATGGCAATAAAATTGTGCCTTTGGTACTGAAAGCAAGGCCCTGTATAGCATGCTCACCAAAGATCATCGTTTAAATCATCACATTTATGGCTTCATCAAGCAATTTCTTCATAAAGAGGTATATACTGAAATCAGAGCTGTTTTTAGCTTCTCTAGTTGAGGATCTGCTTCAGCACGTGAACATCTATATATGACTATTTTTCACTTGCACTTCACATCGAATGATGACAGGGACTGGCCATGAGCAGCTAGGGCAGGCTGGGAACTTACCCCAATATCATCATCACTCTGTATCAACTGTGCATGTCCAAAGAGGCGCCTCTTCAGTATGGGCTCAACCAGAGTAAGATATACCATGTACAGAAGTAGAAGGCCCAAAATGGAGAGATAAATTATAATGGTAACCTAAAGGAAATTGAAAATTAAGTTACATCTTTGTTCAAGCCCATAAATCAGAACTTTGTATGATAATAGTAAAACTGACTGACATATCTGCTAAGCCTATAGGATTTCTATACAAACCAGATAGCAATATAAGAAATAAACTCAACTCTTCACCAAAGTATTATTTAAGAAAAAAAGAGGAAAGATCTTTGGGATTTTTTTGCAAGTCTTCAAGACTCCAACTTCACCTACTGCTAATCACCTGTCACCACTGCTAGCACAGCAGTTTGTTTCTTTTCCCAGCTGAACATAATGTCCTAAATTCAGCTACTCTTTAGCTCAATTTAGATATACAAAAGTATTTTCTAGGCCGGTGATTTTTTCTTGTGACCTTAATTCATGTACTGAGAAAAAGTACAGTGTGACACACCCACTAGAAGGACTACAATAAAATAAATAGACAATACCAAGTATTAGCAAGGATATGGAGAAACAGCCCTCATACGCTGTGGTGGGAATGTAAAGTGGTACAACCACTTTGGGAAACAATCTGGCAGTCTCTTAAAAAGTTAAACATAATTTTACCATTCTAAGGAATTAACCCAAGAGAATGGAAAACATATATATCCATACAAAGACATATGTGCAGATATTCACAACAGTATTATTCATAATAGTAAAAACCCAGACATAATCCAAACGTCCATCAACTGATAAATGCATATTCATATAGTGAAATACTATTCAGCAATAAAAAGAAACGAAGTACTGATACATGCTACAACTTGCATAAACATCAAAAACATTGTGCTAAATGAAAGAAGCCAGTCACAGAAGACTATATATTATATGATTCCATATACATGAAATGTCCATGTATGCAGAGACAGAAAGTAGACTAGTGACCGAGTAGGGCTGGAAATGGGAATTAACTGTAAATGGGCATGAGGGATCTTTTTGGGGTAGTGGGAATGTTCTGAAACTGGATTTTATTTTTTTTTTTTTGAGACAGAGTCTCACTGGAGTGCAGTGGCACGATCTCAGCTCACTGCAACCTCTGCCTCCAGGATCAAGTGATTCTCATGCCGTAGCCTCCCAAGTAGCTGGGACTACAGGTGCGTGCCACCACACCTGGCTAATTTTTATATTTTTAGTAGAGATGGGGTTTCACCACGTTGGACAGGCTGGTCTCGAACTCCTGACCTCAAGTGATCCACCCGCCTCGGACTTCCAAAGTGCTGGGATTATAGATGTGAGCCACCATGCCTGGCCTGAAACTGGATTTTAAAATGTTTTAAATCTACTAAAATTTATAGAATTGTATACTTATAGTGAGTGACTTTTAGGGTACATAAGTTGTATATTTTTTACAAATCTGTTAAATAATAGTACAGTGAGGATTTATCTAAAGTTCAGCACCCTGCTGGAGCAAGAGCTCTTCCACAGGGTCAATCACAGCAGAAATGTTTGTGACTATTATAACTAACCACCCCACATTCCCCACAGGGCCTTTTGGGGGGAAAGGAATGGGAAGTGCCATGTAAAAAAAAATTAGGCCAGGCGCGGTGGCTCACACCTGCAATCCCAGCACTTTGGGAGGCCAAGATGGGTGGACCACGAGGTCAGGAGTTCGAGACCAGCCTGACCAACATGGTGAAATCCTGTCTCTACTAAAAATACAAAAATTAGCTGGGCGTGGTGGTGCATGCCTGTAATCCCAGCTACTCAGGAGGCTGAGGCAGGAGAATCGCTTGGACCCAGGAGGCGGAGGTTGCAGTGAGCCAAGATTACACCACTGCACTCCAGCCTGGGCAATAGAGCAAGACTCCATCTCAAAAAAAAAAAAAAATTGGAAGAAAAACCATTAGCCACTATAATAAAGTAACTGAACTCATTAGAAATACAAATGGTGATGAGAGTGATCTACATCCCATTTACTACAGCAATACTCCACAACCTTTTTGGCACCAGGGACGGGACCAGTTTCATGGAAGACAATTTTTTCATGGACCAGGGGTGGTAGGGGATGGTTTGGGTATGATTCTAGCACATTACATTTATTGTGCACTTTATTTCTATTATTATTACATTATAATATATAATGAAATAATTATACAGTTCACCATAACATAGAATCAGTGGGAGCCCTGAGCTTGTTTTCCTGCAACTAGACGGTCCCATATGGGGGTGATGGGAGTCAGTGACAGATCATCAGGCATTAGATTCTCATTCTCATAAGGAGCATGCAGCCTAGATCCCTCACATGTGCAGTCCACAATAGAGTTCATGCTCCTATGAGAATCTAATGCTGCTGCTCATCTGACAGGAGGTGGAGCTCAGGTGGTAATGCGAATGATGGGGAGCAGCTGTAAATAAGATGAAGCTTTGCTCACTTGCCCACTGCTCACCTCCTGCTGAGTGGCCCAGTTCCTAACAGACCACAGACTGGGCTGTGGCCTGGGGGCTGGGGACCACTGTCCTACAGGAAATGAAGAGGGGAAATCTTAAAATCCAGAAGTAATAGTTCTAGAATAATTACTATATATTTAATTTTTTCAAAGGGCTGGAAAGGCAAGGAGAGGAGGGCTTATAAATGCTGCTCTCTCAGCCTCTGGCACACATGGCCTACACAGAAGCTGGGATATCTTTCTGGAATATGCTAATTACACATAGGGCATTTTTGTGCCATTTCACATATCTATCTAACATACCCTAACTAATCCACAAACCATGTCAGTGAGGCAGGCAGAACAGGCCCATTATTCCTTTTGGGGTAGGGGTCCAAATTTTTCTGTCTTGTCTAGAAACCATCCAGAAGCAGAAAAGACGTAGACAGACAGACAGACAGGTAGATAGAGGGATATATATTTTACCTTGATTGTGACAGAGCTTCTTTCTTCATATTTGCATTCACAGCGTAGACAGTATGCTTCTACATCAGGCCCCCGCACAGGCATGGGCTCCACAACATGAAGGCAATCACTGAAAAAACAAAGATAAAATGCTGCTTAAGCCCAGCTAGCTCTTCTGCTTGCTCTGACCAAAAGTTTCCTGAAATCTAGAATAATCACTAAACTTACCCAATGAAAGAGCATAAAAAACAAATAATCAATAAGATAAAGTAAAATAATTTCTGCTCTCAATATTAGCATTTTGGTAAGTTTTAACCATTTAAGAAGCCACAAAGTCACACATATAGTAGTGTCTATTTTCAAAGCTGCTACTGTTAACAGTTACAAAAACGCACACAAAAAATCCCAAATGGGATGAAAAACTACTTAACAAATCAAGTCACCTTTAGACTTGTTCAGTTACTAAGGAAAACTACTTAAAATGGTTTAAAGTGATATGGGGCACTGTTCAAATATAAGATTATCTCTTTTGTGAATTAACATCATTCTTTTTTGTTGTTGTTTTTTAAGAGACAAGGTCTTGCTCTGTCACATGGGCTGTAGTGGAGTGGTGCCATCATAGCTCACTGCAGCCTCAGACTCCTGGGCTCAAGTGATCCTCCTGCCTCAACCTCCAGAGCAGCTATGATTACAGGAGCCTGCCACCATGCCTGGCTAATTTTTAGATTTGTTGTAGAGATCAGGTCTTGGTTTGTTGACCTAACTTGTCTTGAATACCTGGCCTCAAGTGATCCTCCTATCTTGGCCTCCTAAAGTGCCGGGATTACAGGTGTGAGCCACCGTGCCCAGCCAACATCATTCTTAACTGCCAGTGTGGTGTATGAATGACTAACCACGTTTAACAGCGTGGTAAATTCTGAAACTCTGAAAATTGAACCCTCAAAGCCACACACAGGAAGAAACAATCACTTTTCTTAATGAGCAAATCTGAAAAAGCAAGGAGAAATAGAATAACTAAAATATTTTAAAACAAAAACTGGTTATTCCAAAGAACTAAATAAAAACTAACAAAGGGATGAGTGTTTTTGTTGAATGTTACTTATTTCCCCAACCCCATTTTCAAGGCTAATTATTTATGGTTTGTGTAAACACAGTGCTATCAGATTTTTCCTAGAAATCTGTCAATTCTAAGCAATAACTAAATTATTATTCTCCTCAACTATTAAGAGTCTATGACTCTGATCACCTTCAGCAAAATTAGGGAAAGCTTTCCTGTCCTCCTGCCAGCTGTTGGACAATTTTCTTTCCTTTTGGCATCTCTTCGTTAGGCATTCCTGGCTGCCTCAAGCACTCTACTACACCATCCTATCTTATCTTACCCATTCTCTTGGGGACACCCAATACTCTATAGAGTGATTCCTTCTCTTTCCCCACCAAAATGTACTTTTTGGAAACAAAGTTACAGCTTGGTGGGAGGAATAAGTTCTAGTGTTCTATATCCCTGTAGGATGACTATAGTCAACAATAATATATATTATAGTTTCAAATAGCTAGAAGGAGGATTTTGAATATTTTCAACACAAAGAAATGATAAATGTCTGAGATGCTAAATATTCTGATCAAATCACTATATCTTATATGAATTGAAACATCACTATGTATCCCATAAATACGTACAGTTATTGTGTCAATTAAAAATTAATTTCAGCCGGGCGCAGTGGCTCATGCCTGTAATCCCAGCACTTTGGGAGGCCGAGGCGGGAAGATCACCTGAGGTTGGGAGTTCGAGACCAGCCTGACCAACATGGAGAAACCCCGTCTCTACTAAAAATACAAAAAAATTAGCCAGGCATGGTGGTGCATGCCTGTAATCCCAGCTACTCAGGAGGCTGAGACTTGAGAATCGCTTGAACCTGGGAGGTGGAGGTTACGGTCAGCCGAGATCGTGCCATTGCACTCCAGCCTGGGCAATGACAGCGAAACTCCGTCTCAAAAAAAAAAAAAAAAAAAAAGGCCGGGTGTGGTGGCTCACGCCTGTAATCTCAGCACTTTGGGAGGCCGAGGCGGTTGGATCATGAGGTCAGGAGTTCAAGACCTGCCTGACCAACAGGGTGAAACCCCATTTCTACTAAAAATACAAAAAATTATCTGGGCATGGTGGCACATGCCTGTAATCCCAGCTACTCAGGAGGCTGAGGCAGGAGAATCACTTGAACCTGGGAGGCAGAGGTTGTAGTGAGCCGAGATCGCGCCATTGCACTCAGCCTGGGCAACAGAGTGAGACTCTGTCTCAAAAAAAAAAAAGTTAATTTCTAGAAATTCATATTTTCATGTTCTGTTCCCTCTAAACTGTGGCATTAGAAAAAATAACCAAAACGGTATATGATAGAAGTTGTTAGGTTATTCTTTTTTTTTTTTTTTGAGACAGAGTTTCACTCTTGTTGCCCAGGCTGGAGTGCAATGGTGTGATCTTCCTCAACACAACCTCTTCCTCCAGGGTTCAAGTGATTCTCCTGCCTCAGCCTCCCTAGTAGCTGGGATTACAGGCATGCGCTACCATGCCCGACTAATTTTGTATTTTTAGTAGAGATGGGGTTTTTCCATGTTGGTCAGGCTGGTCTCAAACTCCCAACTTCAGGTGATGTGCCTGCCTCGGCCTCCCAAAGTGCTGGCATTACAGGCATGAGTCACCGCACCCGGCCCAGGTTATTCTTAACAGGTAATTTAATTTTAACAAAGGTAGTAATGAAAAATTAAATTTCCACTGATGGTATTTCAAATACGGGTAAGGCCCCACAACTCTCACCATAAAAGTGTGTGATATCTGTTCCAAATATACAGAAGACCAGGCATGTACCCAACTGGATGCAGGCACAAAATGGGCAGAGGGAACTATATCCCATAACAGGTGTTATCTATCTGAGGATCAGAGAGCTCATCTAGCCTCAGGCTTAGAGAAGGTCACAGAGTAAAATCATATTTGAAAAAGGATCAGGCCACGCATGGTGGCTTATCCCTATAATCCCAGAGTTTTAGGAGGCCAACATGTGAGGATCACTTGAAGCCAACTTGAGACCAGCCTGGGCAACATAGTGAGACCCAGTGTCGACAAAAATAAAAATTAGCCAGGTTGATGGTACACACCTGTAGTCCCAGCTACACAGGAGGCTGAGGCTGGAGGACCACTGGAGCCTAGGAGATCAAGGCTGCAATGAGCTATGATCGTGCCACTGCACTCTAGCAATAAAAAAAACAGAAAGGACCAGAATCCAGGACTCCTGCTTCCTACGTCAGTTCTTTACCTCTGAACCTCGGGAAAATGAAACTGATCTATTTAGTTTCCTACTTCAGCTTCAGAAGCTTTGGCAACAATACCTAAGAATGACTTGGGAATTTTAAGTGCTAAGTAAGTATTGAGTATTTCTTTTGAAGGATATATTTTAATAACAAAAAGATACTTGAGTGCTGTGCAAAAGTTGTGCCCAGCTGGAGAGAAAGCAGGAAGGTTGATTTTGGCTGACCAGTCATTACAAACAGAGCTAGACCTAGTCAGAGGTTAACCACTTAAGGAACTAGGCAACACCTCCCCCTAGTGCCAAAAGTAACACATCATTAGCTTTAAATCACCCCAAACACAAACTAGAGCACTCCAACTACTCTTAAGTTTTAAGTCAGCCAGCATAAGTCAATGAAGACTTAAAGATAAAAACTGGACAAAATGAAAGGCCCAGAAAACAAAAGGTAAAACTATATCTAGGCCCTCACAGATACTGGAGGCCTCGTAAAGCCATAATTCTGGTGAATCATAACTTGCCTGCCCCGTAAAGTCAGTTAAAATTTTTCAGTGCCAGCTGGGAACTTATCCCTAGAAAAATGCTAAGCTGCAGAAAAGAAACAAGGGAGAGTGGGAGAGAGGGAAGAAAAACCCCAAGCAAGCCTTATTCTCAACTGTTTATTTTCTTTGTTTCTGTTTTTTTTTTTTTTTTTTTTTTGAGACAGAGTCATGCTCTGTCACCCAGGTTAGAGGGCAGTGGCACAATCTCAGCTCACTGCAACCTCTACCTCTGCGGCTCAAGCGATTCTCTACCTTAGCCTTCCGAGTAGCTGGAATTACAGGCGTGTGCCACCATGCCCAGCTAATTTTTATATTTTTAGTAGAGTCGGGGTTTCACCATGTTGGCCAGGCTGTTCTTGAACTCCTGGCCTCAAGTGATCCACCTGCCTTGGCCTCCCAAAGTGCTGGGATTACAGGTGTGAGCCACCATGTCCTGCCTCAACTGTTTTCAAAGCCAAAGCTATTTTTACTAATAACCAGGGGTTAATGACATATGGTCCTGTCTGAGTCTGAAATAATGAAAAGTTAGTGAAAAGATTAGTGCTAACCACTTGAATAGTGAGTTCATTTGCTACTCAAAAGACAGGCATTGCATTTCATTACTGATAACAGAATAAACTGTAAGCACTGAATAAATTTGGAAAATTTATAGAAGTAACATAAAGATTTATTTGAACATTCTTTTTTTTTTTTTTTGAGCTAGGGTCTCGCTCTGTCACCCAGGCTGGAGTGCAGTGGCGCGATCTCGGCTCACTGCAAGCTCTGCCTCCCGGGTTCAAGCGATTCTCCTGCCTCGGCCTCCCGAGTGGCTGGGATTACAGGCACCCGCCACCAAGCCCGGCTAATTTTTTTTGTATTTTTAGTAGAGACAGGGTTTCACTCTGTTGGCCAGGCTGGTCTCGAACTCCTGACCTCAGGTGATCCGCCTGCCTCAGCCTCCCAGAGTGCTGGGATTACAGGCGTGAGCCACCGTGCCCGGCCTGAACATTCTTGTATCATATAAAGTAACTTCCTGATATAAAACCTTTAAGAATATGGCCAAATCGCTTGGTTAATATGACACCACTTACAGTGGAACATAGAGGTTCACAAGAAGTTCTCAAGAACACACTTAACAAATATGAGACTGAACCTAAATGCGTATCAGGGAAGAACAGACAGTGGCATCAGAGAAACTAAACATACTCAAAGGCTGCCTTTTCTTTTTTAAAGTCAGGTTGGAATACTGTTAACTGAATGAATTTAATCTTGCTTTCTAACTCTTTGATGGCTATTTAGCTATGAAATCAGATACACGTGAAAGCTCCTACCATTTGGAACTATTTTTCCTAAATTCCTATCCCATCCATCTTCCACCGTGGTTACAAACCATAAAACATCACAATTCTATGGGAAGGAACACATTCATCCTGCTGTAATACAACTGCATCCCAACTGCTTCATGGCACACGTAGAAAAAGCTATTTGTCAGGTCTGCTGGGATAAGCAGAGAAGGCTGCTGGTGGCTAGTCAGTCAGGATCCCCCAGTCATCACAGGCCTGCCTGACTGCCCAAGGACTGAACAGGTCAATATCTTGGCACAACTGTAACTTCTTCATTTACACCAAATGGGAAACTCTGACTACATAGCTCATTTCCACTTCTTCTTGAGCCTTCTGACACTTTTAAACATAGCTTCCCATACTTGGCAATACATCATCAAAACCTACAAGTTGTAAAAATTATAACCCAGACAAACGAGGCTTGCTAACCTTCCACTGAAAAGCAAGAGGGAGAAAGGTCCCTCACCAAAACTTGAGGGAGTACAGCAAGATAGCTATGGGTAGTTTAGGTGCCACAAACCCAGTCATATGCTCCCATGAAACTCTGCCTACATGGGTCTTAGTGTTTTGGCTGTATACCTTTAGGCCTGCAGGCATCATGCACGTAGGGCCTCACTCTCACTTTTTCAAATGGAAGTAGAATTTCACATTTTTGCTTCAAATGAAATACTTAAAAAGAAAACTATGCATTTGATGAACATTCTGGGATAACACTGACAACCACAGAAACAAATGTGACAGGTAATTCAGTAATCCAGATACTTACCAATCTTTCTGAGATATGTTCTTATTATAAATATGCCCAGAATTTTCTTTATAGGGAGGGCAGATACATTTACATCTGACATCCTCGAAATTCTGTAACCAAAATGGAAACAGTATAGTGCGTTGACAGTTTATCATCAATATTTTTAAAAACTGTACCATATACATTTTGCCAAGCATCCTCTTTAGAATACCAAGTATTCTAAAATCATTCATTTAAAACTTTAACAGACACAGTTTTTAAAAGCCACAGTCCTTTATGGTAATGCCAATGAATCATTATATATTACATGTAGTTATTTTGAAATAATACCTAATACATGATCTAAGACTTATTAACCATATTTATGGGTCACATGACAATCAAATTATGTTAATGTTATTACCATCTATCTGCCACTAGAAAGACACATGGTAAGCAGATAGTTGTGCCTGTAAATAAGAATATTCATTACTAAAGGATGGGAAAGAAACTAAAAATTATTCACAAAAAAGGTCACAATTCTACCTATCATCCTTTCACCCTCTGGTAGAAGGCACTGACATTGATAAAACGGGTTGGGCCAGAGTCCCGTAGAAGGGATGAAATGTTAGAGGCACCCACCTACAACTAGAAAGGAAGTACACACAGGAAGTAGCCTGACTCTGAGATCAGTTTAGTATACTCTTCCCAGGAAACTTTGCTTCTAATTCCTGGTTGACAGACAGAACAACTACCAACAAAACAAGTTTCAAGAGGTGGAGGAACAGGTGACTAAGTATCTGGATAGAGAAAAGAAGAGATGCTTCCTCAGCAAAGGGGAATCTGTTTGAGAAGGAAGTGGCTTATCATTCCCCAGAGGACCTTGCCCACTCCTCCTATATACAGTGATATGTCTGGCAGAGCTATTGACAATTCACAAACGTATTCAGCAACCACTTAGTGAGCATTTGCTCTGTGTTAGATCTTGTGCTCAATAAGGTGGATTCAGATAAGCATAAGACATGGTTTCTGCCCATAACCAGGACACACCCTAGTAAAGGAGACTGAAAAATAAATACATGATCACAATACATAAAGTTATGAGGCAAGATATGCAGAGGGTGCCAGCAATGTTTTCAAAGTCAGGAGACGTGCTGCTGTCCCTGTTTCTGGTAGGAGGTAGAGATGGTTTCAAAAAGAATCTCTGAATCAAAAACATTTGCCTGCCTGTAACCTTTCCCCACTCCTACATTTAAAGATATTATAAATTAAAGCTCTTATTTTTAAAAACGCAATGTCATTCTGTTTTCCCATCATACTAATGTGAATCCCTTCTGTTCTCCCCCAATGATGAGCTAGCTCATCAAAGAGGAAGCACAGGTATGCATGGAGCTAGGGCAGGTCTGGAGAGCTGGGGCACCAGAGAACAGTATGAGGGAACTAGAAGGTCAAGAAATCGAACCAGGGAGGCCACAACCTCACCTCTCTTGCAGTTTGGTTCTTCCCTTACCCACTAAATTATCAGGAAGAGAGAAAGCAAGAAAGGCACCAAGGGACTCGTGGAGGGAGTTAGGTGAGAATATGAAGCAGGTGAGAGATGCTCCGTAGGCCCTATTGGGAGGGAAGTAGGCCAGGAGGGGCAAGTTCCCACCACAGGAAGGGAAGTGTTCAGGGGTGAGCTGAGCTGAGTCGGCCCTTGACAGGGAAGGCTCTGTCAGATGGGGGCTTCCTATCATTCTGGCTTGGGGCATGCGGGGCCTGTGAGGCTGGCGGAGGGCGCAGGTGGGCTGTCAAGAGCTTAGGGTGGAAAGTTAAAGGCTCTCGGAGGTGAAAAGGTTGTCAAGTGTAAGATGCGTGCAGCCGGGGCTGGGAAGGGAAATGTTAAGGCGGTGGGGGGCTGCTGTCCGGACTGTGGGCACTGTCGGGGCTGGGGACGACCGTGGGGCGCTGCCTGCCAGGCTGTCGGGGCTGAGGGCGAGAGTGCCGCCGGGCAGTCGGGAGGGGCGGGGCTGGTGGCGGCGGGGGTCTGCCGGAGCTGTGAGGCCAGGCGTATGGCTGTCAGGAATGGGCCAAGGAGCAGGTTGGCAGACCCAGTTTCCGCAAGGCCGGTGGTAGGGGAGGAGCTTCCGTCAGGAGCGAGGCTGGGCGGGACTCACCTTGGCGGCGTCTGACAGCTGCGCCAGCAGCAGCACGGAAAGCGCCAGGCACGACAGGCTGAGCAAGGAGCCAAGCCGAAGAAGGCCTCCCCACAGGGTCGCCATCGCTGGGGGCCCAGCGGTCCCACAGCCCGGAGCCCCCGCGACCGGCTCCCGGCTCGGGCTCAGGCTCAGGCTCAGGCTCAGGCACAGGCTTGGGACCCGGCTGGGGATCCTCCGCCCGCACTTCCGTCTGGACGCGAAGGCGTCACCGGGCGCGCCGGGTCAGATGCAAAAAGCATCCGCCCCGGAACCGGTTACCAGTGCGAAGGGCCGGGAGGCTGGGCAGTCCTGGTGCCCGCCTTGGCCTAGCCCCGGCCCCGGGACGGAAGGGGGCCTCTGGGGTGGCAGCCTGGGCCCAGTAGAGCTTTGCATCTCTTGGATATCTTTCCCGGGCGCAGAAGCTGCGGGGCTTAGGGAGTCGCCATTGCGCTGGAAAGTCCTCCCGCCCACGGAGACCCCAGCAAACTCCGAGTGTCACACAGTCGCCTCTGGCGACCCGTGCGGGCCGGAGCCGTTCGCGCACAGGCAGGGCGGGTGCTGAGCGTGGAAACGGGGCTGGAATTGGCCGAGCCATGCCTTTCCGGGATGCCCACCGCCAGTCAAAGGGTTGGGGGTGGTCTCTGCACCTTAAGTACTAACCTGCCGCCCACGCGCCTCCTGACCACAGCACCCCGTCGGCTTTCTAATTCTGTGAGCTGCCCTCGTGGGCGTGGCCTCCCTGTGGAGCTCCCCATGTGCCTCCCCTTGGTCCAGCCTGCAGCTAGGAAGTGGGTCACAGCGACGGGGCTGGGCTGGGCCAGGCCAGGCTCCGGGAGATGTGGAATTGGCGAAACAACTGCCCCAGTAGTATCCTCCGCCTAGGACTCCAAGAGGTGGCGAATTGGGGCACTACGCCCGGGTAAGGCAGTGCCTGTTCAGGGCTGCCGACCTGTCTCCCCAGGGCTGTCATTCTCAGCAAGTACTTTAGGAGTGCCTTAGATCGGCACATTCTCCCATTGAAATATTTTTGTTAGTGGAGACAAGGGAGGTAATGGCAAGGACACGGATCATCACAGCCCCTAGGGATTTGTTGAATGACCTTTGGCAAATCACTTCCCTTCTCTGGGCCTGTAGTTCTTGGCTGAATATGAGGGAATGGATTTCAAATTATGCTCCATGTAATACCCGTGTTTTTACCTCTGTAAACAGATTTTTTTGTTTTTTTTGAGACGGAGTCTCGTTCTGTCCCCCGGGCTGGAGTGCAGTGGCGCGATCTCGGCTCACTGCAACCTCCGCCTCCCGGGTTGACGCCATTCTCCTGCCTCAGCCTCCCTAGTAGGTGGGACTACAGGCGCCCGCCACCACGCCGCCCGGCTAATTTTTTTTTTCTTTTTCTTTTTCTTTTTTTTTTTTTGTATTTTTAGTACAGACAGGGTCTCACTGTGTTAGCCAGGATGGTCTCGATCTCCTGACCTTGTGATCCGCCCGCCTCGGCCTCCCAAATTGCTGGGATTATAGGCGTGAGCCACCGCGCCCGGCCCCAACAGATTTTTAAAGATGGTCTTTTCCCAATTTGTGGAAATGTTTTAACAGAATGCTCTCAATATTTTTCGCCCATGTGATTCTTAGATTCATGTGAATCTAACACAACGTATCTGATACTGTTCCCAACAGGAACCAGGGTGGCAGGGCTAGATGTCCTCTCACCAGACTGCCCAGTGAAGGTGCTGTCACTTTGATGAATTATCAAGGCTTTGTAGTGGGTCTTCTACTGGACAAAGGACAAACTGGAGACTCCCTGGATCAAATGTGTTGGTGAGGCACTGAATCTGATTGCTGAAAGGTGATTCAGCTGCAAGTTAGGCATCAGTTTAGGGTTTTCTAGGCTTGGCATCTAAAGGGAGTGCCTGCTGTAGCTGAAACCTCATAGGCCTTCTCTTCCTTCCGAATTGTTTTCAAGGCCTTGGGGGTACAGAGACTTAGAGAAAATACATAGTTGTGCCTCAGACTGATGGGCCTCATCTGTTTAATGGAGAAACACCAAGCACACTCAGTCTGGGCGGAATTTTAGAGCTCCATAGTATAACCACTATCTAGCTACATGTGGCAATTGAGCATTTGAAATGTGGCTAGACTGAATTGAAATGTGCTGTATAAAATATACACTTAATTTCAAAGACAATATTTTTAAAATGTAAAATATTTCAGTAATTTAAAAATATGGTTTAAATATTTTAGATATGTTGGGTTAAATAAAATATATTAGTAAAATATTTCACTTGTTTTTTGACCTCTTAAATGTGGCTGCTAGAAAATGTTATAGTGCTGTCAGGAAGTGCTGTTCTGGAATACAGAATGTGGCTGCCGTGAGTGGAGTGTGACTATGAGATAGTCGCCTGACTGGAGACAATGAAGCCTCAGGCCAAGGTAAGAGGGCTGACAAGGAAGAACTGGCACAACTAGAGCCGAATGTTTGGGGGAGGTATATGTCTGCCAAAAAATGAATATAATTTCAGGTGACTCAATAGAAGTGGAGGGATCAGTTTCTCTTGTTCTGCCCTGCTCTTATCTAGGTAACTCTTACTTTTCCTTTAGGTCAGGGTTCTTCTAAGCCAGAAAACCTTCACTGACTTAAGTGCACTCCTTTCTATGTTTGCATAGATCTCTTTCTTAACTTTACCCCATTATAGTAAAATTATGTTTTCACATTTGCCTTTATACCCAAACCTCCACCAAAATATTGTGAGCTCTCTGAGGGTAAGGACTTTGTCTTATTATTGTTATACCTGGAGACAGATTAAAACAATATGATGTTTGTGGGGACCAGGGAAAAGGGGAATGGGAGAGGCTCCTCTGGTTAGTCTAAAAGAAAAGTATCAGGCACCTACTTGAATCCTCATTTGATTTCTTTCTGACCATGAGAGGGGATGCTGAGATGCCCAAAGATGTGCAAATGGCGGGATCCGGCGCACCATAGTAGGCAGGGGAGTGAAGATTTCTCACCTCGGGTCTTCCTAGACCTTCAGGTCACACGGGAATTGTTCTGTTTATAGACGGCGCTGGCCTTAGTACTCACTCTCCCTCTATTTTCCTTGCTTCCTTATAACTAGGTTTCCCTACTCACTTCCTCAAAAAGAGTGATGTAGGTCCACGTGTACCCTCCCAACTGGCCTGGGTCCTCTCCCTTCTTTGTAAGGCCTGAAAAATTCCCTGGTGGGGGATGGTTAGAAAAGGAAGAGGAACCTTCTTTGTAAGTGTGCAAGTCAGAAGGGGAGGGAGAAAAGTGACAATTTATATATCTGGGACAAATATATCTTGGACCCAGGTTTTGCCACCTGTCTGCATCCCCCCATGCCCTTTCCCCTCCAGTGATCAAATAGCTCTCTGGATGCCCCTTAATTCTTCCACCCCATCCATTCTGATCTACCCAGCACTTGCCTAGGCAACACCAGTCCAGGAGAACAAATGGAGTTATGCACAACATTGGTGATTTCCTTGTATTGTGGCTCCAGTGGTTATGGCTGGGGACACACACATCCTTCCAGTTATTTCTGAGCATACTCTGGAAACGTCTTATGAGCCCTCTTCTTTATTGTGTGCACCCACTAGGATGCTCCCTCCTACTCAGCCCTGTTTAGTGGGATTTTTCAGCCCACTGTAAAGCCTACTGCTGCCTGTAAAGCCACCTAAGTGCATCACTTGCTGGTGTTCACCATGATAACAACAATTTATGGGGACAGAATATGTTTCTAGAGCTGCTGGTGCCACTGCTGATGTTACTGGGTTCCCTGAAATAAAACACCACAGTGCAGGTGAGTACCAAAGTGGGGAGAATTTTTAGTTCCTTTTAGAGGTGCTAAATCAATATTGTTGATTTCCCAGTACCTTAGAATATTTAATGAAAACAGGTCAGGTGCAGTGGCTCACGCCTGTAATCCCAGCACTTTGGGAGGCCAAGGCAGGTAGATCACTTGAGGTCAGGAGTTCAAGAACAGCCTGGCCAACATGGTGAAACCCCATCTCTACTAAAAATACAAAAATTAGCAGGGCGTGGTGGCAGGCACCTGTAATCCCAGCTACTCCGGAAGCTGAGGCACCAGAATCGCTTGAACTCAGGAGGCGGAGGTTGTAGTGAGTCGAGATCATGCCACTGCACTCCAGCCTGGGCGCATGGTGGCTCATGCCTATAATCCCAGCACTTTGGGAGGCTGAGGCAGTCAGATCACTTGAGGTCAGGAGTTCAAGAACAGCCTGACCAACATGGTGAAACCCCATCTCTACTAAAAATAGAAAAAGTTAGCCAGGCGTGGTGGCAGGCGCCTGTAATCCCAGCTACTCAGGAGGCTGAGGCATAAGAATCCTTGAACCCAGGAGGCGGAGGTTGCAGTGAGCTGAGATTGCACCATTGCACTCCAGCCTGGGCAACAATAGCGAAACTCCGTCTCAAAACAAACAAACAAACAAAACAAAAAAACTTAATGAATACAGTCCCTCCTAAGATTTTCAAATAAATGAAATACCACATTAATCATATTGTTTTATTTTTATCATTACATTAAAAATCAAATAGTATCACTAGGTTTATAATGAAAAACAGCAGACCCTGTCCCAGCCCTCCACACTCTCAGTTTCTACTCCCTAGATATAATCTCTATTCACCCAGCTACCTCTTCTGGTATTTATCTCCGTATTTCTAAATAGCATGCTTATACTACTAATTCTTAATTTTTCAGTTTGGGCCATTATTTTACTTTTTCTATAGGAAATAAGATATGTGTTTATACTCTGAAGACTGGTAATACACACATGTATTTCTCCATCTTCCATCCTTCAGTTTATCTATATCACCCTATATAGGTAGAGTACTATTCATTATACTATTATAAAGGTATGTAATTGATCCAGTTAGCATAATATGATTATATTTCCTTTATTTTGATTGAAGTTAACTATTGCCTCTTTCTCCATGCAACTTTCTTAAGTACCTAGCATTCAAGTGTCTATAATCAATTTATTCCAAACTGTCCTTTCAAAACATTGAAACACATCAAGTAGTCTATCAATCAGTTTATTTTTTAAATTGGAGACAACTCTCTAGGAGCCCATCATCCTCCTTCACTGTGGACTAGTTTTTCTCTAAGCCTACTGCACAGCTTTTGTCCTGAAATAATTTTATCCTTTCTACCCTGTTTTCCACTTCTTTTTGTTTTTCTGAAAGATTTCCACCTTCCAGCTTTTCTTTTGAATTTTAAAATTTCTGTTATGTTTTAAATTTGCCAGAATACTTTCTTGTCAACCTCTCTTTTAATTAAAAATATTTTTTATTTTTGTAATTTAAAGGTTTATTGTAAATTGACAAGTACAAATTGGATATATTTATGGGGTACAAAGTGATGTTATATGTATACAATGTGGAAAGATTAAATCAAGCTAATTAACATATCCATCACTACAAATACTTCTTTGTGGTGAGAATACTTGACATTTACCTTCAGCAATTTTGAAATATACAGTACATTATTATTAACCATGCTATACTCTTTATCTCAAAAAATGTATTCCCTTTATCTAACTGAAACTTCGTACTCTAACCAACATCTCCTTGTTTCCCCTACCACCCCTTCCCCCTACTCTCTGATAACCATCATTCTACTCTGATTCTGTGAGTTTGTTTTAGATTCTACATTAGGAATCATGTGACTTTGTCTGTCTGTGCCTGGCTTATTCCATTCAGCATAACGTCCTCCAGGGAAGCACTTTCTTGTCCACCCCCTTCCCCTTTTTAAATAGCAGTCTGTTCCATTTGGTGGATGCAGTATCTTATTACTCTAAGAATATTGCTAATGTTTTCTTTTGTTTCTTGAATTGTCTGTGTTGAATTTTTAAGGCTTGTTTCTGTTTTGTGTTGGAAGCTTTTCTTAAACGTCTAGAGATCCTTGGCCATCCATTCATATGTAAGAGTGGGGCACTAGAAAGCCAATAGAAAGTTCTGTGTACACTGGCCAGTGAGGTGGCTCACACCTGTAACCCCAGCACTTTGGAAGGCCAAGGCAGGCAGATCACTTGAGGTCAGGAGTTCAAGACCAGCCTTGCCAACATGGTGAAACCCCATCTCTACTAAAAATACAAAAATTAGCCGGGCTGGTGGCGCACGCCTGTAATCCTTGCTACTTGGGAGGCTGAGGCTTGAGAATCTCTTGAACCCGGGAGGCAGAGGTTGCAGTGAGCTCTCCAGCCTAGGCAACAGACCAAAACTCTGTCTCAAAAAAAAAAAAAGTTCTGTGTACATACTTAGGACTTGTAATTGGTAGGACATACTGCAGTATTTTTCAAACTTCTGGTCGCAAACCCATTAGTAGTTTGTGAAATCAATATAATCAGTTTTATTTCCCCCAAATGACAGAACAGAATAGAAAACACCACCTCAGAATACATCTACATAGAAAGAGAATTATTTTATGAAACTTTGGTTTCTTACACATATCATATATACATATTATGTACTGGTTTGATCCCATAAAATGGGAGTTTTTTTTTTTTATTGTGGGTGTTTCTTCAAAGAAATTTGAAAAAGTACAACTTAGGATAATCAAAGAGATCTCCAACTGTCAGGACAGGTAGGTCTTTTCTCTTAGAGAGGTTAAGTTCCGGCCCAGTGCGGTGGCTCATGCCTGTAATCCCAGCACTTTGGGAGGCTGAGGCGGGCAGATCATGAGGTCGGGAGATTGAGACCATCCTGGCTAACATGGTGAAACCTCATCTCTTCTAAGAATACAAAAAATAAGTCAGGCATGGTGGCACGCGCCTGTAATCCCAGCTACTCGGGAGGCTGAGGCAGGAGAATCATTTGAACTCGGGAGGCGGAGATTGCCACTGCACTCCAGCCTGGGCGACAGAGCAAGACTCCGTCTCAAAAAAAAAAAAAAAAAAACGGAGATAAGTTCTCCTGGAGTAAAATTCTCTAAACTTTTGCCTGCATGCTAGTCTGATAGACAGTACTCATTCATTCAGGTATTGGTTGAGGACTTACTATGTGCCAAACACTGTTCCAGGTTCTGGGTATACATCAGACAAAACTGTCTCCTGGGACTAGATTCTAGTGAGGGAGATAAACAGTGGGTTATATAGTATTTAGATCTTGCGCTAGGTAACACAGCAACAGAAGGGAAAGCTGAACATATGCATATAGATGCTGGTAAGAGGGTGGATGTGGTGGATGAATGAAGTAGAAAACAAGGTCATCATCTGAGAGTGAAAATGGGGAGGAAGTGTTGGAAGAAAAGAGAAGGTGTGAAATAATTTAGGACACAGCACAGCAAACTATAGCCTTTGGTCAAATCCTATTTTGGTGCAATCCACAAGCTAAGGATACTTTTTTACTTTTAAACGGTTGGGAAAAAAATTTAAGATGATATTACATCATAGCATGTAACAAATAAATGCAATTCAAATTTCATTTATTTACATATTGCCTCTGGCTACTTTCATGCTACAGTGACAAAGCTGAATAATTGCAAAAGAGACTATGACCTGCTATGCCAAAAATATTTATCTGGCCCTTTACAGAAAAAGTTGGCTGACTCCTGATCTAGGAGGATGGGAAGGTATATAGAGTAGGGAAATATGATTATCAGGCAGCATTAAGGCCTGAAGGTTATGGACATGAATTTAAAGTAAGACTAAACAGCATAGTTGCTGCACAGAAGTAGGTACAAAGGCAAAGAGCTGGCTTTAAAGTTGTGATTTTGCAAACTGAAAATGACAAAAAGGGGTAGACTAAGTTAAAAGTACATGCAAGTTGCATGATTATAATGAGTGATCCTGGGATTTAAGTTGATTATGACAGGAACAGAAGGAACTTGGAGATTAGGGACAATGAAAAGGTGGTAGTGAAAGGAGTGTTGGAGTTAAGTTACTAGATGTCTGGAAGACAGACTGTGGTGGTCAGATAATGAGATAGATTATGGAGGGGTTACAGTTTTTGGTAATAACGAGAGAGATCTAAGGTATGACTGAGAGTGAATGGATGAGAATAGCAGAGAACAAGGTCAGTGGAAAACTACTCTTCAAAGAACCTATAGTCAGGGTGTTGAAAGATTAAAAATTGCTAAGAATTAAATCAGGAGTAGTGCTGCGGGAAATGAAATGAGCAGTGAACTAAACTTACTGAGAAATGAGAGGGGATGACCCAGGGGTTTGTAGATTTTGTAGATGATAGCAATGAAGAGAAGAGATATTATTTGATGGTATGGAACTCAAAGCTGAGAGTTTTAAGGGAAGATAGGAGACGTGTCTAGAAGTAGTAATGAGGAGCAAGAACATCATCTACCCCATCTCCAGGACCAGTAATAGGAGGACTGTGGGAGAAAAAAATCACCTTGAGAGGGCTGTAGTGAAAGCAGTATCCTAAGGTAGCAGCCAAGTTTCAGACTGCTGGGATCCAAGCCAGGGAAAGGTTTCTGACTCTTTAGAATGCTGAGCTTTAGGCTGGGCACAGTGGCTCACGCCTGTAATCCCAGCACTCTGGGAGGCCAAGGTGGGCAGATCACTTGAGTCCAGGAGTTCAAGACCAGCCCAGGCAACATGGTGAAATCCCATCTCTACACAAAATACAAAAATTACCCAGGTTTGGTGGTTCATGCCTGTAGTCCCAGCTACTCAAGAGACTGAGGTGGAGAATCACTTGAGCCCAGGAGGTTGAGGCAGCAGCAAGCCATGATCACACCACTGTACTCCAGCCTGGGCAACAGAGTGAGACCCTGTCTCAAAAAAACAAACAGAATGCTGAGTTTTAAATCCCTATATTCAGTAGGATGTCTCCCCTCAGCTCCCAGTTGTTGTTGGTGGCTTCAACTAGTTCATCTTCCCCAGGAGATAATGAATGAACAAATGAATGAATGAATGAATGAGTTTATAAGGGGCGAGGATCTCAGGACTTCATAGTCTTTCAAGTAATCATCTTGTTTTTAGCCCTCTACCTACTACCTCTTGCTTTTCAGATAACTGATGCCTCCAATTCCTAAGCCTTTTCTGGGGTTCTGTGGTACAAACATGCTTGCTTATTGCTAGTAACACTCCACCAGCCCCTGCCCCAGACTTCTGCTTTCTCTGGTCTACTCAGTTTGTTCCTTGTTTTTTGCTTTCCGGATTCAAAGATTTTGTTGACATTGCCTGGATGCTGCCATCTTTTGTCTCATATTCTTTGTCCTTAATCATTTAACATTCCTTTACTGTCATTTTAATGGCATTTCAGGAGGAAGCCATGTTTCTAGTCCACCGTTCTTTTTTGTTGTTTTTGAGACAGAGTCTTACTCTGTCACCCAGGCTGGAGTGCAGTAGCATGACCTCAGCTCACTGCAACCTCTGCCTCCCGGGTTCAAGCGATCCTCCCACCTCAGCCTCCCGAGTAGCTGGGACCACAGGCATGCGCCACTACAACTGGCTAATTTTTGTATTTGTAAGTAGAGATGAGGTTTCTCCATGTTGGCCAGGCTTGTCTTGAATTCCTGGCCTCAAGTGATCCACCCACCTCAGCCTTCTAAAGTGCTGGGATTACAGGCATGAGCCACCACACCGGGCCAATCCACTGTTTTTTAAAAAGTTGTCAAGAGTTTTGTTAAGGGGTCAGACATGTCTGACTGGTTGACTTTTCCCAGAATGCTGCTTAGTCCCTCAAACACACAAATTCCTGATGGGTCCACCCACTAGGCTTCTGGTATACACAGACAGATCTGAATCCCAGTGGTGGAAACAACCTAGGCTGATTCTGAGTTTCCCACTGCATTTCTTCTTCTAATTGTCCCTCTTTTCCATTCCTGTCCTTTCCCTCATCCCTTACCTGCTGAAAATGAATCTTACCATTTCTAAAATTCCACTCTTCCGGGGGCATCCACAGCTGGATCCTCTTCTTCACTGCCATTCCTCAGGCCTTAGAACAGGTCCCCTTCTTACACCCTTGTGCTCCAACTGGTCTTTATGAAACCTGTTCACTTCAATATACTTTTAGGCCAGGCTCACGCCTGTAATCCCAGCACCTTGAGAAGCTGAGGCCGGTGCATCACTTGAGGTCAGGAGTTCGAGACCAGCCTGGCCAACATGGTGAAACCCTATCTCTACTAAAAATACAAATATATATACATATGCCAGGCATGGTGGCATGTGCCTGTAGTCCCAGCTACTCAGGAGGCAGAGGCACGAGAATCACTTGAATCCAGGAGGCGGAGGTCGCAGTGAGCCGAGATTGTGCCACTGCACTCCAGCTTGGGCAACAGAGCAAGACTCCGTCTCCAAAATATATCTTATCTATATATAGATATAGATAGGTATATATAGATCTATATATAGATATATACTTTCAATTCTCCAATTGTTCCCGTATACCATAGAGAAACTCTTATGAGCTCAGTTTCTGCAGGACTTACAAAACAGGGTAATTGCCTCCTCATTATGGTCAGCTCCAGCACCATTCAAATTCTCTGTCCTTACCCATTTCCAGAACAAGCAGGATGAAAATCACTTATCACTATAGCACCCACCCTTAAGCACAAGGTTATCCAATGTTTTCAAGGAGTCCAGCATTTCATAACAGAACCCCCTGATTAGTTTGCTAACTGATGAAAGCAGAGTTAAATTCCTGTTATGCAGGTTTAGAGTACAGGAGATTCTATGTCCCCATATCCTCTGCCCCCCAATCTATCCCTTGGCAAACACAAGTACCTCTACTAGAATAACCATACTCCCTCTTCCCAACCCACTTCTCTTGTTTAAGGGCACTGGCAGTGTTTGTGTATGTCAACAACATCGGAGTATCTGGGGTCCCTGGAGAGTTAGATTTTCTGTATTAATTACAGACTGGGAGATTACTCTGGCTCCAGTAAAAGCAATACCAGGATTGAAGTCCCCTCTCTGATTATGGTGGCTGGGATTTGCTGGAAGAGGCATAGGTCCAGAAAAGAATGTAAAAAAGGTACTAGAAAGAAAGAATAAGGCCTATAGCCATCAGGCTGCTAGAACCTTTGGACAAGTCACTATCTAAAAGCAGGTAAAGACCCAGCTTTTTGTCCATCTGGTCAGGCACCTGGTGGCGTGAGTCTTTCAGAACATACTGGTCAGGCGGTGGCTCACGCCTGTAATCTCAGCACTTTGGGAGGCTGAGGCAGGAGGATCACTTGAGGTAAGGAGTTGGAGACCAGCCTGGCCAACATGGTGAAACCCTGTCTCTACTAAAAATACAAAAATTAGCCAGGTGTGGTGGCGGGCATATGTAGTCCCAGCTACTTGGGAGGCTGAGGCAAGAGAATCGCTTGAACCCAGGAGTCGGCAGTTGCAGTGAGCCGAGATCACACCACTGCACTCCAGTCTGGATGGTAAAGTGAGAACCCATCTCAAAAAAAAAAAGGAACATACCACAACCCTTCAATAAAAAGGTCTCTGAGAAAACAGTTGTCACAATGTCCATGTACTTGTACTTGACACCATGTGAGAAACAGCCTCCAGTAGGTCACTGGCCAGACAGGTGAGTATGAAATAGGACAACACTGTATTATAGCTCAGGATGCATTGATAATAGAAGTTTGAAGCAGCAGCTGACAGACGAGTCTAAGCAATAACACACAGACTAGTTTGTCTCTGCTCTTGAGAACAGCAGCCTGCAACCCTTCAAACAAGCCATAATGTGTGAGTCAACAAGAAGCTACATTTGATTGACAATGCCATTTTAATAAAGATGTTCTAGAGTCAAAGAATTTGGCGTGAGAAATTGTGCCCAGGCTGGGGTGCAGTGGTGTGATCATAGCTCACTGCAGCCTCTGAGCTCCTGGGCTCAAGGGATCCCCCTGCCTTAGCCTCTGAAGTAGCTGGGACTACAGGCATGCACCACTGTGCCCAGCTAATTTTTAATTTTTTTGTAAAGATAGGGTCTCATTATGTTTCCCAGGCTGGTCTCGAACTCCTGGCTTCAAGTGATCCTCCCACCTTGGACTCCGAAAGTGCTGGGATGTGCTCAATATTAAATGTCATGAAGATACTGTTAAAATAATAATTGTGCTCAATAGTTGTATCTTTATACTATTCTGAGCCTTAGGTTTCTTTTCTGTAAAACTGAACAATACTACCTTCTTTGCAGGGGATAGCATAGTCCCTGGTTTACAGTAAATGCTTTCCTCCAATTGAATCAAGATATACCTCTCTGCTACCTCCCCATCTATTAGAAATGCTTGCCTTCTGGTACCAGAAAAAAAAAAAAAACACCTTCCACATGACAACTCTGAAGACAATAATCACACTACCATTGTGTTTTTCTGGATGTGCCACACATTGTATACATGTCCCTGCCTTACAAATGACATCTCCTATACACAGAGTCCTTAATATTTCTACATGCAATGTATAATCAATTAAAACATCAGTATCATCTTAATGTGAATTTCTGTTAATCCAAGTTCTCCCCCACTATGCAAGTGCAATAAATATTTAAAAATGAAGGTAACAATATATATATATATTTTTTTGAGACAGAGTCTCGCTCTGTTGTCCAGGCTGGAGTGCAGTGGCGTGATCGCGGCTCACTGCAAGCTCCACCTCCCGAGTTCATGCCATTCTCCTGCATCAGCCTCCTGAGTAGCTGGGACTACAGGTGCCCACCACCACTCCCAGCTAATTTTTTGTATTTTTAGTAGAGACAGGGTTTCACTGTGTTAGCCAGGATGGTCTCCATCTCCTGACCTTGTGATACACCCCTCTCGGCCTCCCAAAGTGCTGGGATTACAGGTGTGAGCCACCGTGCTTGGCCAACAATATATATTCTTAACTGTGTAAATTTTAATTTGTTGGTTTTATTCTTTTGAGATTATTATGAATATTGATTCTGTCATTCATCGCTTAAGGACCAGGCAGGTGAACCACTTGACATTTTTTATCATCAGAATAAATTGACAAAAACAAAACAAAATACTTTGAGGTGGAATGGAAGTATCTTGAGTAGTAGTAAAACCATAGTTCTAGATGGTGATAATCATTGTCATAATGAAAGCGTGTTGCTTGTTGACTATTTAACCATGCTGTTTAAGTCATATTAAAAACATCAATACGTCCCTCTCCCTCTCCCCTCTCCCCTCTCCCCTCTCCCCTCTCCCCTCTCCCCTCTCCCCCTTCCCACGGTCTCCTTCCACGGTCTCCCTCTGATGCCGAGCCAAAGCTGGACGGTACTGCTGCCATCTCGGCTCACTGCAACCTCCCTGCCTGATTCTCCTGCCTCAGCCTGCCGAGTGCCTGCGATTGCAGGCGCGCGCCGCCACGCCTGACTGGTTTTCGTTTTTTTTTTTTTTGGTGGAGACGGGGTTTTGCTGTGTTGGCCGGGCTGGTCTCCAGCTCCTAACCGCGAGTGATCCGCCAGCCTCGGCCTCCCGAGGTGCCGGGATTGCAGACGGAGTCTCGTTCACTCAGTGCTCAATGGTGCCCAGGCTGGAGTGCAGTGGCGTGATCTTGGCTCGCTACAACCTCCACCTCCCAGCCGCCTGCCTTGGCCCCCCAAAGTGCCGAGATTGCAGCCTCTGCCCAGCCGCCACCCCGTCTGGGAAGTGAGGAGCGTCTCTGCCTGGCCCCCCATCGTCTGGGATATGAGGAGCCTCTCTGCCTGGCTGCCCAGTCTGGAAAGTGAGGAGCGTCTCTGCCCGGCCGCCATCCCATCTAGGAAGCGAGGAGCGCCTCTTCCCCGCCGCCATCCCATCTAGGAAGTGAGGAGCGTCTCTGCCCGGCCGCCCATCGTCTGAGATGTGGGGAGCACCTCTGCCCCGCCGCCCTGTCTGGGATGTGAGGAGCGCCTCTGCTGGGCCGCAACCCTGTCTGGGAGGTGAGGAGCGTCTCTGCCCGGCCTCCCCGTCTGAGAAGTGAGGAAACCCTCTGCCTGGCAACCGCCCCGTCTGAGAAGTGAGGAGCCCCTCCGTCCGGCAGCCACCCCGTCTGGGAAGTGAGGAGCGTCTCCGCCCGGCAGCCACCCCGACCGGGAGGGAGGTGGGGGGGGGGTCAGCCCCCCGCCCGGCCAGCCGCCCCGTCCGGGAGGTGAGGGGCTCCTCTGCCCGGCCGCCCCTACTGGGAAGTGAGGAGCCCCTCTGCCCGGCCAGCCGCCCCGTCCGGGAGGGAGGTGGGGGGGTCAGCCCCCCGCCCGGCCAGCCGCCCCGTCCGGGAGGTGAGGGGCTCCTCTGCCCGGCCGCCCCTACTGGGAAGTGAGGAGCCCCTCTGCCCGGCCAGCCGCCCCGTCCGGGAGGGAGGTGGGGGGATCAGCCCCCCGCCTGGCCAGCCGCCCCGTCCGGGAGGTGAGGGGCGCCTCTGCCCGGCCGCCCCTACTGGGAAGTGAGGAGCCCCTCTGCCCGGCCAGCCGCCCCATCCGGGAGGGAGGTGGGGGGGTCAGCCCCCCGCCCGGCCAGCCGCCCCATCCGGGAGGGAGGTGGGGGGGTCAGCCCTCCGCCCGGCCAGCCGCCCCATCCGGGAGGGAGGTGGGGGGGGTCAGCCCCCCGCCCGGCCAGCCGCCCCGTCCGGGAGGGAGGTGGGGGGATCAGCCCCCCGCCTGGCCAGCCGCCCCGTCCGGGAGGTGAGGGGCGCCTCTGCCCGGCCGCCCCTACTGGGAAGTGAGGACCCCTCTGCCTGGCCAGCCGCCCCGTCCGGGAGGGTTGGGGGGGGGTCAGCCCCCCGCCCGGCCAGCCGCCCCATCCGGGAGGTGAGGGGCGCTTCTGCCCGGCCGCCCCTACTGGGAAATGAGGAGCCCCTCTGCCCGGCCACGACCCCGTCTGGGAGGTGTGCCCAGCGGCTCATTGGGGATGGGCCATGATGACAATGGCGGTTTTGTGGAATAGAAAGGCGGGAAGAGTGGGGAAAAAATTGAGAAATCGGATGGTTGCCGGGTCTCTGTGGATAGAAGTAGACATGGGAGACTTTTCATTTTGTTCTGTACTAAGAAAAATTCTTCTGCCTTGGGATCCTGTTGATCTGTGACCTTATCCCCAACCCTGTGCTCTCTGAAACATGTGCTGTGTCCACTCAGGGTTAAATGGATTAAGGGCGGTGCAAGATGTGCTTTGTTAAACAGATGCTTGAAGGCAGCATGCTCGTTAAGAGTCATCACCACTCCCTAATCTTAAGTACCCAGGGACACAAACACTGCGGAAGGCCGCAGGGTCCTCTGCCTAGGAAAACCAGAGACCTTTGTTCACTTGTTTATCTACTGACCTTCCCTCCACTATTGTCCTATGACCCTGCCAAATCCCCCTCTGCGAGAAACACCCAAGAATGATCAATAAAATAAATAAATAAATAAATAAATAAATAAATAAATAAATAAATAAAAGAGTGACTCACATCTCTGGCTGGATTGCCAGGGGACCTTGGGCAGATTTCTTAGCCTTTCTGAGCATTCAGTTATAAGGGCAAATATTTTTGGAGGCACAGTGTGGACGCGTAGTATGAACTGAATGAAAGAAATCGGTTTCGTCAAAAATAAACAGAGTTGAATTAGTTGTTAAAAAAAAAAAAAAAACATCAATACTTAAAAGGTAAGTTTCCATCATCTTGAAAATACATTTATTTGAGATGCCATTTGGACAATGACTTTAACTATATATTAAGGTTCATTCAACTCTTTCCCTTCCCAAACCTCTCCTATTTGTTTGAACTAAATATTTCCTTTTTTTTTTTTTTTTTTTGTTTGTTTGTTTGAGACAGGGTCTTGCCCTGTCGCCCAGGCTGGAGTACAGTGGCTCAATCATGGCTCACTGCAGCCTAGACCTCCAGGCTTCAAGTGATCCTCCTGCCTCAGTCTCTCAAGTAGCTGGGACTACAGGTGCATGCCACCACTCCCGGCTAATTAAAAAAAAAAATTGTAGAGAAGGGGGTCTTGCTATGTGGTCCAGGCTGGTCTTGAACTCGTGGGCTCAAGTAATCCTCCAGCCTCAGCCTTCCAGAGTGCTGGGATTACAGGTGTGAGCCACCGCGTCCAGCTATATTTCCTTTTCTAGAAGTGTTCTCTCGGACTGCTGACAGGTCCACCATAAAAGATTGTTCCCGTATATGAAGTTCTGAGTGACTACCATATGCCAACCACTCTATATGGATTTTCTTATTTGACACTGTGAGGTAAGCACTTTTATTACTTCTGTTTTATAGATTACAAAACCAAGCTCAGTGAGGTTTGCTAATGTGCTCGACATACAGTCAGTAAGAGACACCTGAAGGGCCAGTAGCAATGGAGGAACAGGAGACCCTAAGAGAAAAATGCTGATGCAATTAGACTTTACCTAGTCTCCCCCACCTTCCAGACTGGAGCCCTGACACAAAGACTTTGTCAGACAAGCACACAGAGGGGAAGATTTCACTTTATTGTTACATCAGTCTCACAAATGAACCCAACACAGCCAGAAACACTGAAAGGATAAAGTGCCAATGCAGAGAGGCCTGGCAACAGGAGGAGGGAGGAATCCAGTTCGTCTCCTCCACGTCCCCAGCCTGGCAATATATTTCTATTACACAAGAGTGAGGGCAGCTGACATACCAGGCAACCCATTGTATAGACACTTTGAGCTAAGAAATAGAAAATTGTACCAGGTAGGGTCTGTGCAGGGCAAGAAAATAGAAAGAAGTCAGAAAATGTTATTTTCCCGAGTCAGGCATGGAAATATCAAATGATAAAACCAATATTTTTCAAACTCTGTTATTTGAGATAGACATCTAATAAGGAATGAGACAGGTCTGGTGCTTCATGCTACTGCCTATTTTCAGAACTATGACACCCTTTCTCCCACACCCTCAATGTAAGGTACCAGAATTTTTTAGGACTCCTGGGAAAAACTGACCTCACCTTCTTACCTTCTCAGCCCCCAAAAATTAGACCCAGTGCTCCCTCATGCACATCAAGGAGATATGAGCTAGGAGAATAATCAACTTGGAGGCATTTAAAGAAAGTGAATGAAGGCCGGGTGCGGTGGCTCACGCCTGTAATCCCAGCACTTTGGGAGGCTGAGGTGGGCGGACCACAAGGTCAGGAGATCGAGACCATCCTAGCTAACACGGTGAAACCCGTCTCTACTAAAAATACAAAAAATTAGCCAGGCGTGGTGGCAGGTGCCTGTAGTCCCAGCTACTTGGGAGGCTGAGGCAGGAGAATGGCATGAACCCGGGAGGCGGAGCTTGCAGTGAACCGAGATCGTGCCACTGCACTCCAGCCTGGGCAACAGAGTGAGACTCTGTCTAAAAAAAAAAAAAAAAAAAGAATAAACCAGCAGGAACCTTCAACATGCCTCACTGTGGCTAAGAGTCAAGGCTCAGAGTAGAACTTTCAAGTAGGGAAGTAAAGGGTGAGCTTTACTTCAACTTAGTACCAGGATAAGAGGCAGGCCAAAGTATTGCCATGAAAGGTAGGGAAGGAGCATGGAGAGGCCTCAGTGGAAAGGTACAAATCCCCGCTAGGTAAGAGAATGGGGTGTTGCTAGAGGGAGTGCTGAAGGCTGGTAACCCCGGGATCACCCCTCATGAGCTTTAGATATAGCCTCCCAACCATGGCTGTGCTTAGCTTCCTATCTAGCTTCTTTAGGTAGAGGCTGATAGGAAGGGGGCCTAGGGAATGACCCCATGACAACTGACTGCAGTATGGCTGCCTAGTTGTTCAAATGATAGTCACCAAGTTCCTAGGCTTTAGGGAGCTTCTGTGAGGCCCAAATCATTCAGAGTTCCAAAGGGCTGTTCAGTAGGGGCAGTTGCTGAACACCAGACAAGGTAGTTGGTAGTACTTGGCAAAGTTCAAAGTGGGATCCTTTAAACAAACACTCTGAGAACTACTGCTATGACACAGGGTAGACTTGGGAATATCTTAAAGGGATACCCACAGCTAGCTATTTTTCTGACTTGTCCAAGCACTTCTATGACCAAACTGAAGGGGAGATTCCATTATAGACACCTGTGTGCCTAATGTGACACCCCAGTCAAAAAGCTTCAAGAAACCTTGTATTCTCCCCAACCTTTGACAGGGGTCAGGAAATACTGGGCAGTTATAAAAAGTTGTCCTTAACATTGCCGGCTCCTGCTCTGCCTCTTTCCTTGTATCAGGACAGAACTGAACATCTCAATTCCCTGCCTGAAAATGTCATTCCCTGCCTCCCAGAAAGGTTTATCTAGATAGGCCTCTCCACCAACTGATTCTACTCAGTCTACTCCCTTCTATTCTGGCCTTGCTCTTTTTTTCCCCCCATCTTTCTCTACTCCTGGTTTCCAGCTACTTCAGTCCTTGACAGACACATAATAGGATGGGCAGAAATGCTGATCGGATCTTGGGAGTAATCAACGTCTGACAGTGACACTCTGATTTACTTAAGCCTTCAATTCCATATCAGAGAGGGATTAATATTCCTCTGTCTGTGGTTCCTCCTTTCCTCCAAGAGGTTCACAGTGAGAAACCATTTCATTCATCTTTGTACGCTCGTTTTTAGGCACCAAGATGAGGGCCTAAATGTGACAGTTTGGGGCAAGGAACTTTTACTGGGCTTGGCACACAGGAGGGAGAGCTACCCAAATCATCCTAGCATCCATCTCCAGAGAATATTCCTCCCATGCTCTGCCTTTTTTTTTTTTTTTTTAACACATTCTCACCTCTTTGCCCTCCTGTTAAAGGCTTGAATACAAATGAGGCAGCATGGGAGTCTTGGCTTGGAAATCAGGTCTGCGTTCTTGGTCCCTTCAGTCACTGACCTAATATATGAACTTAGACAATTCACTTGCCTCTCTGGACCTTTAAATGAAAGAGTTAAACTGTAATGGATAATGTCCCTGGGCTCTTTCACATAATCCATACTTGAGAAATCAATGAATCAATTTGAAGAAACTCTAATTCTAAGACATAGGTATCCTGGCACCTGTTTGAAACAGCTGAAAGGAGGTAAAGGTCAGGTTCCTGTTTATTATACATTTAGCTATAGGAAAAGAAGCACATATATCTATGGAGACACAGAACCTGGCAGCCCCTATACTTGACTAATAAAAGCAAATTCCTGGAAGAAGCAGAGAAATAGGCCACAAGTGAGACTGGCAGTGTCAAAAAAGGTCTATAAGTTAAGTGATCAAAGTAGTAAAAAACAATGGCCATAACCAGACAAGATCTCTAAGCATAGACTATAGTCTAGAGAGGTCTGAATGGGAAGGAGCCCCTGGAGCTTCTATTAGATGGAAGGACTTGGTCCACAGCAAGTCACTACGGCATTTGGTTCAAACCCAGTTTTCTCTATCTGTCAACCCGGTGTGTATGCATGCACACGTGCAGACATGCTGCAGGCTGTAGTTATGCTTCTGAAGTGCTGAAATGAGAAATAAATATCAGGAGAAATAATGCCAAATTCAAAAAAAGTTAAGCTGAAGGCAAGTAAAATTTTGCTTTCAAAGCTAGTCATTTCCCTACCACTCTGTGTGGCATCACCATTGCTCATTCTGATGTGTGCACTACAGAGTTTTGTGGGGTGATGAACTCTGGGTGTGGGGAAGGGTGGATTTGTAGTATAATTGAAAGCCAAAGACAGGATACAACCCCATGTCCTGTCTGAGAACCACCACCACCCTGCTCGCAGCTGATGACAAATGGATGTGACTTGATCTGACCCATTTGGGCACTCACTTGTCTTCATTCAAAGAGACTGTCTCCACAAAAGGGATTTCTTCCTTGTCTGTCTTCCCCATGATCAGCCGGTGCTTATCCAAGTTTATGATGCACTGAAAACAGGTAACTTGTCAGTGATACCACTATGAGTTCCTGTGTAAGAGGATACCTGCCTCAGAGAGGAAGTATCAAGGGGTAAGTGGAGTCAATCTTACCTTCAGAGATCGGAGAGTCTGTAGACCAAGGGACAAGTTTTTCTCATTGTCATCTAATAAAAACAAAAAAATGATTAAGATTTAGCCATTTCCATGCTTGCTTAGAAGTTGGCCTAATCACTATTAGGTTCCATCCATCCATCCAATAACATCCAATAAACATATATTGAGCATGTGTTATTTTTTTTTTATTTTTTTTTTATTTTTTGAGATGGAGTTTCGCTCTTGTTGCCCAGGCTGGAGTGCAGTGGCGCAATCTCGGCTCACTGCAACCTCTGCCTCTCAGGTTCAAGCAATTCTCCTGCCTCAGCCTCTGGAGTAGCTGGGATTACCAGCACCCACCACCACGCTTGGCTAATTTGTGTATTTTTAGTAGAGACAGGGTTTTGCCATGTTGGCCAGGCTTCTCTCGAACTCCTGACCTCAGGAGATCCACCCGCCTCAGCCTCCCAAAGTGTTGGGATTACAGGCATGAGCCACCGCGCCTGGCCGAGCATGTGTTATATTAAGTAATTTTCCTAGATCATTAAACTTACAAGGCAATAGAGCCAAGATTCAAACCCAGGTCTTTTTTACTCTAAAGGACAAAGGCCTTTACACAAAAACCAAGAACTTGGAGTAGTCAAGAGTAAAATGTAGAGAAGTGTGGAAACTGGTGGGAAATTATCAAGGGATTTATGGCAAAGGAGTAAGTAAGTTGCTCTCTGTCTCTAACTAGTTCATGGAAAGCTCTCAAGGGACATTTTCACCTATACATAAAAATGTGTTTTCTTGCTCCTTTTTTTTTTCTTTCTTTTGAGACGGAGTTTCGCTCTTGTTGCCCAGGCTGGAGTGCAATGGCGCGATCTCTGCTCACTGCAAGCTCTGCCTCTCGGGTCCAAGCGATTCTCCTACCTCAGCCTCCCAAGTAGCTGGGATTAAAGGTATGCGCCACCAGTCCCGGCTAATTTTGTATTTTTAGTACAGACGGGGTTTCTCCATGTTGGTCAGGCTGGTCTCGAACTCCCAACCTCAGGTGATCTGCCCGCCTTGGCCCCCCAAAGTGCTGGGATTACAGGCGTGAGCCACTGCGCCCGGCCTCTTGCTCCTTGAATTTTTTTTTTTTTTTTTTTTTTTGAGACGGAGTCTTGTTCTGTCGCCCAGGCTGGAGTGCAGTGGCACGATCTCAGCTCACTGCAAGCTCCGCCTCCCAGGTTCACGCCATTCTCCTGCCTTAGCCTCCCGAGTAGCTGGGACTACAGGCGCCCACCACCACGCCTGGCTAATTTTTTGTATTTTTAGTAGAGATGGGGTTTCACCGTGTTAGCTAGGATGGTCTCGATCTCCTGACCTTGTGATCCGCCCGCCTCGGCCTCCCAAAGTGCTGGGATTACAGGCATGACCCACCGCACCCGGCCGAATTTTTTTTTTATCTGACCACATTTGTTTTACTGATTGATTCTCAACATGTCTTGAATGTAGCTCAGGGCCCATCTATTACTTTGGAGAGCAAAAATTGGGACAAGGTCTACAGTACAAAAAAATGGGAACCATTTTGAAAAAGTCAATATTTACAGGCATGAGATGACATGAGGTTTTGTTGGGGGTAGGGAGAGGGTTTCCGTTAGGGTCCATAGGTCCAGCCCTCAATTCTGCTTACCAACCACAGCTGCTGGGCAGTCCAGGCGGAGGGAGCCCAGTGTGATCACTAGGTGCTCAATCTGGCCCACTACTTTGAGATGCCGGGGTAGAGAAAGCTTTTCTCCTTCATGCTTGTGGGATTTGACATGCTCCTTGAGTCTGTACCAAAGAGGAAGATACCAAAATCCCCTTGACAGAGATTCCTGGTAGAATCCTGCAATGCCTACCTTCTGACCTACAATTGGAATTCTCCAGGGATCTCCTGGGATTAATCTACCGAAAAGTGCTAGCCATCCTACATATGTTGTTCCAGCACTTTGTCCTAAACATGCCAGGGAGATATAAAAACACTAAAGACTCATCTCCCGTTCTCAAAAACCTTACATCACTTATGTGTATTGGTGAAGAGAGGAGAACTGATATATTCAGAGAATCCTATTCTGTATCCTACTATCCCCACTATTGTGTGAGGCAATTGAGTTGACACATCCTTTTACCCATCTGTGAGTAACAGATACTAGAGAAGTCAGATTAATCCTAATTTTATAAGGTGCTTTGTTCAATGTGTAATTTTCTCATTGTCCTTTCTATTTCACTCTGTCTTCATCAGTCTGTCTTAGACTATAATGTTAATGGAGGCAAGTACTTATTTGGTAAGTGCACTGATATTCATATCAGCAAGGAATATCATGGAGAAAATCCTTGTTAATTTAACTTGTCTGTGCAGGGGAGGAAGGAAAGAAACAGTACCAAGGTTTCACATGTTACATAAGCTGATTGGAATAGCTAGCACCCGAGCTATTATGGGTTGGTGGATAAATACTTAATTATGAACTTTCTGTGCCAATACTTCTGCTTTCCTCTATTTCCTCTCTTTTGGTGTTATAGCCCATCCAAAAGAAAAATAATTGCAGTTTTACAGATGGTTATTAATTCCTCTGGAATCATGGCAGTCTGCTGCCTAATTATGCACCAGGACATTGTTAGTCTTTCTGGAACCATCATGTTGCACTATACTTCATATTTTTACCACACAAAAGCTCAGGGCTGGGTGCAGTGGCTCACGCCTGTAATGCTAGCACTTTGGGAGGCTGAAGCGGGCAGATTGCTTGAGCCCAGGAGTTGAAAACCATCCTGGGCAACATGGCAAAACCCCCTCTCTACAAAAAATACAAAAAATTAGCTAGGCATAGTGGCGCACACGTAGTCCCAGTTACTCGGGAGGCTGAGGCAGGAGGATCACTTGAGCCCAGGAGGCGGAGGTTGCAGTGAGCTGAGATTGCACCACTGCACTCCAGCCTGGGCAACACAGTGAGGCTCCGCCACACAAAACAAACAAAAGAAACTACTGGCTAATTACCCTTATGATGGCCCAGGCCCAGTAGCAGCTGCAGTCCTATTCTCAGTTCTGATGGATGTTTCTTGGGGACCTGCAATGCATCCTCCAGAAAGACTCTGAGTAAGCTAAGCCCCACCACATCCCTACTTTTACTCATCTGGATGGAGTATACCAACAGGACAGCTCCTTTTAATTTGCTATCTAGTGGATCAGGGCAGGGCACACAATGAGCCAGAGGTCTCAGGCTCTCTCATTCAAGTTTAGAGGTCTTTGCTCAAAACTTAATAGGGGGAGTTAACAGAAAGCCAAAGGTTTCCCTGCTCACTGATTTCTCCCACTTGCCGGATAACCCACTACTCCTCCCCTCTACTAAGGATTCTGGTTCCAGCTGAGATCTGAACTCTGCATACTTCTCTTTGAGCTGCTGTAGAGACCCTCACCATCTCTAACCATAAAATAGAGTCAAGCGAAGAGTACAGTCACATCTAAGTTCCACTCAGCACAAGTGCCTACTTACCCCAATCTGTCCACACAGGCCAAAGAGATGAGATTATATAGGCAGCCTGTGTCAACCAAGGCTTTCACATCCTTTCCAGCACACTGTGGGGAGGAAATGTACTGTTCAATAAGAGCCAGAGAAGCGAAAGGGAAAGGAGATGCAGACAGCAAGCAGCAGATGTCATATGAAAGGCAGGGTTGGAGAGCATCCTCCCAATTATGGGTTATAGTGTCCCATCTTTACCCACTGCTAAGTCTGCCTTTGACTGGCTCTTGTTCCTGCTGAATCCAGAGCTGACAGAAGATCCCCCAAAAACTCTAGGTGTTTCATGCTATACACCAAATAGCTCTTAATCTTTTTTAAAAAAATCACATACCCATTTGTAAATCTGATGAAAGCTTTGTTCCTTCTTCCCATAAAGATGCACATGCTTACAAAATGTTGCATACACTTCCAGTGTTGCATGGAGTGCCCCTTTTAAAACTCACTTATGAATTCCATGAGACCCACACTCTATAAAGTCAGGAGGAGAGGGCCCCACATCCTACTTTCCAGAAAACCCTGGAAAAGCTGTTCTCAGAACATTACCTGGCAAGAAACCAAAATCATGTCATCCTCCTCAGACTTCTTTAGCCCCTCAGACTTAGCCTGATTGAGTTTGTTCGTCTTAGAGGCCCAAGGGACACGGGGACCGCTTCGGAGCTTAGACAGGTTGGTTTCCATGAGGCGCCTCTGCAGAATATTATGAGGTTGCTTGAGGGATAGAAAGCAGAGACTTCTTAGTGACAGGCCACATCCCTCTTTCCCATTGTCCCCCAGGTGCCATAAAAATAATGAAGGAGCCTCCCATAACTGAGCTCTATCTTTGCTTCTTATTTATACTTCCTTCAAGTGAGGACTTCACTGGTATTGTCAGAGCAGGTACCATAAACCAATTTGCAGTAGGCCACCCTGAATGAATGAAAATGCAAGATATGACACTGGGAAATGTGGAGAGGGCCGATAAATATTCTAGGGCTTAAGAGAACTGAGAACCCTTGTGATTTGGACTAACCTAGGCCTGCTACCTTTCTTCCCCTTACAAGAGCATTTCAAGGGAAAAGTGGTCTTAGTCTAGAGTAAGTAATCTCTGTATCTTCCTAGGTGACAGCAAATCACTGCCTTATAGAAAGGGCAGCTCATTTTCATAGGCTGAAGAAACTTAGCTAACACAGGTATTCAGAAGCTCTGCCTACTTCTGTGTCAAGTCTCACTCTCTTATCTTTCAGATGCAGCCTGCAGAAGCCTTAGTGGCTGGCTGTCCTGTGGACTGAGTCACCCATGGGTGGATAGGGTGAAAAGACAGGAATTCACACTTGCTGAGCAAGCCTCTCAGCAGACACACTTTGAAACCTGAGCGAACACACAAGAATCATCGATGCTGGCATCCCCTGGTCCTCAAAACACTGGTTTCTCCTGCCCTATCTTGTCATCCATTTCCCTTCCCTTCAATGGCCCAAAAAGTGGAGGTATGAAGGGGAAAGACACTGACCAAGAAGCAGGGGACTTAATTAGACCTTATATGCATGCCAGGATGCCTAATGTTAAGAAGCAGAATGAGAAGTGTGAGTTTAAGTCTACACTTTGATAGAGCTTAGGAGAGTTCCTAGGGCAGATATAATCATGCTCCACTGTTTCTATTCAAAGTGGCCTCCAGAAAGTTTAAGATATCTCTTGAAAAGAAATCCTTTGACTGGAGAAATTTGTATACACAAATATCTTATGTCCCGGCTACAATACCATTTAAAATCCCTCAAAGGAGAGTGTTTAACCTAAAATCCCTCAAAGGAGAGTGTTTCACCCCAAGTTTCTATCTAACATATACCAGATGACACTTTCATTCTATGGGGAAGGAAGTCACTCTTAGAAGCCCAGAGCCTAGAACCTTTCAAGGGGAGGGGCTGGCACTGGAGGTCTTCAGTGTATCTGCCACCTTTCAGATTCCTAAGGAAGAATGCAGTCACAGCCATGACTCATTGTAACCCTAGTGAGATGAAGAAATGGATTCCCAAAATACACTGATTCTTGGCAAAGCACATTCTAAACTGGTATCTTTGGGAAAAGTGGAGGGAGAGGCACTTGTAAAGAAAATGAGAGCTTCTTAGCTTGACTAGGAGCTAGAGGAAGTGCTAACTCTGTCAGATTTTGTGATGCAACACTGGGATAATGCTTTGCTTCTCAAAAGAAATGAAAATGTTTCATTCGAATCTCTCTCACCAATAAGAATGGATTCCTAGCTCAAGCCATACTAAAGCAGGGTGTTTGTTTCTGTTACATCCATGCTTACCAGGACCAACTCAGATAAAACTGGACTTGTAGAAGTGAAGATTGGAAGGAGTTTCAAAGACCACCTAAACAAAGCCCTCTTACCTAAAGTTTGGGGATGTCTTCCTACATTGGTCTTGCTAAACACTTTATCTAGTTCTTAATCTTGCAAAGGAACCTAATCATTAGTGGACAGATGAGACAAACGAGGGAAGTTCTGAAATCATTATGCTTGAATTCATCCCTTTTCTGTATTTTCCTCTTTCTACTGGATTCTTCTTCCAAAAGTTATAAAACATACTAAAAGTTCCTAGATATTGGGGAGCAAACTCCTCCACAAAATGTCAGATCCTGCTGCCTTTACTCTACAGCCTCCTTTAATCACCCTCCTTATCTGGAATGGTCTTTTTAAAAAAAGACTAAACCATGACATCTATTTTCTGATATCCCATATTTTCTTCACTGAGATCACTTCTTATCCCATACCAATAATTACCTCTGATTTCCAAATACAATAGACATTTTCAGCCTTAATTTTACCAGACTTTTCTAGTGCATTTGGCCCTGCTGACTATTCCTTTACTTGTTCTTTAGTAACCAAAAAAGGTTCAAACACATGCTCAATGTAAAATACTTAAGTATCACTGAAATATATAAAATAAAAAGCAAAGGCCAGGCACGGTGGCTCACACCTGTAATCCCAACACTTTGGAAGGCCGAGGCAGGCGGATCTCTTGAGCTCAGGAGTTCGAGACCAGCCTGTCCAACATGGCAAAACCCTGTCTCTACTAAAAGAAAAAATACAAAAATTGGCCAGGCATGGTGGCATGCACCTTTAATCCCAGCTACTAGAGAGGGTGAGACAGGAGAATTGCTTGAACCCAGGAGGCCGAGGTTGCAGTGAGCCTAGATCGCACCACTGCACTCCAGCCTGGGCAACAGAGCAAGACTTTATCTCAAAACAATAAATAAATGAACAAATACATAAATAAATAAAATTAAAAGCAAAAACCTCCCCAATCTCTCAAGCCCTTCTCAGTCCCACTCCCAACAAATAATGACCATTAAATTTAGAAATATATCTTTCAAAAAATATTAATACATTTATAAACATATAAAAGACTAATCATACTATAAAACTGTTCTGAAATTTTCTATTTTCATTTAATATATAAAAGCATTTTCTGTCCAGGTGCGGTGGCTCACACCTGTAATCCCAGCACTTTGGGAGGCCAAGGCGGGTGGATCACGAGGTCAGGAGATGGAGACCATTCTGGCTAACACAGTGAAACCCCGTCTCTACTAAAAATACAAAAAATTAGCCAGGTGTGGTGGTGGGCGCCTGTAGTCCCAGCTACTTGGGAGGCTGAGGCAGGAGAATGGCATGAACCCGGGAGGCAGAGCTTGCATTGAGCCGAGATCGCGCCACTGCACTCCAGCCCAGGCAACAGAGCAAGACTCCGTCTCAAAACAAAAAGGCATTTTCTATGTCAATATACATAATTCTTTTCATTCTCTTTGATAATTAAAAAGTACTCATAATATAGTTCAGGAATAGAAAATTTACAGCCAACAAACCCATATGAACCTCAGAGATGTTTTTCTCTGGTCATTTTATTATACCTACATATACTATATCTTAAGTAACAATATAGCTGCATATTTACCTCTGCTTTCAGCCAAAATTTCACTAAAATGACAGTAAAAGAATAAGTCCTAAACCCACAAAACAAAAAGAACAATAAAGAAGAAAAAAAAGATGTTGACAAAATTCTGGAATCTGAATAGCAGGCAGAAAAGCAGCAATTAATGACCTGGACTAGAGAAAGCTAAGTGCTTTATACCATTTCACTTCACAGAGAGCTGAAGCAGCAGAGGCTGCCAGTTGCTCTTTAAAATCCTCTTTAAAATTCTCCTCTTCCTCATGAGAAGATACCTAGACTGTTTCCTAGCCCTCTTTGTAGTTAGGCATAGCCATATGACTGAGTTCTACAGAATAGAATGTGAGTGGAAGTGACATGCACCATTTCTATGCCTGGCCCATAAAAATCTCCTGTGCATACTTCTCTATATTCTTTTCCTCTTCTGACTGGCTGGAGTGGAGATGACCACTATGGTTACCTTCTCAGAGGCCACATGTTGAAGACAGAAGAGCTACTGTTAGTTTGAGTCTCTAAAGGACTATATGGAAGAGGCTGTCTTGTTGACTTTTCCACTAATACTGTTACTTAAGAAAAAATAAACTATTTTGTTTGAGCTGTTATATATTTGCATCTAGCTGTAAAAGCAGTTGTACTACTCAAACTAAAATTAAAAGGCTGAGGAGTTACAGGTATCAGAACCTCTACAGTTGAAGGATGCAATTAGGGTTGGAAATAGACTAAAGTCTTCATGAGACTCACTTGATCTGGAGAACTGAGGAGAATGCCAAAAGTTTACTCTTCTTGTAAGAGTAAATAAAAAGACTGATTAGTTGATAGCTTGGCTAGGCTTTCAGATTTCGAGAACAGCTGAAGGGTAGTGTGGGTTATCATACTAAGCCAGAACTGAAGGACATGAGTTTAAAGATTGAAAGGGCCCACATGGAGCCTACCATAATGAAGGAAAAAAGATCCACATCAAGATTTCACATCACTGTGAAATTTTGGAATAGCATTGATGACAAAGATTCCACAAGATTCCAAAGAGAAAAAGATGATCAAAATACAAAGGATTAGGAATCAGAATAGTAGAGGACTATTCAACAGTAACAGTCAAAGCTAAAAGACAATAGAATAATGCCTTCAAAAATCTGGGGCCGGGCGCAGTGGCTCACGTCTGTAATCCCAGCACTTTGGGAGGCTGAGGTGGGCGGATCACGAGATCAGGAGTTCGAGACCAGCCTGGCCAAGCCAACATGGTGAAATCCCATCTCTACTAAAAATACAAAAATTAGCCGGGCGTGGTGGTGGGTGCCTGTTATCCCAGCTACTCAGGAGGCTGAGGCAGGAGAATCACTGGAACTCACCGTGGAGGTGGCATTGAGCTGAGATTGTGCCACTGCACTCCAGCCTGGGTGACACAGCGAGACTCCGTCTCAAAAAAAAAAAAAATTTGATAGTACATAATTTGTAAACCTAGTCAAACTATCAATCAAGACTCAAGAAAGTTATTTCCTGTGTCTTCTCAAGAAGCTACTGAAAGATATGCATGCTTCACCAAAGCAAGGGAAACAAACAACAAGGAGAAAAACATGAGATCTAAGAATGAAAGAATCCAATAGAGAGGCAAAGGCAGTTCTAAGAATGGTGTTGAAGGAAAAGTCCAGGATACAGGTTGCCTACAGGCCTTAAAAGCAGCCAGTCCAAAATGAAATGAAAAGATAGGGGGCTCTAGGAAGGATCCTCCAAGAAAACAATGGACTTGCTAGACCATCTATAGTTTTAAGTTACTTGAAGGAGAATTAAATTTTACATGGAAACTTTTTTTAAACACCAAGGAAATTATTAATTTTGAGAAAAATGTTTTTATGAGAAAAGAAATAGTACATTTGACTCAGCTGTAAATAACAAGAACATAGTCATAATAATGTAAGCAATAAATGCTTATTTGACCCAAAATAGTTATTTAACAGAATGTTAGTATAATAGAAGAGTGAATATGATGGGAAGGTGTAAGAGAATTAAGTTTTTATCCATTATAATAGAAAATCAGGGCTGGGTGCGGTGGCTTACACCTGTAATCCCAGCACTTTGGGAGGCCAAGGCGGGCGGATTGCTTGAGCCCAGGAGTTCAAGACCAGACTGGGCAACATGGTGAAATTCTGCCTCTACAAAAAATACAAAAATTAGCCAGGCATGGTAGTGCACGCCTGTAGCCCCAGCTACCTGGGAGGCTGAGGTAGGAGACTAATTTGAGCCTAGAAGGTGGAGGTGGTAGTGAGCCAAGATCACACCACTGCACTCCAGCCTGGGCAACAAAGCGAGACCCTGCCTCAAAAAAAAAAAAAAAAAAAAAGTAAGACTAGATAGATAGTGATGAAAACAGTTAATTAAGAAATAGCAGTATCACCATTTACTTGGAGATATGGAGATCCCTAACACAAGCAACAGCTTTAAATTTTTAAAAGTTTTAAATTATTTACATTTTTAAAAATTTTAAATAAAAATATACCCCATGTAGCAGAAAAGAGTTCAGCCACAAGAAAAGCCAACTTACCGTAGTTTAAATGGAGATTTATTTTTCTCACATAACAAGAAGTCTAGACATAGAAGCTGCTGATACTAACTCAGCAGCTTAACAACTTCAGGGCTATTGACTCTGTTAATTCTCTTGGACATTCCTTCATGGTCACAGATGAATACCCCAGCTCCAGGCATTATATCCACATTCAAGAAATGAGGAAGGAGGAGGGACTACACTAACACCATCAATTGCTTTTATCAGAAAAGGAAAAGCTTTCCCAGAAGTTCCTTCAGCAGTTTTTTGCCCATATCTTCTTGGTCAGAACTCATATGGCCACTCCTAGCTCTAACAGACATTGGGAGAGAATTTAGCTTTTATAATCTCTATAGAGGAGTTCAGCATAAAGAAAAGGGCTAAGGATGGGTGATAATTTAGCCAACTAACAGTGTCTGCCAGATGCAAAAACTAAAGCATGTGCACACACACAATGTAACTTAGGCAGGTATAATGCCAGGTTATCTTATAACCAGCTTAGCATCTATTTTCTTATGTCTGCCCTACTTTCTGCATTTTAAAACAGCACATCCTTGACAGACAAGTTTGTGGTATAAGCATACCTTAACTATTTACTAATGGGCATTTAGATTATTTTCATATGTTTGCCATTAGAAACAATGCTGCAATAAACTCAACATTTCATTTATCCTGAAACGCTCCTCCACTGGCCTCTAAAACCACCTGTTTATTCTGTTCCTGTCTCTCTCACTGGTTCCTTTGCCTATGTTCATTTCTTAAATGTTAGTGTTCCTCATCGCTCTATCTTTGGTCCTTTGTCACTCTACATATACTCCCAGGGCAATTTTATCTGTTTTCATTGCATAAATTACTACCTTTATGATGATGACTCTATCTCATGTCCAGATGTCACCTCAATTCTAGACCCATAGATCCAACTGCCTTTTTCAACTTCTCTACTTAGATATTCCACAGGCACTTCAAATGTAAATTATCCCACTGATATTTTCTATCAAACTTGCGCATTCTCCCTTATTCCCTATCTCGGTGGGTGAAATTCTGCCTCCTCTTATTTTCTTCTTCATTTACGTTACTGCTAAGCCCAATCTCCTAACATTACTTTCATGGTCCTCTTCCCCCACAGTGGTTCTCTTGCTAGTTGTAACAAAGAAAAATCCTCAATTTACCATTCAAGACCTTCCACTACCATTCATCCTCCTTCCCAATCTCATCTTTTTAATTACTACTCCATGAAGGCTTTCTGCTTTCAGCAAATTACCACTTGTCACATATTAGCTTGGGCAAATCACTAACCTCTATGAGCATTACTTTTCTCCAAACCTTACTCTCTTGATCAGTCATAAAGGAGGTTTGAACTCCAAAGACTTGTTCAGTTTTAACATATTGGGTTAATTCCTTTCCAACAACCTTGGTAAGTGGCACCACCATACATCCATTCTTGATTTTTTCATTTCCTGACCTCCCATCAAAAGTGATATTGTACTCTGAAACACACCTGGAATTGATCTGCTTCTCCCCATCTTTACTACCTCCAATCTAATCCAAACCACTATAATTTCTTATCTGTACTGTCACAGCCTCCTAACTTGCATTCTGCCTCTTCTTTTACCCTTCTCCAGTCCATTCTTTGCATGGAAACCAGAGTAAGCTTTTTAAAACATAAGTCAGGTAATACAGTACTTTACTCAAAACCCTTCAATGGCTTCCCATTGTTCTTCAGAAAAAATCCAAACTTTTTACCCTTCTCTATACAGCTCTGTACCAACTGGCCCTTGCCTCTCCTTCCATATACAAACCACTCTCCCTTTATTCATTCAGATTCAACACCATCCACACTCACTTCCTTGCTCAAAATTTCTTTCCCATTCCAATCCCTTTGCACTGGCTGTCCCCTCTGCCTGAAATGTTCTTCCCCTAACATTTCTAATAGTTAGGTCCCTCTTATCTTCCAGGTCTCTGTTCAAATGTCATTTCCTCAGAGATACCTTCCTTGACCATACAACTTAAAGTAGGTAGGTCACCTTTTTAGTTACTAACAAATCTCACTATTTCTTTCATAGTAATTATCAATATGAAATTATTTTGTGTATTTACTTGTTTATATTTCACCCCTGCCCTACCAGCATGTTAACTGCACAAGGGCAGGGACCATGACTGTCTTGATTTCAGCTATATCCTCAGCTCTTGACATAGTACTGAAAGAAATCTCTACCCCTTCTTTCTTCAAAAAGCCTTTTTTTCCTTTTTTTTTTTTTTTTTTTTTTTTGAGATGGAGTCTCACTCTGTCTCCCAGGCTGGAGTGCAGTGGCGCAATCTTGGCTTGCTGAAATCTCCACCTCCTGGGTTCAAGCAATTCTCTCACCTCAGCCTCTCCAGTAGCTGGACTACAGGTGCGTAGCAGCACACCCAGCTAATTTTTGCCTTTTTAGTGGAGATGAGGTTTCACCATGTTGGCCGGGCTGGTCTCAAACTCCTGACCTCAGGTGATCCACTTGCCTTGGCCTCCCAAAGTGCTGGGATTACAGGTGTGGGCCATCACACCCAGCCAAAAAGCCTTTCTTGATTAATATCATTGAATTCTTTCTTTCAGAATCCCTTCAATACTTGTATATTAAAGAATTTCTACTATTTGTATCCCCAGTCTATGACTGTTTTATAAATATGGTTAAGTGGTTCTCATTTGTTTATTGACATATTGGCTTTCCAAGGGCCGTCCTGTCTTTCAAGATACACAGTACTGACCAGGTGCACTGGCTCTTGCCTATAATCCCAGCACTTTGGGAGGCTGAGGCAGGACTGCTTGAGGCCAGGACTTTGAGACCAACCTAGCAACACAGTGAAATTGTGTCTCTACAAAAACAATTTTTTTTAATTAAAAATTTTAAAAATTTAAAAATTAGCTGGGCATGATGGCACACGCCTGTAGTCCCAGCTATTTGGGAGCTGAGGTGGGAGGATCACTTGAAGCCAGGAGTTCAAGGCTGCAGTGAGCTATGATCACGACACTGCACTTTAGCCTGGGTGACAGAGTGAGACTCTGTCTCAAAAAAAGAAAAAAGGAGGCCAGGCACAGTGGCTCATGCCTGTAATCCCAACACTTTGGGAGGCCGAGGCAGGTGGAGCACGAAGTCAGGAGATCAAGACCATCCTGGCCAATGTGGTGAAACCCTGTCTCTACTAAAAATACAAAAATTAGCCAGGTGTGGTGGTGGGTGTCTGTAATCCCAGCTACTGGGGAGGCTGAGGCAGGAGAATCGCTTGAACCCGGGAGGCGGATCGCACCACTGCACTCCAGCCTGGTGAGAGAGCGAGACTCCGTCTCAAAAAAAAAAAAAAAAAAAAAAAGAAAGAAAAAAGGATACACAGTACTAATTTGCTAGATGGATGCTGCAGATACCCTGGTGGCCATTTAGACATAATTTTTAAGTCGTCTTTCTGACGTGGATTCTGCTTTATGCTAAACTTCAACAAGGCAGCTACTAACCTAAGCAGTCCCTGCTTCTCTACTCTTCCTGAAATGTGGCTGCTAGAGGCATCTAAACTCTAACCAGGCAAGTTCAAATATTCTGCCTCCATCGCCATCAAGAGCTTCTAAAGGAAATGAACACTATGGGAAGTGCTGTATTCTGGGTGAAAATAGCTACAGTTCCTCAATCTGGCACCCACACTGCTTAAACATCTCTTCTAACCAAACTATAGAGTTTGAAGAAAAGAGAGGTGAGAGGAATCAGACTATAGTGCAGGATACCATAGAATCATAATTTGAGCAAGAACTTTAAAGCCACTCTCTCAATCCCTTTACCCAAGCTACCCAGACAGAAACTAATGGATTTCTGTGGTCCACAGAATGAACCAAACTAGAAAACAGAGGAAATGGTAGGGGTCTGCTTTCTTTGTAGCATTTATTCCCAAGAGAGAAATCCAAGGTCACTAGCTAGCAACAGAGCCACAACTAGAGCTTAGTTAGAACAAGGGTCATGGATACCATTCACTTTTTCTTTTACCCCAAAAGGGCCTGAAATCATTCTACTCCATTTTAGTCCTCATATACAGTCTATAGATAAACATGGACTCCTGAGTCAAGCCCAGTATACATGTCTCTATCTCTGACCTTGGAAATCCAAAAGGTCACCAATATTTGTGCCTTCTCTTTGCTTACTAGCTGAGTATATAACACGTGACCCATTCTACCCCATGGAAACACAGATTGTTCTTCAGTTTGCAGTTGCTCAAAAACATAAGGCAGGCTGTTACACTGCCCCAGGCCTTCTGTGTTCTATTTCTTTGCCTTTGCTCATGACCCAACAAACAACCTATTCCTCATTATTATCTGTTTTGTGGATTAGTCTGAGATAATGGTTTCTCAGCTGCTCACGGAGGCTGCATTTTGTTAGAAAGGATTCACAAATGGGCAAGGAATTAGACCAGATAACCTGTAAAATTCTTCCTACTCTGAGGTTCTACAAAGCACACTCTAGAGGCAGCCTTCTCTCCATACCATCTCACAGTCAGCTGGCTCAAAGGGAATGGTAAAGGTGTAAATAGATGCCAGTCTCCATCCTTATCATCACATCAGGTTAGAGAAATCACTTCTTCCGCTGGACTCCTCTGGCACATCTGACTATTACATCTTGGCAACTAGCACAGGCTTTCTGGTGGTGTTACTTATCTTCTTCTAGAATTGTCTATTCAGCATCTACATTTAAGTAACTAATTGGGACCCTAAACTTGTTCAAAAATCAAACTCTTCATTTTTTTTTTTTTTTTTTTTTTTTTTTGAGACAGAGTCTCGCTCTGTCGTCCAGGCTGGAGTGCATTGGCACGATCTCGGCTCACTGCAAGCTCCGCCTCCTGGGTTCACACCATTCTCCTGCCTCAGCCTCCCGAGTTTCCCGAGTAGCTGGGACTACAGGTGCCCGCCACCAGGCCTGGCTAATTTTTTGTATTTTTTAGTAGAGATGGGGTTTCACCGTGTTTGCCAGGATGGTCTTGATCTCCTAACCTCGTGACCTGCCCGCCTCGGCCTCCCAAACTGCTGGGATTACAGGCATGAGCCAGCGCGCCCAGCCCGCAAACTCTTCATTCTTATTTGCCATCCTCAACCTGCTCCCCGCTGCAAGTCTTATCCACTTCAGCAAGTGATAATTCTGTTCTTCCAATGGCTAAGTTAAAAACCTCATGGTCTTCCTTGATTACTCTTTCACTCTTAATCCAATGCATCAATTACATTTGTCAGCTCTGCCTTCAACATATATCCAGAACCTGATCCTTCCTCCTCTCCTTCACAGCTTATCACACTGCTCTGAGGTACCATCAACTCTCACTTCAATTACTGTATAATAGCTTCCTAATCAGTCTTCCTGCTTCATCTACTCTTGCCCCTTTACAGTGTAACCCACATAGTAGCCTGAGTAGTCTTTTTGTAAAATAAGTCGTATGTATCATATCACCCCTCTGCTCAAAATATTCCACTCGTTTCCAATCTCAGGTTAAAACCCAAATGCATAGGTATGCGCTGAAAAGAGTGGAAAATAAAAAAAATAATAATTTTAAAAAACCACCCAAATGCCTGCACAATGGCCTCCTACTACATCTCTGATGTTATCTTCTATCACCCTCCCCCTTGCTCATTTTGATCTAGCTACACTGGTCCTCTTACAGTTCTTCAGTTATATCAAGCACAGTGACACCTCAGTCCTTTGCACTTGCTGTTCCTTCTGCCTAGAACACTCTTCCCTGAGAAACTTTGCTCCTTAATTCCCTTCAGTATCTCCTCAAATGTAATCTTATCAGATAGGCCTTGCCGGACAACCCTGTACAAAATAGCCAGACTCCACCCCACCCCAGTCACTGCCTTCCCTATTCCCCTTACCCTGATTTATTTTCTCCATAGAAAATATTTATTATTATTACCTTATATACATTTACTTAATTTTACTTTCTGCCTCCTTCCTCCCACAAGAATGAAAGTTCCGTCAAGGCAGGAACTCAGTTTTGGTTCACTATTATATCTCCAAAGCTTAAATTATTGCATGACATGTGTAGTAGGTACTCAATAAATATTTGTATATTAAATTAACTGATCTGTCCTTCCCTGCCCCCAACCTATAAACCTGTTTATAATGAGAAACTTTTCTGTCTTCCTATTTGTGTCTTAGCCCCTAGACTGTGTCCTGAACACAGCAAGTATTCAAATAATGTTTGCTATTACGAGGATGCAATCACGACTCTGCAAATCTTCAGTTTGTGCCAGATCTTGGTGTTATACTGGTATTTCACGCTTCTCTTCTAAGCCTCTGAAATTCTCCAGCCCATGATTTGTGGTGATATGGATAGCTAATCTATAGGGCACACCACACAGACCTGCTCTAATAGACAGAGATTCTGTTCAGGTATTTTATGGTAAGTTTGCTTTACTGTGTTCAACCATCTTTCCCCCAGCATCATTCCTAATTCTAGTCAGTTTTGAAAAAGCATTTAGCTATGATCAGAAGCAATCATATGTAGGAAAGAAAAACTCTATTGCCAGACAAGTAAGAATATGGCCTAATGCCTACAGGTAAGTATAATATCATTTAGGAAAGACAGCATATTACCACATAACATGACTGTTTTTAAAAATTAAAAAGTCCTTAGCACAATGAGAAAAACTTTTATGAACCTGGTAGCTAAAACAAGATAAATTACAATAGGCAAATTTCCAAGAACGGAGATGTTTTTCTCCAGCTTCACTGAGTTAAAAAAAAAAATCAGGGCTGGGTGTGGTAGCTCATGTTTGTAATCCCAGCACTTTGGGAGGCTAAAGTGGGCAGATCGCTTGAGACCAGGAGTTCAAGACCAGCCTGGGCAATATGGCAAAATCCCATCTCTACAAAAAATACAAAAGTTAGATTGGTGTTGTGGTGTGCACCTGTAATCCTAGCTACTCAGGAGGTTGAGGTGGGAGGATCTCTTGAGCCTGCGAGGTCGAGGCTGCAGTAAGATGTGACTGCAGCTGCATTCCAGCCTGGGCAATAGAGTGAGAACCCGTCTCTTAAAAAAAAAATCAAATATAATATTACTCACTCATATCTCTGGTTTTAGTTCTTAATCTAATACAGAATGAACAATACAAGATAAAAGGATAAAAGCAAAAGGGGCAGACAAAAATATAATTTCCACAGAAGACTTTGTATCAGCCAACTCCAGATACACAGGAATAGGCAAAGGCACTTTCCTGGGGCCAAGAGAACATGACCCCCTTTGATTTCCTATGGTTGCCTTCTGCCAGTCCTAAAAGAGCTGGCAGGCTGGTATCAAGCAGTGAACATTACAGAAACAGCATAGTAAGAGGTAGATAATTCAGAAATCCCAGCGGTATATTCAAATATAGGTTGCTGGTATGAGGAAAAACAACCTACAATCTTCACAAACCCAAAAGTCAATAACAACTAATTTCTCCTCTCTCTTCCTTATCTCCCTCTGATGCTATCCTCTCCCTTTTCTTGGACTCCTTCTATCGAGATTATACTATAAACTACTCCAAGTAAGAACTATTCAATTAATTTTAACATCCTCCAAATTTCCCTTGCAGTGAGAGAAAATTGAGTCAACACTGGTCTATCCCACATGTATTTATAAAGTAAAAGAATAATAATGTACTTCTAAGGTCACTTCTAAGATTGTACTAAGGCTGCAACAACAGTTCCAAGAGAGTTTAAGCATGCTGCCTCACCCCAGCGCTTGCGGCTCTCCTAGCCCTACCTCGGTCTGCCTTGGTTTCTGTAACCTGGCTGTTCTGTGCAATCACTTGTACATTATAGGTGTGAAAACAGTGAGAGAGGGAAATCAACTCCATGACGGTGGGGCACAGAAAGCGTGAACCATGATTCAGAGCCTTACAGTCAACTGTCATGTGTATGTGTCATACTCAAGGCAATATCCTGCTTCTTGAGGCTCCTTCCTCTTTGCAGCCTGCTGCCTGTGCTGTATGCTATCAGCCCTTTGTGACTCAACTGAGACAGACTAGAGTCAGAAAAGCGGATGGAATTCTTACACAGCATGAAGTAGTATAAGAAATCCTAGGCAGAAGGAAGTTCAGGTAGCTCTCAGGGCTAGGAAACTCCTCGACAACGAGGGACAACCAAATCCAGCATTTAAAAACTCTGTATTTTAATTCTTCTCTTAATATAATACTTCCTTCTTTATTGATTGCTGAGCATTCTAGGAACTAGGATAGGATTATTTGGCCTGAAGGAAAGAATACTTCTCGAACCTGATTTGTTAAATGAATCGAGATTGCTTTAAAGTGAAAGAAGGGAAAAGAGAGTTATCTCTTTTGCAGGAGCACATTTCAATCACTTATCACTCTGGGTTAGCATAAATCAGATAAACTATCCTGTGGGTTGTGCAAAAAGCAAAACAAAACAAAAAAACACAACTTGTAAAAAAAACAGAGCAAGATAACTGAAGTAGACAAACTCTGCACAGAAGTAACTAATGGCAGGGAGGAGAAAAATTTTTGTATATTATATTATACTGTGTATAATATAATGTACCTGTGTATCATTAGAGCTGTTAAATTAAAAAAAAAAAAAAAAAAAAAAGGAAATGGATGCAGAAGCTCTGCCCTCCTGGGGCCAGAAATGGCAATTTCAGTGAACTAGGGCCGACAACCACATCCAAAATTAAATATTTCAAAAGCTTAAAATAAAAAATACTAGAAAAATTATGCAGAGCACCTATTTCATTTGTTAAAAGACATTTAATTAGTGTTTCACATATTACCACCCAAATGAATAAAGCGATTGTGAAATTCAAGAAAACAATCAAACTACAAGAAAACTCCAGATAAAACTACAAAGTTAAACATAAACTTGGCCCAGGACCACTACAGTGGCTGAGGGATGACAAATACAGTTCTTTATATTGGTAACCCTTAGCCATCCATCCCATTCTATAGAAAGAGGACAGTACCATCTTTGACCCCAGGCCCCCTGTCCTGAGGTGCTTCTACTTAATGCCAGGAACAACTGTGCTAGAAAAAAAGACTGCACCCACCCCAGCTCCAGATGCACACATTAGCTGGTCGGTGAGATGCAGCAGCCTGGCTTCCTCCCTCTACCCACTCCTTGGGGGCGGGGCTGGAAGAGGAGAATGATGAAGAGATGTTGGGGGTTCAGGAAACCTTCACATTTGGCCCCTTTTCTCTCTCCCCACTCAGGATGGAAGGTCAAAGTTAGGACCAAAACTAGAGAAGTGGGTTTTGCATAGGGGGACAATGGATTCAACAGAAGTCCTCTGGATCTGGCAACTGTCAAAAAACCCTCTTTCCACTTCTTTCCCCCTCACGGAAAGCCATTAGGAATCACCTCTGTCTGGGTCATAGGAACAGCCACACAGCATAGGAGGCACAAGCCCCGTGAACAAAATTCGGTATTAAGAATAAGGAAAAAGAAAGAAGACCCGAGGGCAAGAGGGCAGGGCAGGACCTCTTCTTTCTACTGGAGAAGAGACATCCAGGGAGGAGGCACAGCCGAGGGGAGCGCAAGCTAGAAAAGCTACGACGGAATCCCCACCGAAACCGCAGCAGGGGTACTGGAAGGGGAGGAATCCGCGACGCAGCGACCGCGAGCCAAGGGCAGCGGCGGGCCGGGCCGTGACTCAGTGAAAGCCGCAACGGCCGGGCCTCGGAAAACGGCGGGCGCGAAGCCGCCGGGGCCGGGGCGAGAACGGCGGCGGGGGCTCACCATGTCCTTGGACGAGCCCAGCTTCTTGAGGCCGTCCAGGGGCAGCAGGTCGGCGGAGTCCTTGTGGATGAACTGCACCGCCTGCTTCATCCGGCGCTGCTGTCGCAGTGACGCCGCCTCCCGCATGTCGGTCTCCTTGCGGCCGCCCTCAGTGAGGAGCCCTGAGTAAAACATCGCTGAGGCGCCGGCGGCCCGGTAGCCCACAGCCCCCCGGCAGCCTCAGCCTCGAGCTCCTCCAGCGCCGCAAGGGCCCCGAGCCGCGCCTTTTATAGCCGAGCGTGACGTCGCGGGGAGCAGCCAGTGCGCGCGCGGGGGGCGGGGCCGGCACAGAGTCCACGCCCCGCGCGGCTCCCTCGCGTCCCGCGTCCCGCGTCCCGCGTCCCCTGCTCACCCGGTGGCAAAGCCGGCGAGGAGGCGGCGGCGCTGGTGGGGACTGACCCGGCAGTCCGAGAATCCACCGCGGCCTTTTCACCCAACCGCCCCCTCCTGCGTGGGGGCCCCGCATCCCCTGGACTGGCGTGGGCTCTGGGGCCCGATGCCCTGGCAGCCCCGGCCATCTCTGCCGCTGGCCGCGGGTACCTGCTCACCTGTCCACGCCGTGGCCGACCCGGGGATCACCGACAGCCGGGCCATGCCTCGAGTCCCGCCGCCCGCGCCGCTGCTCGGCTTCTCAGAAACGCACCTCCACGCCGCCAGCCGGGGCTCCAGGGTCCACCGCCCGGGCCCGGAGGACTGGCGACTCCCTCCGAGGTTGGGAGCGCTCCGGATTTCTCCAACTTCAGGTCGGTCCCCACCCACCGGGCCACGTGACTGGGGAGGGGGCAGCCGGTGCAGGCGTGTGGAGGAGGCTTTCGGGACCTCCTCCCCCGGGCACCCTCTGCCTGCAGCCCGGCACCCGGCCCGCGTTTCCGAGCCGGGGGAGCAGGTGCAGTCGGAAGCCCGCGGGTGGGCGTGGGGCGGGGGAGTGGCGAGGGTCCCCCGCCTCCGCGGGAGCGCACGCGGCTGCGAGCCCTACACCTGCTCTCCGACCAAAGAAGCACCTGTTTTTCTCAATAAGTGCTAGGGCTTACCATCTAAAGGATCGTTCACCATCCCTCCAGCGTCCTTAGTAGGAGCGATTGGAACCCGTTTTTCTTCCTGAATAATCCATACTTTTAAGCCATTCTAATCGGGCCTTCAGGCATCCTGGATTCTGGTCTCGACATTGTGATTTGACACAAATCACGTTTTCACTCTGGAAACCACAACTACTCCCTCCACCCCATCACGCAGGAGCAGACCTGGATAAGAAATATGTGCACTCTGCAAAGAACCAATGATAAAAGTAACAATATCGACGCTTACTGAGCCTTTACTATGTGCCAGGTACTAGACTAGACACTTAAAATGCAGTATCTCATTGGATCCTGGCAACAGCTTGTAAGATAGTATTCTCATCACCCCCATTTTACAGGCAAATACCTGATACCTTCTGTCTGGCCTCCTGAATGCTCCTTGGTTCCATTCCAATACGTTGTTCACTGTGCTGCCAGAGTAATCTTCTCAAACGATAAGTGTGATCATCTCACTTCCCTGCTAAGAGCACCTCAAAAGGCTTCCTATTGCTCTTAGGAGAAACCCACATTCTTGCATGGTCTGCCTAGACCCTGCATATTCACTCTGTACTTCAGCCTCATGGGCCTTCTTCCAGTTCCTTCCAGTCACCTGTTGCCAAATGGCCTGCCTTTGACTGTCCTGTTCCCTCTGTGTGCAGTGCCCCCTCCTACCCTCTTCAGGAAACTCCTATGCTTCTTCCAGACCTCAGCTCCATTATCATTTCTTTAGGAAAGCCTTCTCTGACCTTCCAGAGAGAGTGAAGTCTCTCTAATTATATACTATCTATCTCTTGGGCATTTGACACTTTCTGTGGGGGTAGGGGTAGGGGGGTACTGGTTGTTGGATTAATATTTGTCTCCTCCACTGATTGGAACCTCCAGGAAGGTGACTGAACCCATTTTTTGCTTAGCATTGATGCCCTAATATGCAGAGGGTTCTCAAATACTAGTGAAAGGATGGCAAAAAGTTAAGGTCGTACCAAAGAAATCAAGTGGTAAAGCTGGCATTTACTCCCAGAACCTGTGCTGGACTACCTAGACCTGGAGAGACTGGGTTTGGCCTCATGAAGCTGCTTCTTTTACTCTGTTCTGCCTTCAACACTTGCCCCAGTTTCAAAGACTGTTTGTGGGAAAACAAATACAGAAGGCTGCTCACTTGGCTTCAAGGAAGCCCCAGGGCTGGATTCCTCCCTGTGTGCCCATCCCCTACTTTCCCCTACACACGGAGGACAGAGTCTCTAGGAGACAGGTGGGATTGCTGTTCACCTTCCAGTCCCCTGGCACACTTCCAGCAGTGAACAACAGTGGCTGCCCTGGCCCCTTCTGTCCCATCACCTGGATCCCTGCCTGATCACTCCTCCAGGTGCAGATCACCCAGGGAACAGTGAAAGTCAGCTTTGCCTTGTCCGTCTAGGAGAGGTGCCTCTGAGTTTGGCAAAGCATCAGGGCAGGTCCAACAGTGAGGGCCCCTAGGGCTTGGGCTGGGACAGTGACTTTCCTCAGGGAGGAAGCCAGGCAGGTAGACACTCTCGGGGGGAGTTGGAATCCCCACTCTCCAGGCTGCTCAGCTCAGACCTGCAGCCTTTTTTGCTGAGGATGTCCTGACAGAAGAAAGGGGCTCTTTTCAGAGCTAGATCCCCCTGGGAACACCAGGAAGCTGAATCTCTCTAGTTGAACTGGAATTTGCCCATATCAAGTGTTGCTGAAAAATAAATGGTGCCCGACTGGAACTGGGAATCTTTTTGTGAATTCAGAGCCCTTTGGTGTAGTGGGATTTGTGTTCTGCAGTTGGGTCTGTGGCTGCAATACCTGTTGGTCCCCTCACCTGTCTGAGACCTTCCTTGGACAGACTGATACCATCACTGCCCTCAAGGTTCAGTGTGGTGAGGCCAGCTCCTTCCTCCCCCCACACATTATGAGTATTCGCAGACTACAGACTGCCTGCTTAATTTAAGGAGAGTTATCTCTGGGTGGTTTATCCTGTTTGCCCAAATGACTTTGAGTAAATCACTTCCTACCTCTGAGCCTCAGTTTCCATATCTGTAAAATGGATGTAGTGAGACTGCATATACAATTGTGCTTTGTAAACTCTCTAGGGCTGTACCAACAGAAAAGATTATTATTAATTCTCCATATAGCCAATCAACGTCCCCTGCCTCATTGACCCATCTTGGAGGAAGTAACATACAATATGGTTGTTAAAAACACAGGTTTTGGAGTCTAATACACTAGATTTGAATCCCTGCTCTGCTGCTTACTAGCTATGTGACTAGTTAGTTACTGCACCATTGTGAGCTTTCAGTTCTTCATCTAGAAAATTGTGCCAATATCTCTACTTCTCAGGGCTGCTGTGAGAAATAAAACGATAGACAGTGTAATACATTGGTCATGTAGCATAGGCTCAGCAGAAGGTAGCAACCATCATTACCTGGAACAACTTCAGGAAAAACTGTAGGTTGCAGAACCCTCGAATTGGGGCTGGCCTATCCTTTCTCCAGGCTTCCCTACAGAGCTTCAGACATGAAGCCAGACTTGAGTATCTTACCCTATCCCTAGAGCAGAGGCCTGCTGAGGCAGGGGCTGGCCAGCTCTCTTCCTCTCCTCAGTGTCTCCAGATTCTGGACTTTCCATGTGCAATGGCTCTATCCTAAAGTTCTCTGCATCCTCCCTTGGCTGTTATAGAAGACCTGTACTTGAAAATCATACTAGAAAATCCAGTACTGTTTCAGTGTTAGAATGCTATTCACGTTATTCTTCTTATAAGTGACAGATACCCAGTTGAAAATTTCTTATGTGAAAATGCAAATTTTTGGTCCCCTTAATTTAAAAGTGCAGGGCTTCAGGCATGGCTGGATCCAAAGACTCAAATGACATTATCACTGTGTTTCAGCTCTGCTTTCCTCTGAGCTGATGCCCCTGTAGGCAGACCCTTCCTGTCTGATGGCTATTTGTGACTCTAGGCTTACAACCTATTCTCCTAGCAACCCTCTTTTGGGTCTTCAGCTAACAGAGAGGCCTTTAAGAATGAGAAACAGGATGAGTGCTGAGGCTTGGAGGCCTAAAAAGTAGAGGAGAAGAGCAGAGGATAAAGGGGAGACTGCCAAGAAATTTTCCTCCCCATTCCCTCCCTACCCATGCATATTGCCCTTGGCCATACCCTGAAGTCAGAATGGCCACTCCTAGGACCCTCATCATGCACCACCCCATCCTTATAGCTGTAGGATCCCTTTCCTCCTCAGATGTCCTCACCACTACCCCAACCCCCTTTGGCAGGAAGATTCTTCGAACAGCTATCCAGATGTGTGCCAGGATCTCTGGCTACATGGTACCCCTGACTTGGCACCCAGCTCTAAAAACTGTGTCTGCTTTGGCAGTTAAAGCAAAGATAAGAGATATTTCTGTCCTCTTCCTTCAGAGTGATTGCCAACATCACCATGACCTCAAGAAACAGGGCTGATGGCAGCCCTGCTGGTGTTTTCCAAAGTTGCCTGGGTCTTTTGGATCCATTACAGTCACCAGTGATTTGGTTTCATTTCCCGGGATGAGAACAGGCTTTGACCTCAACTCAGACAGCAAAAGAGGAGAAATAATGGAAAGAAAACAAACACCAGTATCTGAAGGACGTGTGTCTGGTGGAAGTGGGGAAGTGAGGAGTCTAGGCTTAGCTTTGAATCTGGTTCCACCCCTTGCTTGCTATGGGACCTTGGCCAAGTTACTGAAGCTCTCTGAGCCTCAGTTTATCCATCTTGCAGGGTTCTGTCTCATTTGAGTGAAATAATATATAAAGGCACAAAGTGGGCTCTCAATAAATATGTCCTGTTCCTCTTTCCTTCCCCTCTCCAACATAGGTAGAGAACCCAGAAAAAGAGTGGCCCTTCTGAGCCTAGTGGGAAACTCTGCAGTATAGAAACAAGAACTCTGAAGATGGCAAGTCTCTCAGAATACAGCAAAGCATAGGCCTAACCCACCTGCTCCTTATCTCTTTATGTCAGCCCCAGCCAAAGGGGACAATGCCTGCAGCGTGGCTCACACTGATGGGTAACTTCTGTCTACCTCAGGAGCACTGAGGGCTCTACCTCCTTCCCCCCAGTTAACTAAGCATGTTGCTCAGATGTGATGGTGTGCATGCTGGGCAAGCCACAGGGGCTGGGGGCCAGTGACAGCAGAGAGGTGAAGTGCTCTGTGGAACATGTGTAGACTCCCAGGTGTGCAAACATGTGCATGCGCTCACACTCATAGTGTTCCGTCTGACCAGTTTTCGCACAGATCTACACTGCCCAAAGAGAAAAGTCATTCAGGATTATTTAAAAACTTTTAATTTGTAAAAAAAATTTGAAACTTACAAAAAGTTGCAAACATAAGAATAGTAGAAAAAACACCTGTATATCCTTTTCACAGATTACCTGTTACTAACATTTTACTCCATGTGTTTTTCAGGTGCTTATTGGCCATTTGTTTATCTTCTTTGGAAACATGTCTATTCAGATCCTTTGCCGATTTTTAACTGAGTTCTTTGTCTTCTTATTATTGAATTGTGAGAGTTCTTTTTTTTTAATACTTTAAGTTCTGGGGTACATGTACAGAACATGCAGGTTTGTTACATAGGTATACACTTGCCATAGTGGTTTGCTGCACCCATCAACCCATCATCTACATTAGGTATTTCTCCCAATGCTATCCCTCCCTCAGCCCCCTACCCTGCAACAGGCCCCAGTGTGTGATGCCCCCACTCCAGTGTCTATGTGTTCTCATTGTTCAACTCCCACTTATGAGTGACAACATGCAGTGTTTGGTTTTCTGTTCTTGTGTTAGTTTGCTGAGAATGATGGTTTCCAGCTTCATCCATGTCCCTGAAAAGGACATGAACTCATCCTTTTTTATGGCTGCATAGTATTCCATAGTGTATATGTGCCCCATTTTCTTTATCCAGTCTATCATTGTGGGCATTTGGGTTGGTTCCAAGTCTTTGCTATTGTGAACAGTGCCACAATAAACATACGTGTGTATGTGTCTTTATAGCAGAATGATTTATAATCCTTTGGGTATACACCCAGTAATGGGATTGCTGGGTCAAATGGTATTTCTAGTTCTTGTTCCTTGAGGAATTGCTACACTGTCTTCCATAATGGTTGAACTAATTTACACTCCCACCAACAGTGTAAAAGCATTCCTATTTCTCCACATCCTCTCCAGCATCTGTTGTTTCCTGACTTTTTAATGATTGCCATTCTAACTGGCATGAAATGGTAGCTCATTGTGGTTTTGATTTGCATTTCTCCAATGACCAGTGATGATGAGCTTTTTTCATATGTTTATTGGCTGCGTAAATGTCTTCTTTTGAGAAGTGTCTGTTCATATTCTTCGCGCACTTTTTGATGGGGTTGTTTTTTTCTTGTAAATTTGTTTAAGTTCTTTGTAGATTCTGAATATTAACCTTTTGTCAGATGGATAGATTGCAAAAATTTTCTCCCATTCTATAGGTTGCCTGTTCACTGTAATGATAGTTTCTTTTGCTGTGCAGAAGCTCTTTAGTTTAATTAGATGTCAATTGTCAATTTGGGCTTGTGTTGCCATTGCTTTTGGTGTTTTAATCATGAAGTCTTTGCCCATGCCTGTGTCTTGAATGGTATTGCCTAGGTTTTCTTCTAGGGTTTTTATGGTTTTAGGTCTTATGTTTAAGTCTTTAATCCATCTTGAGTTAATTTTTGTATAAGGTGTAAGGAAGGGATCCAGTTTCAGACTTCCACTTATGGCTAGCCAGTTTTCCCAACACCGTTTATTAAATAGGGAATCCTTTCCCCATTGCTTGTTTTTGTCAGGTTTGTCAAAGATCAGATGGTTGTGGATGTGTGGTGTTATTTCTGAGGCCTCTGTTCTGTTCCATTGGTCTATATATCTGTTTTGGTATCAGTACCATGCTGTTTTTGTTACTGCAGCCTTGTAGTATAGTTTGAAGTCAGGTAGTGTGATGCCTCCAGCTTCGTTCTTTTTGCTTAGGATTGTCTTGGCTATGTGGGCTCTTTTTTGGTTCTGTATGAAATTTAAAGTAGTTTTTCCAATTCTGTGAAGAAAGTCAATAGTCGCTTGATGGGGAGAGCATTGAATCTATAAATTACTTTGGGCAGTATGGCCATTTTCACAATATTGATTCTTCCTCTTCAAGGACCTCTTCAAGGAGAACTACAAGCCACTGCTCAAGGAAATAAGAGAGGACACAAACAAATGGAGAGTTCTTTATATATTCTAGCTACAAGTCTCTTGTCACACATGACTTGCAAAATTTTTCTCCCATTTTATGAGTTGCCTTTTCACTTTCTTGATGGCTTCCTTTGACTCATAAAAATGTTCAATTTCATTTGCTTCCCTGCAAAACACACACACACACACATGCACACACACACACTTTTTTCTGAACGATTTTAGGATAGATTACTCATACATTATGATCCTGTACCACTAATACTTCATTGTATATTTCCTAAAAATAGAGATTTTTCTCTTATGTAACCACAATACAGATAGAAGCTTGATAAATTTACATTGATACAATACTTTTATCTAAGCTACTATTCATGTTCCAATTTTGTCAGTTGACCATTTATAACACATTCCTCCAGTACAGGATCCAGGCTAGGAGCAGGTATTGTATTTGGTTGTCATGTCTCTTTAGCCTCCTTTAATCTGGAACATTTCCACAGCTTTCTTTGTCCTCCATGACACAGACATTTTTGACATTCAAAATGTTAAAATTCAAAACTGTCAGTGTCATTAAAAAGGGTTAACTGGTTAACACAAAAACCAGTTAACCCTTTTTAGTTACTGGTTTCTGTGTGTGATATAATTCACATACCATAAAATTCACCCAATTCATACAATTGTACTTAATGTGTACAATTCAAGTTTTAAATAAATTCAGAGAGCTGTGCAACCATCACCACAATGACTTCTAGAACATTTCATCGTCCCAAGAGAAACTTGGTACCCATTAATCATTCCCCATTGCCTACCAATTTCTCCAGCCCTAGACAACTAACTTGTAATCCACTTCCTGTCTCTATGAATTTGCCTATTCTGGACATTTCATGTAACTGGAATCATATAATGCATGGTCTTTTGTGACTGGCTTCTTTCACGTAGCACAGTGTTTTCAAAATTCATCCATACTGTAGCATCTATCAGTATTTAACTATGGCCAAATAATATTCCATTGTATGGATCTACCACATTTTGTCTAGCTGTACATTAGTTGATAGATATGTAAGCTGTTTCCACTTTTAAGGTATTACGACTAATGTTGCTAAGAAATCTCATGTGGAAATCTTTTTGTGCCTTTTATTCATCTCCTGGAGTAGAATTGCTGGGTCACATGGTAGCCCGTGTGACTTTTGAGGAATTAACAGACTACTCTCCAAAGCAGCTGCACCATTCTGCATCTCCACCAGCAGTGTATGAGGGTTCCAATTTCTTCACATCCTCTTCAACACTTTTTACCATCTGTCTTTTTTATTATAGCCATGCTAGTGAGGTTGAGATGGTATCTCATTATGGTTCTGATTTGTGTTTCCCTGATGACTAATGATGTTAAGCATCTTTTCAGGTGCTTATTGGTCATTTGTTTGTCTTCTTTGGAAACATGTCTATTAAAATCCTCTGTCCATCTTCTTTTTTTTTTTTTTTTTTTTTGAGACAGAGTCTCGCTCTGTCGCCTAGGCTGGAGTGCAGTGGCGTGACCTCGGCTCACTGCAAGCTCCGCCCCCTGGGTTCACGGCATTCTCCTGCCTCAACCTCCCGAGTAGCTGGGACCACAGGTGCCCACCACCACGCCTGGCTAATTTTTTGTATTTTTAGTAGAGACAGGGTTTCACTGTATTAGCCAGGATGGTCTCAGTCTCCTGATCTCATGATCCACCTGCCTCGGCCTCCCAAAGTGCTGGGATTACAGGTGTGAGCCAACATGCCCAGCCTCCTCTGTCCATTTTTAATTGAGTGATTTGTCTCATTATTATTGACTTGTAAGAACTCTTTACATATTGTAGCTATTAGTCTCTTGTCAGATATATGATTTACAAACATTTTCTACCATTCCATGGGCTACCTTTTCACTTCTTAATAGTGTCTTTTGAAGCACACAAGCTTTAAAATTTCACTGATGTGCAAGTTGTTTTTCAACTTCCCTCCCCTTTTTAAAATAGAGCATTCTTCATTTTGTGTTTGTCTGCATTTTCCTTGTATTGAGATTGAGGTGATGCATTTTTGGCTTGAGTACAGTATAGGTGATGGTACGTTCTTCTCAGGCTATCACATCTGTAGGCACATGATATCCATCTGTCCTTTATTGGACATGCTAATTTTGATCATCTGGTCAAGGTATTGCCTGATTTCTCTGCTGTATAATTACTGGCTTTTTTCCTATCTCATTCATGATGTTTAAAAAAATGAAATTCACTCTTTTCAGTCTGTCTACACTCCGTTAGCACATTGCACTTTGAGTTCTGTACTCTCCCTGGCACATGCTGCACAGTGGTCAGACCCACCTTGGCCAGGCCTGTGTCCTCATGTCTCAAAAAGGGGCTTTGTTTCAATGACCACAGGTTTCATGCAAATTATTCACACCTTGCCACAGTGAGTGTCTTCATTGACCTTGCCTGCCTAGAGACCTGAGTACTGCCTTCTTGGACTCTGAAGTTGGATGTTGCCATGCTGGAAACATCGAATAGAAATAGGCAGTTCTGGAAAACATGTGCTTCTGGGCTCAGCAAGGAGATGTACTGTGATCCTCACATACCAGGGGCTGAGGATTGGAACTCAGAAAAAATGAAGGATTGAGAGGCTGCGCTGTGTATGTGCACTTGTGTCTGTGCCGTCCCTGACCTAAGAGAAGCTCAGGCGATTGGAAGAGCTCATTTTACCTTCCCAGCTCAGGAGGACACGGGTGTTTGGAAGGCCTTGTGTGAGAACCCAAATCAGGCATCATAGCCTTTCATTCCTACTTCAAGCTTTAATTTTTCTGTTGCTAGGACATACCCCACTAGAAAAACTGTGACTAAAGAACTTTCCATCTCAGTGAAATGGGGAAACCCAGCAGAGAGTGAACCCCTTTAAAGAATGTTTCTTGGGTTTAACTTCTAAAGTCTCAAGAAGTGAAATGTAACGATGAGGATGACAGTTAACGTTTATTGGGCCCTTACTACATGCCAGGCAATGTTTCAAGAGTTTTCCAGGTATTAACTCATTTAATTCTCAAAACAGCTCTATCTTGTAGGTACTATCATTATCTTTATTTACCACATGAAGAAACTGAGGCACAGAGAAGTTAAATAACTTCCACAAGGTCACATAGCTAATAAGTGGCAGAACTGGGATACAAATCCAGGTACCGTAAAGGACATAATGGGAGTCTTGGAGAATATGAGCATTATGAATCATAAATCTTAGAGAAGGCACCTATCAGTGTGATAAATGTAGATAATGCATTTTCAGAGAAGTACATTAGGAATACTGGGCCCGGGGGGTACTGGGTGAGTGATGCTGTTTGAGTCATCCCAGTTCCTCATGGGGAGCCTTAGTGATGGTTTATCAAGCCTCTTTTTTTAAATTGTTTTGTTTTTTGTTTTTGAGACAGCATCTCACTCTGTTGCCAAGGCTGGAGTGCAGTGGCACGATCTCGGCTCACCGCAACCTCTGCTTCCCAGGCTCAAGCAATTCTCCTGCCTCAGCCTCTCGAGTAGCTGGGATTACAGGCATGCGCCACTACCGCCCGGCTAATTTTTGTATTTCTAGTAGATACAGGGTTTCACCATGTTGGCCAGCCTGGTCTTGAACTCCTGACCTCAAATGATCCACCCGCCTTGACATCCCAAAGTGCTGGGACTACAGGCATGAGCCACCGTGCCTGGCCCTATCAAACCTCTTATACTTGGCACCTGCATTACTTAAAACTCCAGTTTAGGTACCTGATGTGGCTGCTAAAAGCTGACTTCTTCAAGCCAAGTCACCTGGAAGTAACATTGGGGTTCCAATGTGCTACACTGTCCACAGTTTTATAGCATGATCAGGCATCACACACACACCGCTGCATTGACAGTGTGTGCTGATGACCAATTTGTGGTCACACAGGATAGGTTACCCACAAGGCTGCAGAGGGCCGCACTTAGCAGGCTTGGCCAGGGTTCACCACAAGCTCACACTCTGTACCTCCATGCTGTTCTGCTGTGCATGCTGCTTCAGACATTACTGGGCTCTGTCTTCTCTGGGGCATTGGTTCCAATTCCTGCTTAGCAGCTGTTAATTTTTTTCAACTGCCACACATGTAATAAGGCAAAGCCAGCACCGAAGCTCAAATTTGAGGTAGGCTTGTATTTCTACTTTTTGCGTTTTGTAGGGAAAAGACAGAAAACTTCAACCTGTGGCCCAAAATTATCCTTCAGTCCTAGGATACTGTGTAGGATCAGAGAACAATCCAAGGCAGGGGAGTGTGGTAGGGAGCTCCTGGAACTACAAAGTGGTAAAACATGCAAGATTATAATTGAGGAGTAGATTTTGTCCTCATCATTCCTTCAACTCCTTTTCCCTTCTGACTCAGGACTATATATCCAGCCTACCCTGGTGCCTAGACCGTAACAGTGAATGCATGAATATGCGGTGTTTGTATGTGAGATTCAGAGCGTTGTTGATAGTTTGAAATGACCTAGATCAATGAGTTTGGACTTGGTCACTAGTTTTTCTCTGCCAAGCAGAGAAAAAAGGAAAATATCTAAACAAAATAAACTCCGAGGGCTGTGTCAAACAACATGCGACCAATCAGTTGTCAAATCACAGCCCTAGTCCCCAGGGCCCCTTGGGTAAGATCTTGTCTTGAATTATGGGCATGTAAGGTCTGAGGCAGTGGGACGGGAGACAGAAACACAGGTCGACTCCATATTGCAACCACTAGGTGGCACCTGTTCGAGGAACTGCCAAATGGCTTGTTCACAGCTTGAAGCTTTGGTCAGCTTGGCTTGACATGAAATGCCAAGGTCTTGCTGGGCGGATAAAGGAGCTTGCCAGGGCCAGTGCTGCCAGGCTTGGTTTGAGGAGCCAGTGCTCTAGGAGGGGCCTGGATTCATGACTCTAATGATGAGCTCATCCTAAGACAGCAGCTCCCTCCCACCACCTCCTCATTCTCTGTCCTTTAGCCCTTCCTTATTTATACCACTCATCACTACTTGACTTTACAGTATATGTTCATTTGTTTATTGTCTGTCTCCCCAGACTGGAACCTAAATTCCACAAGAGCAGGGAGCTTCTTTTGCTCCCTGCAGTATCCCTGGCTCCTACAATGTCTAGCACTTAATAGGCTCTCCATAAATATATGTTGCATAAATGAATGAATGACCAAAAACATAATAAGAAATTATTAGTAACTAAGGTCTGTAGTTGCATCCCCTTTATGAGATACTCTGAAAACCAAGCACTACTGAGTTACTGTCATTGCTTGCAGTAGGTAGGTTTAATTTGTATCGCTTTTATTCAACTAAGGCAAACTGCCTATATTAGAGTGGTTTCATTTTCTAAATCTATTTTGATGCCACTGTGTTCTCTGGAAAGTGCTCCCTGCTGAGTAGTGATATCTTCATGGCTATATCACTGACATGGATCACAGGAGCAGCCTTGCTGTGTTAACAGGTCCCTAAGGGTGGTCTCCTGCAGGCTGATCGAGACTGCCTGAAGGGAGAAGGAGGCAGGGCACTACAAATATTAGGACACCTCTGAGCTGGGCTCACAAGCCCCTGGAATGGAAGATGGTCACAGAAATGAAGCCTCACCAAGGCCTCTAAGTTTCTGTGGATGGGCCCCTACTGGCCACTCCCAGGACCTTAAATTGTAGGCAGCTGATGGCTTGCCTAGCTAGAGGGCCGTATGCAACAAGATTCCCTCAACTTGGTGAGGAACTGCTTTACTCCAGCCTCAGCTAGTCCATTTGCCTCCCAAATGCTGGCTAGAAGTAGTGCAGACTTGAGTAAGGCTCCAAGACGTATCCTGCTGTGTGAAAAGAAGCAGAGATGCTGACAGTAAGAGGCATCTCTTCAGGGCTAAGAAGATTACAGCTGGGCCTGGAATGACCCCTGGGTTTTCCAGCACATAGGCCCACCAGCTGTGGTGGTCAGCTGCAGGCAACAGCTCCGGTGCATCTTCCTGCAAAGATCTGCCGGAGGGTAAGCAAGTCCTTGCACTGTGCTGTGCAGCCACTGCCTTTTCCAGGTTGCCACATGACATTTTAATATCACCTGCAAACCTAAATCCAGTGAGTGCCTACAGACGACACACTTAACAGCTCAGGGCATGATTCAGAGGAAGCAATTTTCCAAAGTGAAGATAATTGTCTGTTAGTGTGAAAAGGCAAACACTTTTTTATTAGCATTGGAAATTCAAGGGAGATGTTGTTAAATCCATAGATGCAGCACTTCAGTAAATGGCTAAAGAACAATATCTACAGCTAGAAGGAAGGACTGTACAGATCCATGCCCATTCAGGGTTCACCCATAGAACTAGCTCTCTTGGAGGGAAGATGGAAGCTCAGCTCTGACCTCTTCCTGTTTACTTAATACGCAGCTCCTCAAAGTCCTGGTTCCTGTGCCCACACAGGAAATCCCAGAATTAAGAGTTCCCCGGTCTTCTTTTATTTACATGTTTCCCAGGTGACCTTAACCGGGGTAAAGTCTCATGCCTTTACTCTGTGACATTAAAACTTATATTCCAGCCCTGACCTCTCCTGGGGCTTTGTATAACCATTTGCCTATTTGAACCCTCCAGTTGGACATATGATAGGCACCTAGAACCTAGAATGGCCAAAATGGAACTCTTAACCATCTCCCCTTTTCACTGTTATATTACTGCATAAGAAGTCACCTCAAAACCTATCAATCATTTAAGATAATAATCATTAATTTTGCACACAAATCTCTAATTTTTCTGTGGTTCAATGAGGACTGCTCCATGAAGTGTCAGCTGGAGCAGCTGGAGAATCCCTTTCCAAGATGGCTTACTCACGCAGCTGGCAAGTTTTGCTGGCTGTCGCCTGGAAGCTCAGCCTGGCCGGTGGGTGGAGGGACTGTGGTTCCTCTCCACATGGCCTCTCCACAGGCTGTTATGGCTTGCTTCCTCATGACGTGGTGACTGAGTTTCAAGTGTGAGTGTCCTAAGGAGAGGAAGTGGAAGCTGCTAGTGTCTTAAGCCCTGGGCCTCGTAAAGCATTACTTCTGCCATGTTAATATTGGTCAAGCAGTCACAGAGCCCAGAGTCAAGGGGAGGTGACACAGACCCCAACTGTCCATGGAAGGAACCTCAAAGAATTTGCAAACATGTTTTAAAACTGCTGCATATCCCGAACCTGCTCCTCCTAGTCTCCTCCATCTACCAGTTTCTTAGGCAACTAGGAGTCATCTTTGACTTCCTTCTTTCCCTCAGCACTTCCATACAATCCCCATCAGCAAATTCTGTTGACTGTCCCCCAAAACACATCCAGAATCCTTCTACTTCTCTCATCTCCACTACAACACCCTAATCCAGACAATACCTTCATCTGCCAACTGGATGGCTGCTTGTTCTGTTGCAGTAGTCTGTGAATAACTCTCTCTGCCTCCGTGCTGGCTTCCTATTCACACAGTAGCCACAGCTACCCTTTTAAAACATAAATCAGATTATCTCACTCCTCTGCTTAAATCCATTCAAAAGTTTGCAACATATTTAGAAATAACTCAAACCCCTCATTATAGATTCCAAAGCCCGATGTGATCTGGCCGTGTCTGGTTCTCTAGCCTCATCTTGTACGACCTGCCTTCTCACTAGACTACAATATACACAAATGGTTGCTCCTGCCTGACAGCCTTTGCACTTGGTTTTCCTCTCTCTGGAAAGCTCTTCCCCCTAATTTTCCCAAGACTGGTTTCTTCTTGCCATTTAGTTTTCAATTGAAATGTAATTTCCGCATAGAGGCCATCTATAATCCCCAATCCTAAAGTAGCCACACAATCATCTGTTACAGTAACCTATTTTAATTTTCAACATAGCTCTTACCACTAGCTGCTACTTTTCATGTTGATTTATCTGTTCTTTGTCTGTCTCTTCCCTCTAAAATGTAAGCTTCATGAGGGCAGGGACCTTGTCTGTCTTATCGCCGCATCCCCAGGGCCTAGAGTACCAGGCAGAAGTTTGATAAATATTGATGTAGCAGGTAGAAATAGTATCTCCAGATAGCCAGCCCCCAACAGGATCACAGCATCTCTTAAGGTAGTTGAGGGAATAGAGAGGAAGCTCCTCTTTATACCTCCTGTGCGTCAGTGGTTTGTGCGTGTACCAGCAACACAGCTCTGGTGCATGGGGCTGCCCCGTGGAGGATGCTCCTCCATAGTGACCGGGTTTATGCAGCCTCCTTCCAACCCCCAGAGTATTCCCATCCCTAGCCTTCTTGTGAAATCAGCAAGACAGGATCACACAGTCATGAGCACAAAGTTGCTAACATGCCTGGACAGAATGGTGCAGCTCAGCTCATCTCACCTTCACATCAGTGCGGTCACTAACTCGGGTTTATGTGACATTCGAATTTTCATCTTATGGTTAGACTCAGAAATATAGGCCAAGCTCCAGTATAACAAAGTCCAAGTGCTTGTTTTAATGCTATTTTTTTTTTAATGATGATGTTCAAACTTTTGAAGAGAAATCTGAAAATGAATATTTAGGGCCCATCCAAATAAAGAAGTTTGATTAGGACTTTTTAAGAATCAATGTTATTAACAGGTTAAAAAAAGCAACACTGAGATGAAAAGCAAGTTTAACCATAATGAAGTTCTCTTTGTTTTCTTCAAAAATGCTTGTTAAACATTTTTTTAGTACTTTGGTATGGAGAATTGGCTGTGCATAGAATTGTTATTGAAATAACAAAACACTATAGTTGTAGGTAGTCCATCCATTAGGGAAGTGGTGGCTTGTTTGATTGGATTCCTTTTTATTCACTGTAATGAGATTTTTGCTTGGGGATTTAAATGTTTAAAGATTCAATAACACTGAAAATTCAAGTTCAAGAAATGATCGTGAGGCCCTGCTGGCCTGACCCAAAGTGAGATGATCGTGTGGCATTCAGGGGGTGTTTCTGGCAGTGCTGTTACTGTTAGAGAATGAGACCACCCTTCAAGGGGCTGCTCATGTCCACGGAGCAGAGTCCGTCTCTCACATTTGAGACTGGGGAAGGAAGGCATACATGACAGGCTGGGCCTCACCACACCCACCTGGACCTCAGATCCCTTGTGATGGGAAGCCCACTTGGGGAGTAGAACCCTTGGCAATACCGACTCAGGGTTGGTGAAATCGCCTTTTCATGACAATTGATGATTCTCATCCACTGAGGAAATTACATTTCACCTGAACTCCCCAGTCCCTCAGGCAATGGCCAGCAGAGTGTCAGAGGGCACAGCTGAAGGTGCGAGAGTCAGCATAGTGCATTTGCTGCAGGGTGGAAGCTTGCAACGAGGAAGGCTGGCAATAAATGTACATTATTATGTCTCCAGAAGTGCTTAGTTTTTATTTATTTCTAATTCTTTCTGCTTTTTTTTTTCACGAGCACTGCTTAGAACTCAAGTTCCTGGGATCAAACTTGTATCACACAGGCTGGAGAAGGCTGTGGAGAAACTGAGTCCTCCCAGGTCTCAAGGTGGGTGGAGGGAGCCTGCAGGGGTCTCCTTCCCTCCCCTCTTGCCTGTTCTGCCTGGTCAGAGCCTGCACACGAGTGCAGAGGGCTCCCTTAGAGAGGGCCGGGCTAGAGGAAGCTGAAGTTTCAGAATAAGCAGCTTATTCTGTGGCCTCCTTTCCACTACAGACTCCTTGAGGAGGAGTAAGACCCCAGAAGGACAGGTGAGTCTCACCTAGGCTGACCAAAGTCCAGCTCAGCCAGCCCGTGATCTATCCAAGACATCCGCCCACAGCAGTGAGAAGCTGATGCCACTCAAAGCCATTCTCAGTCTACATCCACGATGCTGGGAAAGAAAAACCAAGTTCAATTTACCAAAATATCTGTATTATCTATAAAAATTGAACTCTAATGAGTCACTGATACGGGAGGCAGCAATACCCGACTGTGCTGACATGCAGAAGGAAGACAGCTCTGTCCCACCAACCCTATAGCAGAACATTTGTATTGAGTGGCACGTGGGCTGAGTCATTTGTAAGGTCTCAAAAACCTGGACACTTTGGAACGTAGCAATCGGATGAACGATCTTGGAAACATCTCTCGGGACTCCTGGGCTGTGTACTTGAAATAGTTCTGGGGATGGGCCAGGACATCAAACAGAGCCTTGATAAGTTTCTTATCCTAAAAAGAACAGAATTTTTGTTACTGGGCCAAAATATTTAAATATGCTGACATTTTGCCCATGGAACTATAATGACCCAGTATTAGGCCGTAGCTTGCTTAGCTGAAAAACACTTGCAAAAATTGTTTCCTCTGATTTTTATCTTCTTTCCAGTTTTTATTTTTCCTAATTAGTTTTAAGAAGTATGAATTACTTTTATAAATAAAACTTTAATATGTAAAATCCTGTTTTCTTTTTCCCAACCAGATGAATGCAACACTGGGATTTGGGAGTATTTGTAGGATTAGTGATACCACAAGTGTTTATTGCTAATTATTTATAAGTATTTAAACTTTGGTGAATTTTAGGCTTGAAGTATACATAAAGAGCCAAGGATCCTCAACTATTTGGAATTAATAGAAAAACATTATTTGCTGTTGGTTTGGATTTATAAGCAAATTTCTCCCTGCCCCTCCACAAGTTTCCAAATTGAAAAATACAACTTCACTTGACAACACTAAAGACAGCAACCTGATTTTTTTAAAAATTAAGTCTGGTGAAGGTATAAAACTGACCTTGGCCCAGGACAGGCTCCGTGTCTGAAAGGTGGCAACAAGGAGCAGGAGGAGAAGCCTTCTCCAACAGTACTCGGGAAGCTCTGTGGATAACTGCCATGTCCACCTGAGCCAGGCACTCACCTTAAGTATTTCCTGATGGTTCTCAGATGCATAGAGCCTGCCATCTCGAACTATGTCTTCAATGAGTTCCTGGTAGTCCTCTGTTGGAATAAAGAACATGTTTTGCATTCTTATGATTTAGTTGCTTCCAAACTCACTCTTTCACTTTTTGATAAGGTTCTGAGAAATGCCCCTTCTGTGGCTGCTATCACTTACCATTCTGCTTACTGAGAAGACAGTCAGAAGAAAACTTCCACAGACTCCCACCACCACCTCTCTTCACCTACCAGCATCTGCACCCATCTTCCCCGTCCCCTCTTCCCTCAGACGAGCCTCTGTGCATCCAGTCCAGGCTCATCCCTCCACTTAGCATGCCAGGTCCATCTTCTCTCCCCAAATCAAAAGCATTGTTCTAGTAATTCTGCTCTTTCTTTCCTACATGATACATTTTTCTCTCTATTCGTCTCTCCCACCAGCATGCAAAAATGCTGTATGTCTCTGACTTTAAAAATCCCTCCCTTGACCTCATTTCTCCCTCCAGCTTCCATCTCACTTACCTGCTCCCTTTTGCAGCAAAAATCCTTAAAAAAATTGTCAGCACCCACTGTCTCTAATTCTTTTCCTTTCTTTCTCTCTTAAACCCAGTCCAATCAGCTTTGGCCCCCATCACTCCTCCAAAACTGCTTGGTGAGACCAGCAATGACCTTCATGTTGTTAAATCCCAACGGCCAGTTCTTGGTCTTCATCCTCCTTGATGCATCAGTAGCTTTTGACCTGGCTGGTCACTCCTCCTCCTTGATCCAGTTCTTCACTGAGCTTCCAGGACACCATGCTCTTTGGTTTTCCTCCTACCTTACCGGTTACTTCTCTGAGGCTTCTTTGCTTTTCTTCTTCTCTCTGACCTATTACCAAAGGAGGGTCCCAGGGCTTAGTCCTTGGTCTTCTCTTCTCTGTCTATACTCACTTCCTGTTGAGCTCATCAGGCTCTCCTTTCCCTCTCACCTCCCCACCTCCCGCTTTTTTCTCTATTCTTGTATTATGTAAAACAATCAAGCTTCTTATCCACCAAGAAAGACTCTTCTCTCCTTTATTTGAATGGGGCTGGAGGGTGGAGAATTTGGCTGGTCGGGGAGGAAGAAAACTGTGTGTGTTCTCTCATTAATATTTTTTGTCCTGATATACACATTAAATGCAGTGCATGCTGTACTTCTCCAAATGCCAATCTTCCCCCTTTGAAGTCTAGCTTACTTCCTATAGGCATCATTCAAATTAAGCATATGCAAAGCACAATCTTTTCCAAATTCCAGACACAGAAAAAATGCCTCTTTGTATGCATATCATGTGCGACAAAGCCAAACACATTATGAGAACATCATTGAAATTGTGTGAGAGGAACTCTTGAAAAGTTTCTCTCAGTTAAGGGATGGCAAATGGAAAGTAATGGTATAATAGTCACAATTACTAATTCGATATGTTTACAATAGCATTGGTACTCCATTAGTGTGGTGTCTTTCTTTTATTTTAGTGAATATAAAATATGAGAATACATTTTCTTTTCATCTTGAATTCCTCTGCGGCAGTATCTCTCCTCTTTTTGTTGATGGGACTTACCATTAAGAATGTCGGTTGCTGTGCTGCGTTCTGGTGTAATAGAAAACTAGACAGCTGTTTGCCACTCCACCAAATGCTTCCCGACTGCTATCGTTTAAAAAAAATATTTCTTCTGCTTTTAAGAACTACTGTGTTTCCTTACTTGCTCCAACTCATTAGAAACGCAGGAAAGTTACAGGTAAGAATCCAGGCTCTGGAGTCCCACAGTCCTGGTTCAAACCTTGCTTTGCAACCTTGCCATGCTGGGACCTTAGGTCAGTTCCTTAAATCTCTAAGCCTGAATGGCCTCATCTATAAAATCAGGAAATAATCAAGTCTACTTTATGGAGTGATTGTGAGGAAAGCACCATGTAAAAGTCACTTCAGCATGTACCTGGCAGTCAGCAATGCTCAATGTGTGTTAGCCCCAGCTACAGTTCTCACCGTTGTCCAGCGCTCAGAGGGCCCGTCTGTAGCAGCCTCATGTGCACCTTCTAAATGTGATTTCTATCCTTCTGGGTTTGAAAAGAAGATATCAAACTTTTTGGAAATATATGTTTGAAAAAAAAAAAACTCTGAGTGAAGGCCTTGGGAGCTTCTCTGTGGGGAAAATAGCAGTTTCCAACTATTCTCTACTGTGACACATGCAAGACTCACTCTCGTGGGCATACACTGCATTATGCGTAATTTTCCCCAGTTGGAGCTACAACTCTTTTTCATTTTAAAAAAAATCAAGACATTTTCATGTGTCACAAAGGCAGAGTTGAGAACAGCCATATTTATTTTGAAGTCTCAGTGTCTTTTTGCTTTCTTCCTGATTCCAGATAGGAGAGGTTGCCAGTTGGTTGCTTTTGGGTAGATGAGGCTCTCTGTCTCTCTCAGCAGAGCCATGTGGGAGGCATTTGGGTCCACCCCAAGAGATACTAAAACTCCTTGTCTTGGGTGTTTGTTTGACATTATTTCAGGCATCTGTAGGACAAAGATGATGATCCGTGCTTTTGTTACTTTTTAGGAAAGCCATAGAATATTGTCTTCCCAAACAATTTTGGCACTTGTCATCCTAAAATCCTTCAGTGGCTTCCTCTAAGATTAAGTCTATCCTCCAGAGCTTGGCCCTGAAGGCTCTTCACAGCTGAACCCCATTCCCTTCTAGTCTCCTCTCTCACTGCCAAGCCCCACACACCCAACCCACTGACCAAATAAGACCATTCGTCAGTCCACACGTACACCGGGGTACTTCATCCTTTGACTTATGTCCTTCCCTCTTTCTGAATGTCCTTCTCCCCCATTTATGCTCAAAATGTATATGTTATTTCAAGACCCACATCTCTCAAGACTTTGCTCTATTCCTTCTAAAAGCTCATGTAAAATTAACTGCTGCTGCTGCTTCCATGCTCACATAGGGCTTTGGGCTGTTATAGCAGCTATAACAATATATATATTTTGTGTTTCTGTCACTAACCATGTTGTTTCCAGCACTTAGGCCAATGCCTGACATAGTAGATGCTCATTAAATATTTGTTGGCTAGGTGAACAAATAAGCTCAGGAAGAAACAAATGACTCCTCTCCTACAGGACTGTGTAGTCCTCCAGGACAAAGATCCAGTTCATTTTATGCTCCTAGTCAATGTTTTCCAACCAAGTCTCAGAGCTAGGTAGAGCCCCAGGGCTCAGATGGGCCACCTCTTCATCTAACATGAAGAAAATTAAAACAGAAGTCATCTGACTTGCCCAAGATCCCACAGTGAGTCAGTGAAAAAGCCAGGACCAGAACTAAGGTCCTTCCCTGCCTCAGGATTCTACCTAATAAAAGCCACAATCATCAGAAGTTAATATTTACTGAACAATTGCTATGTGCCAGGCACTGCCTCACGTCCTTTAGGAACTCTCACTGAACTCTTAAATAAGTCTAATGATTATCCTCATTCGCACATTAAGAACTTGAGGCTTAGAGATGGTGGCATACACAGTCACAGAGAAATCATAGCCAGGCTAATCAGTCTGACTCCAGTGCCCATGTTCTTACTCACCAAGCTATGCTCACTTTTAATATATTTTATAAAACATCTTTTCCTCCTATTGTCAGTGTCCCCAAATGCCTGTTAAAATTTGGCACTTGTGAGTCAGCAATGTCTTTTCCCCTCATCTTGCCTGCCTTTCTGAGCATGTGTGCTTGTCAGCAGTTTGCCAGCTGGCTCCGAAGTTGGCTCTGTTCAAAGCAGAGACGCTCTTTCCATGTGCTGCAGGCTGTGCTTACCATCATATGTCACGTATGGGACCTGGAACCCTCTAGCGCTGTTCCCTTCATTGGACTTGAACTGAATCCACAGCTTCTTTGACCTGGAGGTGAAGGCGATGGGGCGTTCGTAGGTCTGGCAGGTTTCATATGTTGTCACAGAATTGGATGAAGCTGCCAAGGGAAGTTGGAGAAGGGTGGGGTTCAAGACTCATCACTGATCAGGCATAGAGTAGATGCTCATCTTTCTAAACACTCAAACCATACAATAAGTTATGCTCAAAAGCTCTTCAGGCCCAGCTGAGCCATCATAAGTCAAAGGTCCTGGAAACAGAGTAGATTCAGCTGGTAATTGTGGACCCCCAGGGGAGGCTACACCTGAAAGACCTGGGGCTTGGCAAGCAGCAGCAGCCCAGGCTGTACCGTTCACTGTAGGAGCTGGGTGAGGGCCTCCCATTCCAGAACTGACCTGCTGTCATCTAATTGTCATCACCACCATTTGCTGCCTAAGATCAGGCAGCATGCTAGGCAATTTATGGACTTTGTCTCATTTAATCTTCTGAAAACCACAGAAAGTTGGTGCAACCGTTACCTTTTTAATAGAGAGATTAAATACTTGCCCAGGGTCATATAGCCAGTATGTGGTAAAACAAGGATTTAAACCTATACTTGACTTCAGACATTTTAACCACTAATAAGAAGAGCAAACGTTTATATAGTGGCTCCATGTGTCATCATCATTCTTTGTTTGTTTGTTTGTTTGTTTGTTTGTTTGTTTTTTGAGACAAGGTCTGGCTCTGTCTACCAGGCTGGAGTGCAGTGGCATGATCACGGCTCACTGCATCCTCCACCTCCCAGGCTTAAGCGATTCACCCATCTCAGCCTCCCGAGTAGCCGGAACCACAGGCATGCACCATCATGCCCAGCTAATTAAAAAAAAAAAAATGTATAGAGACAGGGTCTCACCGAGCCTGGTCACAAAATCCTGGTTCAGCCTCCTCCCTCAGCCTGGGATTACAGGTGTGAGCCACTGTGCCTGGCCTATTCTAAGTGTTTCACATCTATGAACTCCTTTAGCCCTTATAACCTTATAAGGTAGCAACTGTTACTAGCCCCATTTTAACAGATGAGAAGACAAGTGCAGAAAGATTCAGAATGTGTGCCCGAGATCATAGAACTAGTAAGAGGTGGAACTGGGACAGAGATCCAGGCAGTCTGGCTGCAGAGAGCCCCTCATTACACTGCCCATAAGCTGTGTTGACAGCAGTCTTCCTTTATGGACACTGGACCATGAATCAGGATAGGAGGACAGGTCCCCACCTGGCCAGGCTCGGTCAGTCTCCAAGCCATCAGTTGCAACTCAGTATGAGGCCTTGTCTGGGGCCAACACTGCATGATCCTCACTGGCTCTCTGGGTCCTTGTGGAAGAGGGTCCAAAACGCCCCAGTGAGCACAGAGGGGAAGACTGACCTGCAGGATCACTACCTCTGGGGCCCAGCAAGACGCTTCAGTGTGTGGCTTTCATTTAAATTTTGTTTCTCACCAACTCTATAAACTCATGTTCACCTCTGCTCTAATATGGAGGTGACGTTCTAGGCCTGCCTCCTCACATTGAAAGCCTGAGGAGCAGGTCATCAGGCTTCCCAGCTGGCCTGAGAAAGGGAGGGAGGGAGTGAGACGCACAGGTTTTCCGCATCACCAGATAGTCCCCACAGTCGTCCTCTATGGGCAGGAAGATCTCAGGGACCACGATCAGGATGCGGCGCTTGGGGGGTGGGTTGATGGTCCACGTACACTCGGTGTTGGCTGGGTAATTGCCTGGGTAGTTTGGGGATTCAATGTACCCAGTGAAATCTCCCAGCTCCCCTCCACATCTTCTGTCTGAAAAAGGAGATGCCCCGAGTTATGGCACGACACTGTCATCTCTGTCCTGACCACCGCTAGCTTGCCGAGCCCCGCAGCACCCCTGTTGCCACCCAGGAATGGGGCATGAAAATGACACCATCTGGGAATGAGTCTGTCCTTCCCAGAGGGCCCCCTGTGGGAGCCAAACCATTAGCTCCCCACAAGGAGTCTACCCCTCTGAGTTCCTGAGGCACTGTTTTCTCATTAGCCCGAAAGTGTTCACGGTCAGGGCAGGTAATTGTGAACAAAAGGATAAATTTAGCTTTCAGTATTTTGTTTACCAAGTCCAAGTGCCAGAAGAACCCATGAGACAGAACTTCTAGGTCTCTCAAAATAGGGGGAACAGAGCTCATTGCTCTGCAGAGACTATCTGACCCTTTTTCAGAGAACTTTGATGAAGACAGACATATATTTTTCACTTTTCTCTCTGGTTAAGACCACATTTTATTTTTTATTCATCTTTTAAAAAAATTATTATTATTTTGAGATGAGGTCTCTCTCTGTTGCCCAGGCTGGAGTGCAGTGGTGCGATCATGGCTCACTGCGCCCTTCACCTCCTGGGCTCAAGCCTCCCAAGAAGCTGGGACCATATGCAAGTGCCATCAGGCCTGGCTAATTTTTTTTCCTCATTTTTTTTTGTGGAGACAAGGTCTATGCTGCCCAGGCTGGTCTGGAACTCAGGCTCAAGCTATCCCGGCCTTGTCCTCCCAAAGTGCTAGGACTACAGGCATGAGCCACTGCACCCAACCCACATTTTATTTTTAAGGAAGGAAGAAAATTCTAATTAGCTATCAGTAGGTACAGGGCATGCTGGATACCTACGTCTGGCACCAAAGACAGAGGCTGCACACATGTGCACATGCTTGCACAGACCCCTCCTTCACCCACAGCACCCAGCTGCATCTTCATTCATCCCAGAAGTGTCACCCAAAGCTCTGAGAGCTCAGAAATGAGAAAGACACAGTCTTTGCTCTCAAGGAGCTCATTATTTAATACTGTCAGGTAAATCTGTGCAAGAGAAGATGTTGAAGGGATTACTTTTTCCCTCTCTAGTTACAACTGGGATTTATTATTACTAGAAAAAAAATAAATAGGCTTTTCTTCTTGGAAGAAAAGAGGAGGAAGGGGGAGCCATGGGGCGGAGAATTGCCTTCAGTCCTGAAGGGCTGCCCTAGGAACTGTGCCATAAGGCTCCCATGGGGCCAACCAAGGGCCAGGTGGTGGAATACAAGGGAACATTCATCTTGTTCTAACACTGTGAGCTTTCTAAAGTCCAATCCACCAACAAGCTAGGATATCATGAGGTAGCAAGCTTCCTGTCACAGCAGGTATTCAAGAAGAGACTAGATGGAAGGCTACTTATAAAGATGTTGTTAAAAGGACTTCCTTGCAATAGAGAGAAAACCAGATGATCTTTCAATCATAAAGTTCTAATGATGTACTGCCCCCCTCAGTCCCAAGCTCCTCCAGTTTAGGGGGGGCCTCCTTGCTCCTCTGACTGCTATCTTAAAGATTAGCTGGGATTTACTTTTGGCCTTTACTACAGAGTTTTTGTTGTAATTTTGGTTATAAATAGTGGCTTTAAAAAAAAAGCCTAGACAGCAAGTCCTTAAATGATTTGCTTCCCCCTTCCTATAAAACACAAACCGGTCTCCTCAGCATCCATCCGAGGCTTTGCCTCCTGGTCTGCCTGAGACTCCCTTCGGCACATTCTAGCCTGAGGTCCAGGGGTCTCCTCCCAAAAGGCCTTTGCTTGCCTCGATCTGTGCTTCCCCCAGCTGCTCTCTCAAACATAAGGCTCTTTCTCCTACTCTTTCCCCACCCTCTCCATCAAAACCTTCTCACACCCTCCAGAAGCCTTTCCTCATCTCTCGAGACAGAGTCAATCGCTCCTTCCTCTGCAGCCTCACTGCCTGAGCTCCTTGCAGGTTCAGCGATGCCGACTCATTCTGCCTAATATCAACCAAGTCCCAGCAGAATGCTGGGCACGTAACAGGTCCTCAAGCAATGCATGCTGATCAAGGCTGGACTAAAATTATGCCCCAGGGAGGAAATTAAGGCAAGTACAGCTTGTAAGTGTGCCTGAGGAAGTAGCCAGGATCAATAAAGATGAGTCGCTCTGCACAGTCAGGCCCTGCTCTCTCTCCATGCTGGTCTGCATGGCTGTGAGCTGGGCTCATAACATCTACATGGTTCTGAGTGAACCTGGGACCTCTGCCCCGTGCCCCCTGCTCTGAGGTGGACCCAGACACCTATCTTCTTAGCCAGAACTATGAAAAGCCTTAGAGAGGGACCTACTTTTACACTGGGTTATGTTTGTGGAGCCATCAAAGTCAGTCGTAGTATTTCCTGGGCAAGAAACACAATTATTTTTTCCAAATTCAGGCTGGTATGTTCCCACTGGGCAACGAATACATCGGTGAGTGGTGGTGTTGTAGAAATGTCCAGGTGAACATTGAACTGTGGGTCAAGGGAGGGTGAAAAGAATGAAAAAAAGAAAGATTATTTTTAATCAAATGCAGCACAAAGATTTTAAAGTTTGTGAAAGAAATGTTTATGTGCAAATGAAGTAGGGCTTTCCTACCAATCTGGGGCTAATCAACACTTAATTCCCTAAATAGGCAGTGTGGATGGGGCTCATGAAATAGAGAAATATAGAGGAACAAGATATGTGTGTATCTCCAAAGAGTTTATGGTTCATGCAGAGTCAGGCATCAATGATCACAACTCCAGTCTTCATGCAGAGCACGTCTGTGAGTATAGGGGGCAGGCAGTTGCAGAACTGAGGTTGGGTTTAGAGTTGGGCTCCCTGGGAAAAGGCAGCTGGAGTGGGGTTCTGGAGAAGGGGTATTGGGGGGAAGCTCTAGGTCAGGGCACTGAGATGGAGGAGGGCTAGAGGAAGGAACCAGGGGAACCTGTGTACCAACTGGCTCATCAGTGCCTGATCATCCCTTGTCAGCCTGTCCAAAGGGGCTAAGGTGGCTGGAGGACAGCTTGTCCAGTGAGTTCCAGTGCCCCCTGCACATCCTGCTGGGGCGAGTGGAGCTGGGACCTGAACCCCCAGCCACTGGGGCACTGCATCAGGCTGGGCTTGACTGGAGCCTCACGAGACTCCCATGATACTTAGAAGGGAAATCCAGTCCTAGAAAAAGGCAAGCTGCCAAGTACTCACCTCTGGTTTCACAGTCCTGAAAGGAAGTAGCTCCCTGATGTTTGGTGGCAAGGCCTCCTCCACAGGGGAAGCAGGAAGTTCGACCAGCTTCAGGCTGGAACGTGCCCAGGGCACAGAGCTGGCAAGGTGCAAAGCCATCTGCAGAATATTCACCAGGTTGACACAGACCTGGAAGGACCAATAGCCTTACGTGAGCAAGGCCTCCAGGCAGACCCTTGCTCCCCACTCTCCAAATGAGACCAACTTCAGTCCAACCTGTTACCCAGTGCTGACCGCAGTTCCCACCTCAGTCAGAGAGCACACAGTCAATGCTGTGGTGCTTCTGACCCTGAGTCAATGGCACATGAGTGCCTGCTGTTTACACACAGGGCTACACAGCACAGTGCAAAGATGGAAACCAAGAAGTCAAGTGTCAACTGCTTCCAAAGTATGGGAAGGCCTGGGTAGTTCTCAGGCTTAGGCCTACACACTGCCTAGGCATCCCCTGCAATGCAGGAGAGAGAGTTCTCTGCCCTGGGACCAATTTGGTAATTAGACCCAGAAGTACCCCTTTACCCAGCTGATTACAGCCTATTGATATAAAGAGTGATCCGGGCTGGGCTTGATGGCTCACGCCTGTAATCTCAACACTCTGGGAGGCTGAGGCAGGAGAATCACTTGAGCCTAGGAGCTCAAGACCAGCCTAGGCAACATGGCGAAATCTCTACAAAAAAATTTAAAAATTAGCCAGACATAGTGGCACATGTCTGTAGTCCCAGCTACTCTGGGACTGAGGCAGGAGGATCACTTGAGCCCAGGAATTCCAGGCTGCAGTGAGCCATATTTGCACCACGGCACTCCAGCCTGGGTGATCCAGAAAGACCTTGTCTCTAAAAAAAAAAAAGAGTGACCCAAAGAGTCTCCCCTGTTTTAACAATAATATTTACTAAGTTAGATCTTACACATGTTATACCTGGGACAAGAAACACAGTCATAAACAAACAAAAGGATTTCTAAAAGCACATGTTCCTCAGGAATTAGTCATTGGCAAGATGCTATCAAAATCTGCTATCTATCTCTTATATTCTTAATCATCTCTCCTCTATTAATCATAGTGGTCTCATTTTCCCCCATAAGTTATAGATATGATGGCATTTCAAGAACACACACCATTGGGAGGAGCCTGGAGCCTGTCAGACCTGGGTTCTGATTCCACATCCTCCACTTGGCTGTGTGACCTTAAAAGAGTCACTGTAGCCTCGTGGAGTTGTAATGATTATATGAATTGTGAATAATTCATATAATATACTTAGCATAATGCCTGGCATAGGTAAATATTCAATACATGGTAGCTATAATAACCATTATTACTAATATTCTTATTGCTGTCATTTTTTTTTTTTTGAGACAGGGTCTCTGTTGCCTAGGCTGGAGTGCAGTGGCACAATCACAGCTTACTACAGCTTGACCTCCTGGGCTTAAGCTGTCCCTGCACCTCAGCCACCTAAGTAGCTGAGATTACCATGTGCCACCACGCTCAGCTATTTTTTGTTTTTTTTAATTTTTTTCTACAAACGAGGTCTCACTATGTTGCCCAGGCTGGTCTTAGGGTTAGGGTTAGCCACCTGAGCTCAAGTGATCCTGAACCCAAAGTGCTAGGGTTACAGGTATGAGCCACCATGCCTGGCCTAAATTTTTCTTAATAAGGTCACATAGGCCGGGTGCAGTGGCTCACGCCTGTAATACCAACACTTTGGGAGGCCGAGGCAGGTGGATCACCTGAGGTCAGGAGTTTGAGACCAGCCTGGCCAACATAGCGAAACCCCATCTCTGCTAAAATACAAAATTTAGCAGGGCATGGTGGCACGCACCTGTAATCCCAGCTTCTCTGGAGGCTGAGGCATGAGAATCACTTGAACCCAGGAGGTGGAGGTTGCAGTGAGCCGAGATTGCACCACAGCACTCCAGCCTTGGTGACAGAGTGAGACTCTGTCTCAAGAAAATATAATAATAATGTCACATACAAGGGTAAATTCATGCCAAAATGTCACCCCTCATCAACCTTGCAGTTAGTTTTGGAGTTTTATAACAGACCAAAGAGATGATAGGAGTCACACAGTCAATATGAGGATTTGATTTTTAAGCCAGAAACAGCCTTGCAGTTCAGTTTGGAGTTATTTAGGTGGGAAATAAAGCTGAGGCTGGGAGTCACTCCAAGGACAGCCGTGGGAGCAGCACGAGGGGTCTTCACTCTGCCGTGGCCATCAGATATAAATCACCATTCAGATCACACCTGCCATTGGAGCCCACAGAGTGTCAATACAGCCAGCCCTTCTCCCATTTAATAAAAGGAAGACATTTAATAATAAAATAAATAGGAAAGCCCACAGAGCTTGAGATTGACTTCAAAGTTAACATTTTATAAGAGATAATGAAAAGCTCTTCACAGAGGAGGTCCCAGTTTTAACAAAATAAACGGATATATTTGTTTTAAATAAAAAAGCTAAGAATTTGAGACCAAAGCTGGAGAAAAACCCAGACCTCCTCTCTTCATTTTAACACTTTCAAAACAGTACCTATAGATAGGGAAATCACTCAGGTTTCAGGTGTATATATTTCCAGTGAAGAAAGCACGCAGTTTCAACACTTACGCTCTTCTGCTAGTGTATTCTACCCCATCTTCATTTATTTGCTCAAATGAGTATCTGCCCAGCATGTGTCAGGCACTGACCTAGGCACTGGTGAGCCAAAGATGAATCGAGCCAACGTGGTCCCTGCTTGTAGGAAGCCCCGGGTGAGTGTGCATTGTCTGGAGTCCTTGAGATGCCTTCTGTCTAAACAATGACATCAGAGATGGGAGGAGTAGGAAGGAACAGACAGCATCCTTACCTCCACATTCAGACATATTCCAAGCTTCTGGGGTCTTCAGGGCCCCAGAATTTCCTGGTCTTGGGCATGGTTCACAAGTCATTTGTCCTTCCTCATTTTGGAAGGTTCCATTTGGACATAAAATGCAGCGTTCTCGTGCTCCATCATAATAGGTCCCAGCCCTGCAACTGACTAGCCAAAAGGGAAACAACCTGGTCAGTGTGGACACAAAGGCCAAGGAAGGATGATGTGAGTTCTAGAGATGAAGGCAAATAGATGGCACTGACCACACCACCCACGGCATGCAAACTCCCTGAATACGCAGTGTGCCCTGCCTTGGTTCTCTCTGCACACCTCTGCACAGCTTGATCCTCATTGCCCCGTTAGAGGTGTTTACAGCTCTGTCTCTCCCTAGACCATGAGCTCCTTGAGAATAGGGATCACAGGGGTTCGAATTATTTTTGTAGCACAAGCACTTGATGGTTGAAGAGAGATTTTTAAAAATCCTGGATCTCCCTACTTCACAGGGCTGTTGACACAATTATAGAGGTTAAAATCATTCATTGAACATAGGTCTAGTGCTGGAAGAACAGAGTGTTATTAATTCTGTCTGGTGGCATCCCGAAAGGTGTCCTAGAGGAGGTCACATTTGTGTCAGGCCTTGAAGGATGAATAGGATCTTCGCAGTTGGGAAAGGGGGCAGGTTCTAAAAGTTCATGCATTAAATCAGGAGGAGAGGAAAGAAAAGATTGGGAATAGACTGCAAAAGTTCTTGAGTGCCAGGCATTTGGATTTTATTGTCACAGGTAAAGGAATCATTGAAAGGACAGGAGTCAGGCATGGTGGTGTGCGTCTGTAGTCCTAGCTACTGGGGAGGCTAAGATGGAATCACCTGAGCCTAAGAATTTGAGTCTAGCCTTGGCAACATAGTGAAAATGAGACCCCTTCTCTAAAAAAGAAGAAAGAAAAGAAGAGGAAGATGTCCAGAAGCTGTGTTTTGAAAAGTTCATTCTCTGGTGGCCGGCTGGGATGGGTGGTGATCTCAAGACCCTTACAAAATAGCACACTTCAGGTTCATAATAAACAATACAACAGGCTGTGCGCAGTGGCTCACACCTATGATCCCAGCACTTTAGAAGGCCAAGGTGGGCGGATCACCTGAGGTCAGGAGTTCCAGACCAGCCTGGCCAACATGGAGAAACCCCGTCTCTACTGAAAAAACAAACAAACAAAACAGAAAAATTAGCTGGGTGTGGTGGTGCACACCTGTAATCCCAGCTACTTGGGAGGCAAGGCAGGAGAATTGCTTGAGCTCTGCAAACGCGGAGGTTGCAATGGGCCGAGATGGTGCCACTGCACTCCAGCCTGGGCCACAGAGTGAGGCTCTGTCTCAAAGAAAAAAAAAATCAATACAACAAAGTGTAAATGCTGGTAAATAAGGAAATTCATCAATGTTGCTTCTGGTTCTATTTCTAGTACTGTTAAATGTAGATTTGTACCTTATGTTAGGCTATGAATATGAAGCAAACATACCAAATTTGGCTCCCTACTATTCAAACATCATCAGAGTCATCGCATTTCTAATGACTAACATTTGTTGAGTACTTATACCAGACACCATGTCAAAAGCTCTACATATAGTATTTCATTTATTCCTCAACACAGCCCTAAGGATCTAGGTACTATTATTAGCACCCTTTTACAGAAACAGAGACTTAGAGAGGTTAATAATTTGGCCAAAGTCCCACAGCTAATTTGTGAAATACTCCTATGGTACTGTAAGATCAAGAGCTTTGAGTTTAAAAGGGAAAAAAGTTATTTAACAAACGGGCAGATTTAAGTGCAGTTGAAGACTTTATCAAGGATTCTCTATGGGGCTAGGAGAGTTTGACTGGAACAAACATTCTCTATATGTAAGCTGCCAAGAAATAGAAAAAAATTACATGATAAAGTTAACTATTACAGCTCTCCAGTGTCTGTAACAAGGGAGATCGGTTTTCATCCTATTCTACAAATGCAATTTGCATATATATTCTTAGGGTTAAACATGGGAACGTTCTCTGTTATAAGAAATAAAAATGTCTTTTCATTATTCATTCCAAAATCTTAAAAAAAAAATCAGGCTTTTGGATCATGGTAAGCAAAAAATATGCCACATTTTAAATATTATTTCTACAATTCAATGTAACCAATTAATAAAGTCTATCCAAATATCTAAATCTTAATACTCATATTTCTTGGATTTTCTTTTACAACATTCATGTATCATTTAAATACAATTTTATATATATAGATTTTTTGAGATGGAGTTTTCACTCTTGTTGCCCAAGCTGGAGTGCAATGGCGCGATCTCAGCTCATCGCAACCTCCGCCTCCTGGGTTCAAGCGATTCTCCCACCCCAGCTTCCCAAGTAGCTGGGATTACAGGCAAGCACCACCATGCCGGGCTAATTTTTTGTATTTTTAATAGAAACAGGGTTTCACCATGCCAGCCTGGCTGGTCTCGAACTCCTGACTTCAGGTGATCCACCTGCCTCAGCCTCTCAAACTGCTGGGATTATAGGCATGAGCCACCATGGCCGACTACAATTTTATATTTTTAAAAAATTAAAAGTGAACCAAACTCTTGTTTTATTGGCAAACAATATTATAATGAGACTGATGGCAAATAGAGTATAATTCCAGACTTCTTCTCTAAATGCAGCCCTACTGGATAATGGTTTCCATATCGCTCTGGTTCCAGCCCATCTCTCATGTAAAGCTGGGCTGAATTCTGTATTACGAACTCACGTTTTACCCTGTGTCCCACTTGACTCTTTCAGTGTCTGTAGCAGGCCAGTATATCAGAGAATAACTCCTTCATGGCTCTAAGGAGCTCACCTGTCATGAAGCAGGTAAAACCAAGGCTGTCCAGAGCCCCTCTGCTCAGCCATTTCTATCTGAAGAAGAGCTGTTTTTACAATACTCATCCACGGAAGGGAAAGTGCCGATATGGTGACAATGATTCCAACAGCCCCATTAATCATAACGTAGAGTCACATCACCATGGTCTGTTCCATCATGGTTCCTCTGGCAGAAAACAGATGTCCTCAGCAGGTGGACAACACCAGGCCTGGTTCTCACTGAGCCAGGGACCAGGATGGGCTCCTGCTGCTCTGCTGTCCCTGCTGCTGAGAACTCTTTCAACCTCCACAGCCTTTGCAAGGTGACCTTTAGAGAGACCTCACAATATCCCACCTCTGTGCCATTTCTTAACTGCTCGAAGTGCCAAGAAACCCTTCAGGCTGCCCTGTGGAAAAGAGGGCACCAGTTCTTTTTCCTCACAATGAAAGGCCTGCTTCACATAAACAAACTCATATTGTCAGTCACAGTGTCCATTTTCCTTCCAGAGAGAAAGACCTGCAGAAATAATTCATGCCAAGCACCTCCCAAATATATTTGATTCTTTCACAAGGTAAAAATGAGCTAAACACTAAAAGGCAACTCTGAAATATCATGAAGGGATGCCTGAAAACCGCTCTTTGCAAATGTGCTGAGAATCTGGCCTGCAGAGACCTCAATCACACGTTCCAGTGGCTTCTCTCTTCTCCTTCAGCAGCCAGCTTGTTTTGCTGCCCAGGACAAAGGAGTCAATTGCCCCCAGAACACTTCACTATCACAGCAAAGCTTTTGTGTGCCTTCAGTGACCATTAAAATCTCATTCTCAAATCCCACACAGCTGTTTTTTCTCCTTCTTTAAAAAAGATACGAGAAAGCTTTTCTGATGCAAAAGGGACAGACCAGCAGGATGAGGATTAATGGCGACAAAGAAGCTTGAAGCCTCCGCCTCTTTTCAGCACTGTGGCCTTTGAGTATTTCAGGCTATAGACAAACACTATGGTCTCTCTGTGGCTAAGATGATGAACCTAATAAAAGGGGTCACCCTCTAGTATTTGACTGCTTTCTTAAGAATCACGCCTTGACTTCTGAAGAAGAGCCATAAGCAGCCCACGTGGATTCCCAGGGTGCCCCAGGGCTGCTGCTTTGTCCCAGTCCAGAGGTGCTGATGCCCCAGGCAGAGTTGGCCTCAGGATCCTGGTTTGAGCTCTCTTTAAATGACTGCCCCCATGATAACAGGGGACAGTCCTTCTTGGGCTGAGAGATTGATTTTTCATTGTCCAGGTTTTTGACCTGTGCTCAGGTTTGCTCTTTAAAAACATTCCTGTAGTTGAGGCAGAGAAATGAGCCCAGCTTGATGCCTTCTTCCTTATTGGGTTCCCAAATGCACACTATGTTCTTTTCATGCCTAGTTAACTGGAGCTGAAATTTCACTTCCTTTAGAGTGCCTTTTTTGCCCTCAATTTAAATATTTCTCCAAAGATTTGCCCTTTGCCCTCTTTTCTCTTAATGTTATCTACTATCCTTGGGATTTCATCTGTTGTCCCTGTGAAGATTCATTTACTCATTCATTCAATAAGTACTTATTGAGCACTCATTATGTGCTGAGTACCGTTCTAGGAGCTGGAGACACAGCAGAGAAGAGACATGACCCTGTTCTAATGGGGTTCTCAGGGCAGTAAATAAATGAGCAATAAATCTCAATGAGCAAGCAAATAAGTATGTAATAGAATGCAAGTAGTAGTATGATGAAGAAAAGGAAAACAGGGGAAGATTACAAAGAGGGGGTAGGGATGGAGTTTGTATATATGCTATTTTAGAACTGTGGCCAAGAAAGGCCTTTCTGAACAGAGACCAGAATAAAATGTGGGAAACAGGCTGGGTGCTGTGGCTCACACCTGTAATCCCAGCACACTGGGAGGCTGAGGCAGGAGGACTGCTTGAGCCCAGAGTTCAAGACCAGCTTGGGAAATATAGTGAGACCTCGTCTTTCCAAAATCACCTTAAAAAGTTAGCTGAGCGTGGTAGTGCATGCCAGTGGGAGAATAGCTTGAGCCCAGGAGGCGGAGGTTGCAATGAGCCAAAATCACACCACTACACTCCAGCCTGGGTGACAGAGCAAGACCCTGTCTAAAAAACAAACAAACAAACAAACACAAAACAACAACAAAAAAAAACAGGAAATAGCCTTGCAATGAGATTGCCTAATAGCAAGAAAGGCAGTGTAGTAGGAACACAGCATAAGGGGGTAGGGCAATAAGAGAGGAACTTTAAAAAGCAAGCAAGGGCCAGATCACATGGGTGCTTGAAGGCCATGGTAAGGAAATTAGACCTTACCCAAAGTATGTTGGAGGTTTGAAATGGGGCAGTGACACAATCTGATTTATGTTTTTCTTTTCTTTTCTTTTCTTTTCTTTTCTTTTTTCGTTTAGGAGACAGGGTTGCGCTCTGTTACCCAGGCTGGAGTGATCATGGCTCACTGCAGACTCAACCTCCTGGGCTCAAGTGATCCTCCCACCTTAGACTCCTGAGTAGCTGGAACTACAGGCTTGCACCACCATGCCCAGCTAATGTTTTAACTTTTTGTAGAAATAGGGTCTCCTGGGCTCAAGTGGTCCTCTGTCTCGGCATCCGAAAGTGAGCCACTGTACCCAGCCTGATTTATGTTTTTAAGAGATGTCCTGGCTGCTGTGTGGAGAACAGATGGAGGCCAGGCAAGGCTGAGGAGAACAATTCAGAGCCTGGTACAACAGACTGAGCTAGAGATGACGGTGGCTTGAAACAGAGCAGTAATAATAACGGAGGAGGAGAAAACTGGTCAGATAAAGGAAATTACCTGAAGGCAGAGCTGACAGGATTTGCACACGGACTGGATGAGGAACGCAACAGAAAGGGAGAGGTCAAGATGACTCAGGCTTTCCACTTGAGCAACTGGGTGAGGCGAGGTGCCCCTTACTGAGATGCTGGTTTGATTTGATTTGAAGCTTGAGAGGATAAGAAGCTTTGTTTGGAAACACTGAGTTTGAGATGCCAGTTGGCCATCCAAGTGCGGACACTAGGAAGGCACGGGTTCTACTGTTGGTCTCTGAGGCGGAATACTACACCTCGGGGGTTGACAAGATGATCCACCGGGTGGGAGCACGTTTCTACACCCATGCCTACGAATTTTCACCTAAAATAAGAAACAAACGAAGCTCCTCTGGTTTAGAATATGGTGTAAGAGCAGCCTCCCAGCCAGTCTCCATCTCTGTGAGGCACAAGACACATGTGAGGAGCCAGGGTCGCCAAGAAAAGAGAAGCACTGGCACCCACAACTCGGGCGCAGGGCACTGACTGACTCTCGCCTCTCAATACATAGAGAATAGTTACAGCTTAGCTATGCCTGGGTAATGAGATGTCCTGACCTATATGATCGTGTTTTTAACTAAACTAACCATCACAAAATAGAAAGCAGCTTTGATGGATTCCCGGAAAGAACACCCGACTGAAGGGCGTAAACGTGACGCGAGCCCATGCGCACCACAGGAGTGTCCGTGGGCGCATCTTCTGCTCCTAGCACAGCAGCCACGCGCGTCCGCACCACAGGAGAGGGCCCGTGGGTGCATCTTCTGCTCCTAGCACAGCAGCCACCCGTGTCCACAGTGGAGCGGAGGTTTCCCATCCAAGACCCCCAGTGGGTGCCTGGAACCTCGGAGAGTACCACACCCTATATACACTAGGGGTTTTCCTATGCGTGCTTATTCATGATAAAGTTTCATTTATAAATTAGGCACAGCAAGAGATTAACAATAATAATAAAATAAAACAATTATCACAACATATTATAATAAAAAGTTATGTGAATGTGGTCTCTCTCTCAAAGTATCTTATAGTACCGTACTCACCCTTCTTGTGATCTGTCAATCTGATAACTGAGATGACTACTATGTGACTAACATGGGGGAGGGTATACACCGTGGGTACACAGGAGAAAGGGAGGATTCATATCCCAGGCAGGATGGGGAGGGTACACAGCGTGGGTACGCAGGAGAAAGGGAGGATTCATATCCCAGGCAGGATGGGGAGGGTACACAGCATGGGTACGTAGGAGAAAGGGAGGATTCATATCCCAGGCAGGATGGGGAGGGTATACACCGTGGGTACGCAGGAGAAAGGGAGGATTCATATCCCAGGCAGGATGGGGAGGGTACACAGTGTGGGTACGCAGGAGAAAGGGAGGATTCATATTCCAGGCAGGATGGGGAGGGTATACACCGTGGGTACGCAGCATAAAGGGAGGATTCATATCCCAGGCAGGATGGAGCAGGACAACACGAGATTTCATCACACCACTCTGAAGAGTGGGCAATTTAAAACTTACAAATTGTTTATTTCTGGAATTTTCCATTTGATATTCTTGGACCATGGTTGACCCAGGTAACTGAAACCACAGAAAGCAAAACTGCCTATAAGGAGGCACTAGTGTATTACCTCTTTGTCAAACTACATCATGAGACAGAAACAGTTACGATTTAATCTGGTCTGTCAAGAGTTCACCTAAAGCACTAGCAATAGTCAAAAAGACTATAGGACAAATGGATTTGCAACCACCACTATCAATAATGAACTTCGCCCAATTGTAAAGATTCTACCTTAAGATGCTAGCCAGTTATTTTTAAATTTGTTTAATCTTTATCTTGTTCTGTCTTTTGTGATGAACATAGTGTACTAGCCAATAGTGTAAGTATATAGTTTATAAATAAGTAAACATTCATATATATTTTACTTAGAGGGAGAGAGAATGTGTGTGTGTGCATTCTTAAATGTTCAGCATCTCTGGGACAAAGGAGCTGGAGAGGGCAGTTTCAGAATCGCCAGCATGTGGTGGTATTTAAAGCTATGGCACTGGGTAAGGTCACCAAGGAGAGTGTGAAGACAGAGGAAGGGACGAAGGATTCAACCCTAGGATAATCAGAAAGTAGGGGAGGAACCGGAACCAGCATTGAAAATGAAAAGGGAGCAGCCAGTGAGGTATGGAGAAGCAGAAGTGTGTTGTGTCTGAAACCCACAGGAAGAAAGTGTTTCCAGGAGAGGGAGTGATCAGCAGAGAGGATGCCTCATGAGGAGTGAGGAAAGGCAACTGGATTCGGCATCACAGAGGTGGTTAGGAATCTTGGAAAATGTTTCTGTGGAGAGGTTAGGCATGAAAATCAGACTGAAGAGAAATGGGAGGTAAGGAGGCAAAGACAGTATGACTACGGCTCCTTCAAAGAGCTTCGTTCTACACAGAATGGGGGACACAGAAATGAGGCAGTAGCTATAGAGATGCATGAAGTCAATGGAGGGTTTGTTTGGTTTTTAAGACAGGAGATGGGTTTGTGTGATGTTGGAAATGATCTAGCAGAGGAGAAGAATTCTGAGATGGGAGGGGTTGATGGGGACAGCATGGGCAACATTCTTAAGAAGCTGAGAGAGAACAGGCTCCAGCTTGAGTGCAAGATAGAGGGGGGCCTTAGAGGCATGGGCTGCCCATCCATTTTAACAGGAGGCAGGTCTGAGCCTGTGTGGACAGACTCGGGATTAGGCAAGTTAGGCTGGACATGAAGAGAAGAAGTTGTTTCGCTAGACTCCCAGACACCCATGGACACCTCTGCCTAGAAATCTTGTTGCCCAAGGAGCACTTCTCTCCCTGGCCTCTGGCTTTACTCCTCTTACAGAAGCATCTCTATTTTCCCAGGCACCAAGGCTCCAAATCACAGCTCTCCCTGGCTTCTCTCCTCACTGCCCTGTCACTCAGCGGCAGCATCCTACAGCTGTGTCCCTTCTCTCTATCCCCTATTCTTCGTCCCCATGGCATGAATGTCCCTTAGATCCTCACCGTCTCTTATTTGGATTGCCGCAGTAACCTTCCAAGATTCCCCTGGCTTTCTGTCCCTCCCTGCCTCCACTCTTTCCATTCTACCATCAGATGCACCTTTCTAAACTCTTTTTCTGATTGCTTCACTCCCTGGCTCAAAAACCTCCTTGCCTTGCCTTCCTGCACTCCTCTCAGTTTCTCTGACTCAATATTCAGGCTTTAGCCTCCTTTTATGTATCTTTTTCATCCTTTCTCATGCTCTCTCAAGAGCCTATTTTTTTCCTGCTTCTCCTATAAATCTCTTCTGATTATTTCTTCCCCAGTGATCACATTCATTTCATCATTCAACCAACCCCCTGGCGTTTTCTCAGTGCCTCCTGCATATGAAACAGGGCATGGTGAGATGAGGGATGTATGGGAAGCAAGTGCCAGGATCACAGGCCACATCAGAATCCTCTGAGCTCAGCCCACCTCTTTCCCCTTCTCAGTCCCCAATCCATGTCATCCCCAAATGCTGCTCATTTTCCCTCTTAAATATTTCTCTAACCCATTGCTGTTTCTCTATCTAGGACCTGCATGTTCTCAGTATCTCATAGGCAACACATTCAAAAGCCCCCAGATTGGTCTTTCTGCCTCTAATTCTGCTCCCTCCAGTAAAGTCAGAGAGATCTTTCTAGAATACACATATGACCTGGACACTTCCCGAGTAAATCCTCCAATGGCAGCATGTCACCTAGAGATAAAGTTGAGGCTCCTTAGCAACATATCCAAGGTTGCTGCAGAGGAACAGCAGTAAGCTGTTACAAAAGGAATTAAATGTTCCTAGTCTCTCAAGAACCCAGGCACTAAAATACTTCCCAGTTTGCCAGTTGTCTGGATTGTTTCTTCTAAAAATCTCAGCAAGTTTTCAAAACAACCAAATACAGTATATATAATACATACATACATACATACATATATACACACACATGCATACACACACATATATATTATCCAGTGTATTTCTTAAATAATTTATCTTTTAGCTGGTATTATGAAAGTACAATAGCTAGACATCCATGTCATATAGTTAATTTTCTTTAGACATGAAGAACTTTATGAAGTACTACAGAGCTTAAGAAATTTGTTCCTTGGACCCTATAATCATTTTTTTTTTTTGCCATCTTGTTAAAATTGATCACAGATGGTACAAAGGTCACTTGGAGAGCAGGCTGTCCCCAAAGTCCCCAAATGCCAAATTAATGAAACTTTACTATATAAAATAATGATAAGAAAGAAAATATACAATTGGTCAGAAGTGATTATTTTCTCTGGTGTAAATTGGGACTTTAAAATTTATTTTTTAATGCTATACAAAGGACAAACAGTTCAATGCAAAAATAGGCAAAGAATATAGATGTTTTCAGAAGAAGGAATCCAAATGACCACAGGCATAAGACAGCATGCTTAGTCTTACTAATAAAGAAAACCAAGTTAAAATGACTATTTTTTTTTTTTTTTGCTTACCAGATTTGCAAAAATGAAAAGGATCAATGATAAATAATCCATGTTAGCAAAGATGTAGGATGCTTCCAACGTTGGAAGCGACATGCATAGGCATGATCTTTTGGGAAAGTAATTTGGCAGTATCTATTAAAGTTTTAAATATGCAAGTTCTTTGAGTCGGCCATTGTACTTTTGCAAGTCTATCCTTCAGAAATATTGGCCATGTGTACAAAGAATGATATTCATTGAGCACTATTTGCCATATAAAAATTAGCAATAACTTCTATGTTCACCAGTAGGGGTAGGGCTAATCAATACTGGTGTCTTCAAACAAATACAGCCTGGGAAGCTGTAAAAGAAATGAGGTTGCTCCGCTATCATGTTAGAGAGATGTTCTTGATCTAACTACAGTTAAAAACAACACATAGCACTATTCAAATTGTATTGATATTTGTTTTTTATTTTGTTAAGATAGGCTCTTGGTCTGCCACCCAGGCTGCAGTGCAGTGACACAATCATAGCTCACTGCAGCCTCGAACTCCTGGACTCAGATGATCCTCCCGCCTTAGACTCCCGAGTAGCTGGGACTACAGGTGCTACCAACCAACATAGTGAGACAGAGTGTCACTATGTTGCCCAAACTAGTATTGAACTCCTGGCCTGAAGTGATCCTCCCACCTCGGCCTCCCAAAGTGCTGGGATTACAGATGTGAGCCACTGCACCCAGCCTATTTTTTTAAAAAGATATATCTATTCATACGTAAACCTACAGTCTACTTTCAACACAGTAGCCAAAGTTATCTTTTGAAAACATGTCAGTTACTCCTATGCTCAAAGCCCTCCACTGGCTTCCTTTCTCATCAGATTCGGGATCAGGGTCCTCCCTGGTTTCGAGTTCCCTCTGCTACTGCTCTGCCCTTGCTCTCCCTCCCTGCCTCTCTCAGCTCTCATCCTTCTGGCCTTCCTTCCAGTACCTTGGGGTTTTCCTATTTGTTGTTCTCTTTGCCTGAAACTCTCTTCCCCCAGATATCTCCATAGCTTGCTTCTTGCTGTCCTTTGCGTCTCTGCCCAAATGACACTTTGTAATGAGGCCTTCCCTGACCACAGTCTGCACTTTGGGGGAGTACGCTCCTCATCCCTCACCCCTCACCTTGGCCTGGCACTTTCCATTCCACTTCCCTGCAGCCCTGCTCTCCATATCCCTGTCGCCCTCTGCTACATGATAGTAGTATCTTTCCTCGTTTATTGGTTGGTTGTCTACCTTCTTCCTCTAAAATTGTAAACTCTGTGAGGGCTGAGATGTTTGCGTGTTTCTTTATTGCTGGATTCCTGATATCTAGAATGGTACCTGGCACACAATTGGTGCTCAATAAATATTTATTGAATGACTATATAAAATTTCCTTTTTATATGTGCATAAAAACAGTTGTGGAAAAATCACACAGCAAACTATAACAGTGATTACTGCTGGGGAGTTGGATTAGGGAGCTGTGGAGAGAACTTTCATCTTTACTGTATACATTTCTGTGCCATTTGAAACAGGCACTACTTTCATAATTGAAAACTAAATTTAAAATATTTAAAAAGATAAACATAATGGTTCCATCTCTCCCCCCAGGAGAGATGGAAGTGACTCCATTTTTCTTTTTTTGAGCTCTTTTCTGCAAATACCGAAAATCATTTCTAAAAGGAACTATCCTAAGCTTGTCTCCACTGTACCATCCAGAGCTCAGAAAACATCAGCAAGCCTGGTCTTTATGAAGTCCTAACACCATCAAATAGACCAGGACTAGAAGACAGACAGACAGACACACACACACACACACACACACACACACACACACACACACACAGCCTTGTCTATGCCACATGCTGCCTTCTGGATAAAAAGCCTTTCTAATTAACACACCTGACACTTCTTTACACCCACTTCCTCCCTCAGCAGCAAGAGGGAATGTCACTGGTAACTGCTTGAGCCGTTTTCTCTGCATGGTAAAATCTTCAACATTGCTGTCAGACCTGGACCTGATTTGATGCTGTGAGGGCTACAGAATTCATCCAGTGTTTGGGAGCTCCTGAGACAAGACACATTGGCTCCCCTAGAAACAAATCAAACCTAATTTAGCATGACAAGCATCTCAGGGACACATTCACACACCACCACAGCTACACAAACCCTCTACTGAGTGTCTTTCTTTCTTTTTTTTTTTTTTTTTTTTTTTGAGACGGAGTCTTGCTCTGTCGCCCAGGCTGGAGTGCAGTGGCACGATCTCGGCTCACTGCAGCCTCCAACTCCCTGGTTCAAGGGATTCTCCTGCCTCAGCCTCCCGAATAGCTGGGAGTATAGGCACGCGCCACCACGCCCAGCTAATTTTTTGTATTTTTTTAGTAGAGGCGGGGTTTCACCATGCTGGCCAGGATGGTCTCGATCTCCTGACCTCGTGATCTGCCCGCCTTGGCCTCCCAAAGTGCTGGGATTATAGGTGTGAGCCATCATGCCTGGCCCCGAGTGTCTTTCGTAGGCTGTTGTGGTCATGAAGCCCCTGTTAAGTAACTCCTGCTCCTTATCCTTGGGCCTTTACTCCCCAGGAACATACCCATGGTAGTATTAGTGATACCCTCACTGGGAGCCAGTCCATGGGGCCCTTGACATTAGGTTTTCTTGACTTTTTAACTGGCCACAAAGACTCCCTGGCCCGTCCGTGAGGCCTAACCCCAACAGGATAGCAGACGGGGGAGGGGTGCAGTGTAACCCTGAGAGGCCAGGAGGGCCCTGACAGTTTCTGCAACTCATCCTGGAAAGTAGGGCAGCCACAGCCAACTCTCCCCACTATTTTAGTACGGAAACTGGAACTCTTAGAATTTTAAATGAGAACAGATCAACCAGCTGGGCTGTTTTTACTTTTTTCCACTTTGTTTCTTTTTAAGAGAATCAGCTGGAATGAAAATCAAGACTATCTGGAAACCAGCCTCTTGTAGACAGTTACACTTGATTTTGCACTTGATTTTCACTAAGTTTTGGCAAAGCAACAAATTTGAGCTGTGGGCCTAAGGCTGACAATTCTCTGGAACAAGTGCCCCTGGATTCAGCTTTGCTTACTTAGAAATACAAATGGGATTCTTACTCCTTAGCTAAGCTTGGGCCTCATGATTCTACTGATACTTAGGAAAAGGACATCAGTTTATCCTGGAGAAATCTAATTACTGAAATTCACCCTGCTTGGGACCAGAGCACAGGCTTTGGAATCAGAACATCAGCCACTTCTTTCCTGTTCCTCAAGTCAACCAACATTTTAGTGCCCACCACAAGCCAGATACTATGCCAGGTGCTGAGGACAGGGAGATGAATGAGGTCAGTCTCACTCCGGGGAGCTCTGGGCCTAGCAGGGACGACAGACACAAACGCAACAGTTACTGAAACAGAAGCACTGCCCGGAGTGTTCTCTAAAGTGAGCCCTGAGAAGGGAGGATGGGCCAGACTTGCCTTCGGTTACCCTGAGTGTTTATGGAGCCCAAGGCTGTTCTGTTAGCAAGAATGTCCCAGGCCACTCACCACATTGGTTTTCTGCATGACCCTGGCCCACTCCACAGGACTCTGCCTGGCGTTCAGATGTTCTGGGAGGCTTTTTAGCCACGTCGAGGTTCATGCCTGAGAGCTGGAGGTGAAACTGCTCCCTGTGGACGGCCTTTCTGAGCGTGCGGATGGCTTTACGGAGCCGCTTCTCGGTTCGCTTTACGATGCAGCTCAGGTCACAAGAAGCTACAGAAACAAGAGGGACAGCAGTGCGGGAGGAGATCAGGCTGCAGCGTGTGACAATGGCCAGATCAACTGCAGGCCCTACCAACACCCCGAGCTCCCTGTGGACCGAATGGGGAGAAACCTGGAGGGGGCACCTAGCAGGCTGGGCAGCATTTGATTCAAACAGAAATTTGTGGATCAGAATGGTAGCTTTGGGTTTTTATGAAGCAGAGAAAACCATCAGGTTCCAAACCAATTCAGTTTAGTTTCGGGGTGAAAAAAAACAGGAGATACTTCAGTGTTTGCATTACTTTTCCCCCAAGAATAATAAAAAGTGAAAGGCAAAGAAATAAGGAGCAAGCCGTGAGAAGCCTGGCAATGCAGACTGTTTTCAAACCAACCTGTCACCTCCTTTTGGTTAGTTTCAAGCTCAAACTCAACAGTGATAAACATTTCCTTAGGGGTGCTTGGTCGGCCAGGGGCTCCTGGGACTTGCTTGCCAGAGCTGCATGTAAGGTTTACGTAGCGGAAGCTCTCTTTTACTGAGCTGTGCTTCTCTGTATGAAGAAACAAAATTATCGGAAGCCAAATCCTGGCAAAGCACTCAGCTGAACATTTGCTAGAGCTCAGTAAACATTTCATTAAAACAACTCTCAAGGGACTAAGTGATTATCTCCAGATGCCAAGACACTGCAAGCCCTTAACTTGGAGCACAACGACATTTTAATGTTGAAGAGCTAGCATTGCCTCCTATATAACTTTACAATTTAGCTCTTGAAAATTCTTTTCATGAATAAATGGGAGATGTTTCCGACTGACTAGCCACATATGTGGAAGACAAGAACCAGGGATTGTCTTGCATTCCTTACTGACGGTTTGCTAACGTGTGCTTACACTCTCACAGTTGGTTTGCATAAAGCTGGATGTGCCGAGCAGGGGCTGAGGCTTCAAATAAGGAATGAGCACAAGAGTGGAAAGGAAACCAACTACTGCTTTCAGGCAAACTGACCTTGGAGTCATTCTAACCTGAAAGGAAAGCTGGAACACCCGTCAGCAGTGATGTCTCATTTTTAAATAACCAGGAGCAATAAATGGTACAAAGCATCAACAGAACCTAACAATATCATGAAGGCATCTAGGATGAGAGTGGAAGTGTTGCATGACAGGGCTTTGCACATCCTTCTTCCTGACTTGGCTGTCTCCCCTCTCACCATGGTTTCCAGTGAATCTGTTAACCCTCACCAAAGAGCAGGTCCACATATCATCCACTCCATGAATTTGTCTCTATTTCAAAATCTTTATTGAAATGAAGTATTGCCTGTATCAGATTCTTCTTTAACATTACAAGGACATTCAAGCCATAGGTCAACAGGGGCCACAGGAAGGAGGCAGATTTATTTCTTCTCTACATTTTTCCCCTAAAGATTTATCTTACTTTTTCAAAAGGGTAACTTCAGATCTTAAACTGAACAGATTCTCATTTTAAATCTTTTTCCCTTTCGATGTTTCCATATATATTTTTTTAACTTTTCATTTTGAAATAAGTAGATTTATAGAAAAGTTGCTAAGATAGTATAGAGTTCCCACATAACCTTCACTCAGTCTCCCCTAACGTTAACATCATACATTTATCAAAACTAAGACATTAACACTAGTACAATCCCATTAAGTAAACTATAGGCCAAGTCTATTTTTATCATTGTATTTATTTCATTTTTTTGAGACAGGGTCTCGCTCTGTCGCCCAGGCTGGAGTGCAGTGGTGTCAACACAGCTCACTGCAGCCTCAACCTCCTGGGCTCAAGTGATCCGCCCGCCTTGGCCTCCTGAGTAGCTGGGACTACAGGCACAAACCACTAGGCCCGGCTAATTTTTTTATAGTTTTTGTAGAGATGGGGTTTTGTCATGTTACCCAGGCCGCTCCTGAACTCCTGAACTCAAGCAATCTGCCTGCCTTGGCCTCCCAAAGTGCTGAGATTACAGGTATGAGGCACCACAACTGGTTCAAATCTATTTTTAAGCAATGGCCCCTCCCTTCACCCCTGAGGTTTAAAAGTATAAATGCTCACTATGGTTAATTTGGCAAATGCAGAAAAAAAATTAAAATTACCCATGCCTCCCACCCAGATGTAACCACTACTAATGATAGGGTGAGTTTTCTTTTTGTTTCTTCTACCACAGTTTTTCTTACACAATTTGGATTGTATTAGATATACAAAATGTTTCTCTCCTGCTTTACATCTCAGCATTATAACAAGACCATTTTCCTGTGTCATTAAACATTCTTTGAAAACATAGAATTAATAGCTGCATAATATTCCATCAAATGGAGGTACCAAGTTTCTTAAAAATACTTACCTAAAATAGGCAGTCAAAAGTGACTAGAGTGAGCTTTAGGTTTATTTGTCTGTGTGATTTGAGAGTAGATTGGGAAAAGAAGCCTCCCTAATACATGAATCCTGATCCTTTTTATTTTTAATTTCCAAAAGAATTCTATAAAATAATACTGGAAATGTGTGCTGGGAAAGAAAAAGGAATGTTAGATTCTGCTCTTCTCAATAAGGCCAGTTCTACTTGGATGGTATTTGCTTTGCTGAAGCCAATGGGGTCACCGCTTCCAAAAACTAGACCCAGCAGGAAGGCTGGATATTAGATCTTTGTTCATCAAAGTTATCCTTTCTGAGCCAAACCTTTTTTCATTTCTTTGGCTTATATTTCAAGCAAAATCTGAGATCTAGAAAATTTAACCCAATATGATCACAAATTGCTAATTCATCTGAAGCCCTTATTGACTTCTGTGAACTCGTGGGTTTCCCCAGAGCCTCACCAACTATACCATGCAAAGGAAGCCCCGAAGTGTGACCCCAGAACTATACAAGCATGCTAGGTTATGCTCTTCTTCCTCTTGGGATGAGTCCCTGGAAGTTGGGGATGGTTCAGTTCCATCTGCAGTGTGCTTGGATCGGCTGGACAGCCCCTGGCCCCCATGGACCTCCAGCTCGGCTGGCTGCAGGCCCCTTCCCACATGCAGGCAAGCTCCCTACACCAACCACCTGATTCCATACCTGGTAGTGCTGGTCGCAGACCCTCGGGAAACAGCTCAGCATTTTTCAAACTACACTTGCCTTCATTTAGCTTAAAGGTTACACTTGTCCTGATGGTGGTGACATCTTCAGAAAGAAACAAGTGAGAGATGTTACCTTCAGAGGCAAAGGAATGGAGACACCAGATGGGAAGCAGCAAGCTGTCCATTGGTGGCTTCCACCACACACAGCACACCCTGAGACCCTCTCCTACCCTGAGGCTAAGAGTGGCTTGGATCATGGAGTGCCCATTGCCCTGGACTGGGGCCACCAGGAGCCTCCTAAAATTGCAGTTACCCCCTCATGTGAGAGGCAAATCCAGTGTTCAAATAAAACAGAGGCCAGCCTGGCGAACATGGTGAAACCCCATCTCTACTAAAAATACAAAAATTAGCCGGGCATGGTGGCACATGCCTGTAATCCCAGCTACTCGGGAGGCTGAGGCAGGAGAATTGCTTGAACCCAGGAGGCAGAGGTTGCAGTGAGCTGAGATTGCACCACTGCACTCTAGCCTAGGCAACAGAGTGAATGAGACTCCATTTCAAAAAAAACAAAAAATTATCTATCTATCTATCTATCTATCTATCTATCTATCTATCTATCTACCTACCTACCTATCTATCTATCTATCTATCTACCTATCTATCTATCTAAAACTGAGGGTCAAAAATAGCCTCCACGGTGAAATAGAACATGAAGTCATTTTTGTGCCTTCCTGAGAAAAAAAGGCCAGAATCCCCCAGTTCAAATCTGGATAAGCCCGTTTGGCGAAACGGTGAAGGGCAGATTCTCCTAAACAAGCCCGTCGTGGGAGGACAGGGCTGAGGGAGCTGTTGTTCCAGACACAGATGGCACTCACTAAACATGGCTAGGCTCTGAGGTCTGAGAGGGAGTGAGGGTCCCACTGTGAGAGCCTGATGTGCAAAATTCTGTTCTCCTCCCAGGGTCAGTCAGTCTTAACCATCCGGTAGGATCTGGAGTCAATGCCCTACAGCTCTTTTAAGTTGTGGTGAGAACTTGAGCAAGTTACTTAATCTCCCTAAGCTTCAGTGTCCTCATCTGTAAAACAGGCATAATTATAGTACCTATATTACCAGGCTGTTGTAAGGATAAAATGAGATAATGCATTTAAAAAAAGGAAAATGTTTAGCTCCTTGCCTGGTACGTAGTAATAACTGCATAGCCATTAGCTATTTGCTTGCCCCACCTTGGGGTGGCCCAAATCACCAAGGAACTGTCACTGAGGGATTTGGCGAAACAGACCATGATGTATGCCCTGGCTGAGTCCAAACGTGCATTGAAAGGGGCAGTGAAGGATAGTGCTTGAGACTCTGGACCCAGACTGCCTGGGTTCAAATCCCAGCTCCCCTATTTCTTATCTAAACCACTTTGAGTAAGTTATTTCACCTCTCTGAGCCTCAGTTTCTTCATCTGGTTAATGAGAATAATAGTAAAATTTCCTCAGAGGGTTGTAGTATGGCTTAAGTCAGTTAATTCGTGTACTATGGTAGCTGGCATATTTGAATTGCTCAGTCAACACATACAAGCTGTACTGTCTTGCTTTGAGTCTCTAGCTTTGCTCATATATGTAATATGAACATCAGGATGTAATATGAACCTCATTCAGGTGTTCCAATGACATAATGACAAAGGCGTCTATATCCGGGAGGACACAGCCTCCTAAAAACCTTGGATTTCATTCTTCATCTTTTGACAAACAGGAAAGGGTTTGGGCCCCTTTCTCGGCACAGAATCCCTGCTGCCCCTGCTTTGCCTATTTCTATCCACACCATGTGCTCCAGGCACATTCCCTGGGCCTTTGAGGTGCTCTGGAGTACAGCCTGCTGGTCCTGGGGTTCTGTGGGCCTCTGCCCAGGGTGATGACCCACCAGGGCTGACCACAGCCTCCTGACACACAGTGGCCACACAGTAAGTATCTGTTACATGGGAGAGTCACATTCCGGGCACCAGGACTGCAGGCAACAACACCCTGGAACATGCTCACAGCATCAAGGAAATTAACAGAAAAAAAACAAAGCCAATGTCCAAGAACAGCACCCCGTGAATGAAGCCCCTTGAACACAGTGAGCCCCCAGAGAGAACACGCAGATTTGGTAATTACCCCCAAAAGCAGAGTCATTTGATTTTTGTTGTTTGTTCCTGAGAGGAGAGGAAGAGCCACAGGTGACAGAGTAGGCCCCTTGCAGTCCTGACAGACAGAATGTCAATTGTCAAATGCATAAGCAAGGTCACAGGCTATCCTGGTAGCAGCTAAACTGTCCCCCCACCCCACTCCACATGGGCCACTAGAAAAATGCCCAGCATATGGGGTCTCGAAGCATGGACCTCTCAAAGCACGGTGGTCGGGGCATCTGGCGGAGGACCTGGAAGCCCTTTGAGGGAATCTAACACCTGGAGGCCAGAGAGGCCTGGCCCCAGTGTGAGGACCTGCCCCGGGAACTGGGCCCCACTCACCTGAAGAGAGGTGAATGCCAGAGTGACATCTGAGGAAGCACCCGTCTCCTCCACCACTCTTACCGCAGTGCAGGGACACACGGGGTGACACACTTGTGGGCAGGAGCCCCTTCACTTCTAGACAGGACAAAACAGACACTTACAGAAAGAGAAGGACATTTCCAAGTGTGACAAGGATGGTTGAGTCCCATGCACCAAAGGCCCCAAGAAAAGAAGGTAGAGCTCATGCCCAGCACAGAACATAGATGCTAGGCCTTATTCCCACCAAGGGAAAGGAGCCCCTGATATGCCATTTCTTCATGCAGAAAAGCAACCAGGAAAACAGAAGTGAGTTCCAACCTACACAGAAGCACAGAAGGAAACACCAAAGATCCGGCAAAGTATCTCCTGTTTTTGAACTATTTAAAGAACAGTTGCTGCAGCTGGTGGGGAAGTCAGTGGAGGGACGGTCAGGTGGGATGTGGGAGCACGCAGAGCTGCACTGCCTCTGGGCCAGTGGCCAGCCTGCTGTCTGAGTCTGTGCCTCGGTTCCCCTTACCCACACAGTCTTTTTTATTCCAGTGGAGCTTGTACCCAGGGTGGCACTGGCATTCATAGCTGCCCACTGTGTTCACACAGACCTGCTGACAGCCTCCGTTGTTGATGCTGCACTCATTGGTGTCTGTGGAACAAAATACTCTCCTGTCATAGCAGCCTGTCACTGAATGGGCTGACATGGTCCCTCCCTTGAGGAAGGAGCAGCAGGGGAGTCACAAGGTTGAAACTCACTAACCAAAGGAAGACACTGAATGCCTTTAGCATGAGCGCTCGGCACCAGCTGACTGCACACCCCACTCCCCACCCAGCAAATTTCCTGGCAGGAGGCTCAATAGGGCCTTCTCAAGCTCCACTCTTTTTTTTTTTTTTTTTTTTTTTGAGATGGAATTTTGCTCTTGTCACTCAGGCTGGAGTGCAGTGGCACCATCTCAGCTCACTGCAACCTCCGTCTCCCAGCTTCAAGCAATTCTCCTGCCTCAGCCTCCCAAGTAGCTGGGATTACGGGCATGTGCCAACACGCCTGGCTAATTTTTGCATTTTTAGTAGAGATGGGGTTTCACCATGTTGGCCAGGCTGGTCTGGAACTCCTGGCCTCAGGTGATCCACCTGCCTTGGCCTCCCAAAGTGCTGGGATTACAGGTGTGAGCCACCACACCCAGACTCAAGCTCCATTCTTGACCAATCCATTCCTCCATTAGCAACACTCAGAAGGATCCGCACTCTACTTTCAGATGTCCAAACTCAGACACTGCACAGACTTCTATTTTAAAACTCTACCATCCTTCTGAGCTGCCTAGCAAGGGAGGCAGACAGAACTGGGACTCCCTGCTTAACCATTTACACAGTTGAGGCACAGAGAAAGGGAAGTGACTACACTAATTCCCATCAACCTGAGACTGAGTCCAGATCAAAAGGTAGCTCCACCTAAACCCAGACATACATCCATACTCAGGGTACATTTCCTCGAGGTTTCCTGATGGACTGGGAAGAGTAGTATGTCTTTGGCCATGCCAAGGATGTGTTGAAAGGGAGAAGGGAGATAACTGTCAGTAGCAAAGCACTAGTGTATATATATATATATATATATATATTTTTTTTTTTTTTTTTTTTTTTTTTTCAGGTGGAGTTTCGCTCTTATTGCCCAGGCTGGAGTGCAATGGCACAACCTCGGCTCACTGCAACCTCCACCTCCCGGGTTCAAGCAATTTTCCTGCCTCAGCTCCCAAGTAGCTGGGATTACAGGCATGCGCCACCACGCCCGGCTAATCTTGTATTTTTAGTAGAGACAGGGTTTCTCCATGTTGGTTAGGCTGGTCTCGAACTCCCGACCTCAGGTGATCCGCCCGCCTTGGCCTCCCAAAGTTCTGGGATTAGAGCCGTAAGCCACCACGCCCAGCATATCCAATCTTCTAAAGCACAAGACTCAGGACTGGTCAGGAAGTATTTAAGCCAGTGGTTCCCAAATCCTATAGATCCTCAGGAAGATGACCTTGGAAGTCCTAGACATTCTGAATTGGAATCTGAACCTGTATTCTCAAAGATTGCTGGGTGAATCTGATGGCTGGGGGAGTGGAGTGGGAGTTAGTTGGTAACAAATCCAGTTTATGGCATAGCCTGCTTGACCATGAGGTTATGAGACATGAGAACATTTTGCAAAATGGGCACAGAGTGGAGAGAGAAACTTCATAGTTCTGCTTCCAGCTCAAAGACCTAGTTGTGGGACTCAAACCAAGGCTTTGCAGCCAGTTCCTATGCATAGCAGGGCTGTGGAATTGGTGGGTGCCCCCCAAGCCTCTCTGAGGACTGTGACTTTACTATCTGCTGAGATGTTCCAATAGATAGGTTATCAGCTCCTGAGATACCCTTCCACTCTCTGAATACAGCCGCAAGTCAATCAAGTCGATAGAGAATTCACAGCTGGAAGAGCTCAGTTCTTCTCTCTGCTCCATTTCACACTCGGTGTGTTAAAGGGATACATGTGGGGAGATTTCCTTTAGCAGATCCTGCTCTCAAGTTGATGGACTCACCGCTATTGCTCAGGGACTGCAATGTACCTTTCATACCCCAATGTAGGAAAGCAAACCTCAGGGGTAGGCCCTGCTCCCCTCCAGGCCCAGCCTCATTCCCCTCCCAACTTGACAGGGGCAGTCTGCTCACCTCCACAGTGGGTGAAGCCATACAGGGTGTACCCTCGGTTGCAAGCACAAGCAAATGTGCCAGGGTGGTTGATGCAGCTGTGGTCACAGGTCCTATCCAAAGAGCACTCATCCACATCTGTAATGGTCAAAGGGAGAGGGGAGCTGAAACCCACTCTGAGGGATGAGTGAAGAATAGGTTTATGATAAATACCAGTTGCTGACCAACACCAAAAACAATACACACAGAGTAAAAAACATTATCTATCCATTTTCCTCACTCACTTGTGTTAAAGAAAGTGTGGAGCAGCCCACAAGAAGTATACTGACTGCCACGGCCCTCATTTCCACATTCTGTTGCAAACTGCACTTCCCTCAAAACTCAGTTGGTCTCTTTCACCCATGCGTACTTGCAGGGCTAATTTAAAATGTTTAAATGAAGCCAAATGAGATAACATACCTAAAAAGGGTTTTGTAAGCTACAGGTGCTAGCTATGCATTTTTATTGTCATATAACTATTAGTAAAACAGCAATATTAATTTATTAACTACGGCAAATTGAAAGGAGAAAACACTTGGTTTGGAGGTAAATCTAGTTCCCATCCCTTTCTTATTTTCTCAGAATTAGTCTTCTGGCCCCAAGAGGCCAGTTAATCCTAGGTTTTAATGCCCTCTGCACTGAAAGAATGCATCAATACTAATATCCTCACTAATTTTCTCTTTGCAGGCCCTGAAATGTGGTAGTTCAGCTCCACATTGGATGCTTTTGGCCGATGCCTTGGTTTTGCTCCTCCCCTATGTGCCAGTCCTATGAGTCTGCTAGCCTCCTGGTTCAGTGTGGAAGCCTCCTTGGCTGCAGCGGGGGTCATGCACAGCAGCCTCAGGAGGCTGCATTTGTCCATCTCAGCATCTCTTTCCCTGGGTCTGGCCCTCAACCTCTTTCTTGTAGGCTGGAATTTGAGTGCTTCACTCCCTGAACTCTGGAGGATTTTAACATAGTTACGACTTGTGTCTCCAAATGGATAAACCAGGACCAGTGCCGCACTCAGTCGAAGCCAACTAGACCACTGCTAGACCACTTTTTTCAACACCGAGTGTGCCATGAGAAACTATGTTAATAAAAGGCAAAAATGTGGAAGGAACAGGAAGAATGAAAAAGCAAAATAAAAAAGGGCAAATTCTTGCAAAACCTCTTCATCCCTAGCTTTTCCCAGAAATCCTGGCATTTCTTCAGTAAATTTGTTCTGTGCAAGTATTTGTTCTACCAAGACCGATCAGTGAAAAATGAGAAAAACCTAGTTTCTTCCCTAGGAATTGATGCCATTTTATGAAATCTGTTATTAATATCAGCCAGTTGTCGAGAAAGTGCACTTGTTCAGTAGCTGACTTTGGCTGCTCAGTATGGGCTTTTGCTTTGCCAAAAATAATGAGATCACTTTTCTAATTCCTTTTTAATGTGTTTACACAGCTTCAACAGTATTGCCTGCTCTATACACTAGGAAACATTATGTGGAACAGCAAATTTGCTTTCCAAGTCAAACTGAAGAAAACCACACAATAATTATCTAGAATTAACTTACTGAATTTAAAGAGGAATATACTTGAACTGCCTGACAAATTATGCATTAAGAACAAACCAAGAGAAAAACAAAACAAACATCACACCATAATATTTTTGTAAAAAGGTAATGCTACATCTTTGTTATCTAAGATGAAATCTGATACTCTGATTTTTATTTAATTCTGATTTTTTTTTTTTTTTTTTTGAGATGGAGTCTCGCTCTATCCCCCAGGCTGGAGTGCGTGGGCATGATCTCGACTTACTGCAACCTCTGCTTCCTGGGTTCAAGCGATTCTGGTGTCTCAGCCTCCTGAGTAGCTGGGATTACAGGTGCCCGCCACCGCGCCCTCCACCATGCCCCCACCTAATTTTTGTATTTTTAGTAGAGACGGGGTTTTGCCGTGTTGGCCAGACTAGTCTCAAACTCCTGGCCACAAGTGATCGACCTGCCTCAGCCTCCCAAAGTGCTGAGATTACAGTGTGAGCCACCACACCCAGCCTAATTCTGAGATTTCTAACAAAATAAATTAGTCCTTATTCCCAAAAATGGAGCAAGAATACATTACAGCACATCTTTCCTGAGAACTTCTTCTGCATATCAAAGGGAAGGTGCTCATCTAAAAATAGAAAACAGCTTTCCCCCACCCAAAACAGCTGCTAATACTAACAACAACTGCTACCTAGAGAAGTCTCCTTGCTGCAGCCCTTATATGGGAAGGATGTGTTTGAGAAGGGGTCTGAAATCCTCTCTAAGGATCAACAAGCATCTCCTCCCCACAAGCCCTCCCCCTCCCTCTCTGCCTTCCCTCTCTTCAAAGATCAAAGGCTGATGGTTTAAAGCAAGTGCTGGGCCAGGTGCGGTGGCCCACGCCTGTAATCCCAGCACTTTGGGAGGCCTAGGAGGGCGGATCACCTGAGGTTAGGAATTCGAGACCAGCCTGGCCAACACAGTGAAACCCTGACTCTACTAAAAATTCAGAAATTGGCCAGGCGCAGTGGCTCACACCTGTAATCTCAGCACTTTGGGAGGCCGAGGCAGGCAGATCATGAGGTCAGGAGTTCAAGACCAGCCTGACCAACATAGGGAAACCCCGTCTCTACTAAAAATGCAAAAATTAGCCGGGTGTGATGGTGCGCACCTGTAGTCCCAGATACTCAGGAGGTTGAGGCAGGAGAATCGCTTGAACCTGGGAGGCGGAGGTTGCAGTGAGCCAAGATAGCTCCACTGCACTCCAGCCTGGGTGACAGAGCGAGACTCTGTCTCAAAAAAAAAAAAAAAAAAAAAAAAAAAAAAAAAAATTCAGAAATTAGCTGAGCATGGTGGCAGATGCCTGTAATCCCAGCTACTCGGGAGGCTGAGGCAGGAGAATTGCTAGAACCCAGGAAGGCGGAGGTTGCAGTGAACCAAGATGATGCCACTGCACTCCAGCCTGGGCAACAGAGTGAGACTCTGTCTGTAAATAAATAAATAATTAAAAAATTAAAAAAACAAGTGCTATAAGAAAGAGACCAATTGGTACATAATCTTGATCATGGGTTAACTCCAAGTTTTTGCTAGGGAGGTATGTTAACTAAATCTACAGACTTTGCCACCAACTTTTGTGATAAATTCAATAACATTAAAGGAAATTTTAGAAAAGGAAAATTATTCATAATCTCAACACCCCACTGGAACCCCATTTGCATTCTGTTTTCCATTCCATTTCTAGCAGTGAGCTCTGCTGTCATCACATCGATGGGTTCTTTAAGGTGTTCTCTAACCATTAACAGCTTAATTTCCAAATACACCTGTGAGCTACATCAGTGTTTTTATTTTACCTAATAGATGAAATGAGTGAAGCCTAGGAAGGAGATTGGATTAGTGGCCCTGTCAAGAAGCCTGATAAGCCAGTCTCTGCCAGGAGGGTGCTACGTTCTCTCTGCTCCAACCTGTGGGCCATTGCGCAGCACAGCTATGTTTTCAGCACATACCTTGGCAAGACTTCTCATCTGTTAATAATTTAAATCCTTTCTTGCAGCCGCAGTCAAAACTGCCCACGATGTTTTTGCAGAAATGATCACAACCTCCATTGCGGGTCTGGCACTCATCAATATCTGCAACAGGAAAGCATTGGGCATATCAGAGAGCAATACTTGCCTCATTTCCCACAACTCCCTGAAGGGCCATTGTGTGTGTTCATTAGTCTCTGAAATTAAGAAAAAGACTCACAAAAGCATTTAAGAATGTTTGCTGATGTTTTTAACCTTATACATGTTTTCTTATCTGGCTTAACCAGTTTTGAAAGACAAGTGTTTCATCGTCTTGAGAACGCTGACTTATGATGCCCTTGATTGGCATTAAGGAAACAAACTCTGGGAAAGAATGATGACGTCCTGTTATATTCTCATCTTTGTATTGCTCTCTCAAGGTAAGATGGGTCTCTTTAGTACACTATGTATTCAAGTTTAATGATTAAAGCTATAAAGGACTAGAGCATTTGTTTTGGCAAATTACACAATGATCAAATAGCCTCAATGTTTTAAAATGATTCCTGATACTCAATCTTATCTTTTCCCAGTTTCGTCTGGCAATTGGTTATCTACTTTTTATCATGCTAAAGGGCTAATCCTTTGTACTCTTGCCCATGAAATATGAGCAAGTCATTGGGGTCGCTCTTCATCAGTAAAAGTTAATGGTACAGTTATTCATTAAGTCCTCTGGATAATCATCTTGACTGTTATTTATATAATAATCTCTAGGCTATTATGTATGATATGTTGATATTATCTCCTGCAAATGAATGCTTCCTTTAACTGCCTTTTTCTAATAAGGCCACTGTCTGAAATGAATTATTTGATGCTTGTAGAGGCTGACCTCCTCAACAATTAGTGTAATTAAGTGTTGGTTCTAATTAAGCTTACTCAGTTATAACCTTCCACTAGCCCAGGGGGAAAAAGCTCCCATTGATATGAATCATAAGCAAATCTCGAGTCACGTGGGGTATGGAGGGTATGTTGCCTTTATCCCCATATGTTAGCGGCATGGGCCCTCCCTCCATAACAGGGCACCCAGTCTCCCTGGGGAGGTGAAGGCTACCTTTACATGTCTTCCCATCCAACTGGAGAGTGAATCCAACAGGACAACTGCAGTGGACACCTGTCGAAGTATCCTTACAGGTGCGGTCACAGCCTCCATTGTTGACAGCACACGTTTCTGGCAAGGAGGTAAGAAAAGACAATTAGCTTCCCAAAGAAGTGCTGATACAGCTGACGAAGGTCACAGAAGCCAAGAAGCATGGTGGGGTACTCATGGTCATACCCCAAGTCTCTGCTACCTGCAGATGGGCTAGAGGGAGAGCAGGTGCAGCTCCTCCCACCCCCCTAAATGAGTTCTAGTTTCTGAGGAAGACTGTCAGGGTGACCAGAGGGATAAAGATGTCTCCCAATCTGCAGAGCCACTCCCCCTACTGGCAAATTTAAAGCCACTGAAAGTTCCTGCTGATCTGCAGCCAGCAACCTAAGTAGGACCACATCTGGCAGGCTAGAGGTGAGTGCAGAACAGGGCAAAGGGGATGGTCCTTTCTTAATCTTGAACCTTCTCCTTTCGATATGAGTAATGGGCAAAGCAAGAGTGGGTAAGCATCGCCGCCCCAACCACTGCCTTGTTGTAGACTACTGACTTCATCCTTGCAACTGCCAATTTACTCAAATTTGAAGTTTCACTTTCCCTGAAAGGAGAAAGCCCTGTCATAACCACGTGAAAAATAAGCCACAATTGTTAAATTGCAACAATGGAGATGAGGAACAATAAGCAAACAGCCTTCTAGTTCTGTATCTCATACAGTTAGTCCAAGTAATAGACAAGTGCTATTCAACATTCATTGAATTGTTAGCATCTAGGCACCCAGAAACATGATTTTTCTACCATAGCTACCTCACTTTAAAGGCTGGGGGTGGGGGGTGGTGGCGAGGGTGGTGGCTTACCCCTGTAATCCCAACACTTTGGGAGGCTGAGGCAGGAGGATCACCTGAGCCCAGGGGTTCAAGACCAGCCTGGGCCACGTGGTGAGACCCCCATCTCTACACAAATTTTAAAAAATTAGCGAGGCCTGGTGACGCACACCTGTGGTCCCAGCTACTCGGGAGGCTGAAGCAGGAAGATCACTTGAGCCCAGGAGGTCAAGGGTGCAGTGAGCCATGTTTGTGCCACTGCACTCCAGCCTGAGCAATACAGCGAGACCCTGTCTCAAGAAAAGAAAAGAAAAAAAAAAAAAAAGAAGGAACCCTAAAGGGAACAAGCTTAATCCTAATTAAATATGCAGATAGTACATGTATGTTTATCTCTGTTCCTTTCAAAACCTCACGAATATGAGAATCAATTGATTTTTTAAAGTATAAATCCTTAAGGACAAAGAAAATAGGAGAAAAGACAATAGATAAAAGATGTCAAACATTCTGGAAGTGACATGTTAGCAGGAGAGCAGTATCTGGCGTAGAAGAAAGCTAGATCCTAGCAGTCTGCAGAGGGGGTGCCAACAGCTGGTAAACTCCTGTGAGCCCCAGAGTCCCAGAAAGACTCAGGAATTGGAGGTATCAAGTTATTCTAGAGGCAGAAATGAGGACGGAGTTAAGAACAGGAAGATTATGGAGAGTCTACATATGAAAGAGATAAACCCCAGAGCTCCTCCTTAACTCCACATAGTCATGTGACTACCCTTCTCCTATTCTGGCTATAGCAGAGAAGTCTGGACCAGAGAGGTACCAGGCTCAAGGGCACCAGGAATAGCAGAGGAGGAGAGGGTGTCACCATCAGGTGAAAGTCTATACCCTGAAAAAGAGATCTCTAACCCTCATCCCTCTTCCCCCAACTCCTTCAGCTCCCTACTGGCAGATTTAAAGCCATTGAAAATTCCAAAAGCTATGTTAAAATAACAGCCATTGAAAGTTCCAAAAAGCTATGTTGAAACAACACTGCAACCCAGGATGCTAGCAGCCAAGCCTACAGGCAGGTGGTTGAAGGACTCCTCTCCGGCTAAATTGACCTGCCCAAGCAAAAAGACCTAACGATATTAGCATTCGAGGATCTCCAGATGAAATGGCTATGTCACTGCCTCGTCACCCAAACATGAAGCCCACAAATCAATAGAATATCCAATTGGCTTTTTAGTATTTTACTGTTAAATATGAAAAGTCGGTCAAGAATCACTAGACATTTCTGGAAAGCCTCTAATACGGAATGAATATACCAGATCAAACCAACGGGGAAAAAGAAACCTGGAGGAAACAAAGATAATCTAGAGAACAGAAGAGGAGTTAAAATCTCGTAATTAATTTCCTCAGGGGGACAAGAAAAGCATCCATGAAATAAGAGCAGGTTCCTAAAACCAAAGGCCAAAGTAAAATGCCTGAAAAATTAAAACATGAAAACGAAAACTTTATCCTGTGCAAAGATTAGAAGAAAAAAATGAAAACTCTCCTAGAAAGTAGAACAAAAATACAAAGGAGAGAAAAGAAAAAGAATAAAAATACAAGGGAGAGAAAAGAAAAAAAAAAAAATTAGGGGGTCAATCCAGGAGTTACCACAGCCAGCTAACAGGAGTTCCGGAGGGAAAGAACAGAGAAAATGGAGTGAAGAAATTTATCAAAGAAGACGGGTGCGGTGGCTCATGCCTGTAATCCCAGCACTTTGAGAGGACGAGACAGGTGGGTCACATAGGCCAGGAGGTTGAGACCAGCCTGGCCAACATAGCAAAATCCCTTTTCTACTAAAAATACAAAAAAAAAAATTAGCCAGGCATGGTGGCATGTGCCTGTAGTCTCAGCTACTGGGGAGGCTGAGGCAGGAAAGTCACTTGAACCTGGGAGGTGGAGGTTGTAGTGAACCAAGATTGCACCACTGGACTCCAGCCTGGGCGACAGAACAAGACTCTGTCTCAAAAAAAAGAAAGAAAAAGAAATTTATCAAAGAAAAGAATGTAAGAAAATTTCTCAGAACAAAGGGACTTGAATGTTCATATTGAAAAGTACTAAAAATAGGTGGGCAAAATCCCACAATAAGGAACATTATTGTAAAACTTCAGATCACTGGGAAGGAGGAGAAGATCCTGGAAGCTTTCAGAGAGAAGCTTTCACAGGTTTCACACAAAGGATCAAGAATAAAAATGATTTTAGACTTCTCAAAACAACTCTGCATTCTTGAAAACAATGGAGCACTAACTTCAAAACAGTGATGGAAAATTCTTTCCAACTCTGAATTCTACACTGAGCCAAATTCTCAATAAAGGGTGCAGGTAGAATATAAAGGCATTTTCAGGCATGCAAATTTTTAAATACCTCTATCTCATTCGCCGGATAAACTAATGAGAGACAAGACATAGGATCCACCCAACAGGAGAGCGGCAAAGGGAATTGTAGGCTGATGGTGAATGCCCAGATGAGAGACATGCACTCAGCCAAGACAGCCAGGCCCTGCTAGGGCAGGCTGGAAGCCTCCGAGGAAACTTTTTCACCAAGAAAATTGATTTGATTAGTTACCTACACTATATTTGAACACATTGAAAAGTATTTTACAGCTTTGTCTGAAATTTGCAAAAGAATTGGTAAGAGGTACTTAGAAAACTAAGCAAACAAAGAAAATATAATCATAGCACGTTACATGACTCAGGTGAATCGTATTTAGATATTCAAAGTCAGAATAATGTAAGCACATAATATTGATTTAAATTGTGAGACAACAATATTAAGGGTATAGGGAGAGGTCAGGTGTGTGTGTGTGTGTATTGCGGGGGGAAGCAGTGAGAGCTAAATCCTAGTCTTTCATAATAGGAAGTTAAAAGCTACCATCTAAAACAGACACATCAAGAAGTAACTGTAGGGCCAGGCATGAAGGCTCACACGTGTAATCCAAACACTTTGGGAGGCCAAGGTAGGCAGATCGCTAGAGCCCAGGAGTTCGAGACCAGCCTGGGCAACAGGGCAAAACCCTGTCTCTACAAAAAATACAAATATTAGCCAGGCGCAGTGGCACATGCCTGTAGTCCAGCTACTCAGGAAGCTGAGGTGAGAGAATCGCTTGAGCCTGGGAGGCGGAGGTTGCAGTGAGATATGATCACACCACAGCACCCCAGCCTGGGGGCAACAGAGTGAGACTCTGTCTTAAAAAAAAAAAAAAAAGAAAAGAAAAGAAGAAAAAAATAACTGTATACCCTTCATTTTTTTCAGAAATATGGGGGAGGAGGAGCCAGAAGAAGAAACAGCTCGAAGAATTGACTATTGTTGCCTCTGGCAAATGGGATGAGGAAATGGGAAGTTATGAGACAAGGAAATGATGAGTTTCATTACAAGCCTAGAAGTAATTAAGCGTTTATGTTACTCATTTGTACTATTTTCACTTAAGACAATGAAAATTTATAATTTCTAAAGAGCAGAAAAGAGCTCGGAAAGGTTACCTGCTTGGTAACCAATGGCTGTATGATATGTTGCCTGACTGTTAAATCCAGAAACTGTCAAAAGATGGGTTTTGTTTAGGTTGAGCCAGACTTTCTCCAGAAGGAGTAACGCACCAAAGGATCTGTCTGACTCCCACCCCCATGACCACCTCTATTTCTGCTCATCTCCAGCTTGACCGCTGGACCTTCAGGCAGGTCTTCCCTTGTCCCACAGCCAAGTGTTGCCCCTCTCCATTCATCTCTTCTACTATTATCATCAGCTGAGTCAGAAATAGAAGACTCAGTGGACACAAAAAAAGACTAGCTGCCATTCTGAGCTAGAGGCTGCTTCAGAGGAAGACAGCTGACTTCACTGACCACCCACTCAGTCCCAGGCACTGGACTCTGGGCACCTTTCCATATTATTATCTTAATTGAGCATCCCAACTGATATGGCCAGGCTTTATGTCCCCACTCAAATCTCATCCTGAATTATAATCCCCATAATCCCCTCGTGTCAAGGGAGAGACCAGGTGGAGGTGATTGGATTATGGGGGCGGTTCCCATGCTGTTCTCATGATAGAGTGAGATCATGAGATCTCATGGTTTTACAAGTGTTTGGTAGTTCCTCCTGCATTTATTCTCCTTCCTGCCACCTTGTGAAGAAGGTACCTTGCTTCCCCTTTGCCTTCCACCATGATTATAAGTTTCCTGAGGCCTCCCCAGCCATGTGGAACTGTGAGTCAATTAAGCCTCTTTCTTTATCAATTACCCAGTCTCAGGCAGTTCTTTACAGCAGTATGAAAATGGGCGAATACCCTGGCCCTAAGAGGTAGACTTTATTACATCCATTTCAAAGAAAGACCAAGAGACAGAGCCTCAGGGCAGTTTGCCAAGTCTTACAGCTAGGTGGGGGCTGCATTGGGACGTTAACCTGATTATTCTGATGGACACGAGACCAAGGGTCTTGCTTGGTTGGTGATTAAGCAACAGCACTGGTGAAGAACAGACACACACCCTGGTTCACAGGAGCTGCTCACCCCAGTCCAGCTGGTCTGAGGGCATGTGGCTCCCAAGTTCAGGTCTGATGCAATAAGTTGGGGAGGGAAAAGGACAATTGCAGTGGCCAAGGAAAGGGAGTGAAGGTGCCTACCCATGAGCAGCCGCCGTTTCACCCGTTTATCCCCATCCACCACTGATGTGGTGTTGCTCTCTGTCACCTCCAGGACAGTGTCCTCTCGCTCTACAAGAGAAGCAAAAGAGCACGGTTCTCAGACTGAATGAGTTAGATTGCTCATCCCCATACAACTGTGTTTGCTGAAATCCCAGACATAAGAGGAATGAAAGATATGTGACTCTGTTCACGCAATAAAAATGTGTTGTAATGAGGCTCTGTGGGAGACACAGCCCGTTAAAGGGCCACAGATCCTTAGCAAACATTAAACATGGAAAAGATTTTGGAGGTATATTGCACTGACCAAAGAGACACTAGGGAATGCAAGCTTCAGTCCCCTGAGTCGAGGAGAAAAAGAGCCTTGGGCCTGGAAACCTCTAAAATGGAGCTAGTGAAGGACACACCGTGAAGGGCAAGGCAGGCATCCCGCCAGAAATATACGGCCCTGGCTCCTGCTGGCCAGAAGTGCCGCATCATTATAAACAGCTCTAACTTCGTGCTGCCCTGGCCTCCTGGGAGGTGTTGTGCCAGTCTCTGGAATACCAGCGTTAGGAGCAGCCTAGTCCAGGAGAGGAGGAAGGGCTTCCCAAGGTCACACAGGGAGAGAGGGGCCTTCCCCACAGGCCTAGACCACTCCCACTGTAGCATGCGAAGCAGCACAGGGCCTGCTGGGGGGGCAAATGCACAGGAAACAGCCTGCATCTGTGCTAAACACCATTAAGGGGTAGGGGTAGGGACAGGCAGGCTGGTGCAGACCCTCACTCAGTGTTGGGGTTGCCACTCACCAAGGCAGCTCCTCCCATCTGTGTGCATCTTGTACTGTGGATGGCAGCTGCACTCTGGGCCATCGGCTGTATCGTCACAGGAGTGCTGGCACCCACCGTTCCCATGGTTACAGGTCACTGACAGCAAAATGAATCAATACATAAAGCACTGAGATTTCCACAAACACAGGGCTGTGTTTGCTCCAGAGAAATTCTGATTTTCATTCTGCAAGTATTTGAGCACCTAGTGCATGCCAGGCATGGTGCACGAAAGACATAACTCCAAGTCAGACCCTGTGGTGTCTGTGTATGCAGATAGTTACAATACAAATTGTAGAAATGCTGAAACATGGGTTTAAACAAAGTCATACAGGAAGAGGGAGATGGGAGAGTTGGGGGAGAGACTTTTATTATATAAGGGAGATTATACCAAGAGATTCTAGACTACTGCTTTGTTCTATCTAGAGAAGTTTACCTATTAATACAGCTGTACTGGGGCTTTGGGAAATGCTATAGCACTTTATGCTGGAATAAAACAGACAATATTTAATTTGTACATATATGTCAGAATTTCTCTCATCAGATTCAATCTAGATTAGTTAGAAGGAAGGATAATCACAGGATGATTCTGCACACAATTAACGTGACAGTAACTGGTAATTATCAAGACTATATATGAATGTATTGATGATAGGCCAAAAAGAAAAAAAGCCAACTACAAAACTATCTATTCATCAAACTGCTAACCGTGGTTACCTCTGGCAAGGGAAACGGGAGGCGGGAAACTGCATGTTTTCTTTATATGCTTTGGAGTGTTTGCATTTTACATAGGCCCTTTGTAATTTTTCTAATTCAAAAGAACTAATTACATATTTGTGTTGTCCTGTGATTATAGCTGTGTAAAAATTGTGTATGCATATGAACAACAACTAAATAGGAATATGGAAAAATTGAAACAGCTGGTTATGTGGTGAGATTCTAGGTCTTAGTTTTTTTCTTTGTTAATTCCTCAAACGTTAAATATGTTAATGTTAAAAATGTTATAATGTTAAAAATGTTAATAATGTTAATGTTAAAATATGTTAATGTTAAAATTAAAAAAAGTTAATAACAGAACAATATTATTTGAGCAGTGATATCTTAAAGACATTTAAAATCTTTAAAAACAAGCTTACAGGTGCCCACCCCCCCGCCCCCTTCAGCAACTGTTCCCTGAAAGACTATGAAATGTTGAGGGTCTCGCCCCGCAGGTGAGTCTTGGAGGGTCTGGGTCTTCCTTCCGAAGATCTGGAGGTGGGAAAATGGTCTCCACTCTGCTAGCTCACTGGAAGCCCTCAGGGACAGCCTGACTTCGAGGGGCCCTAAGAGCATGTCAGAACCTGTTGCTTGAGTGTGATGGTGGCACCAGCCTTGGCTTGGACAGCTTTGGGGTGGCAGTCTGCTTTGTGAGGGAGACAATGGAGAGAAGTCCCTCACCAGTGAAACTGTCCCCTCATCTCCTACTCACCATAAACCACCATCCCCACCAAATGGCAGGGGTCTTCTGTCCATGGCTTTGGGAAGGTTCCTAAAGGGAACTCCTCAGTGCTTCCCCTGGCATAAATCGTGGTTTAGGAACACCATGAATTGCCAGTGGTTTCCTGTTCCCAGGTGGAGTTTTGTTACTACAATCGTGGTGCAGGAGCTGCGGCCCGATGGTGTAGGCCACCCATTTACCCACTCATTAAACACAAGTGTACTGAGCATATCCCATAGCAGGTACCAGGGGAGGACTGAGAGGAAAAATGAGGCAAGGTCCCTGACTTGGAGGGGGCTCATACCTGGGGAGACAGACACATCAACACACAAGTCAACCCAGAGCTATACAGCTGAGGAAAGTGCTGTGGGAGCCAAAGTACAAGATGGCTGCCCTGTCTGAAGCACCCAGGAGGCTTCTGATAGCAGAGGATGGTAGCATGGGATTAAGAGCACAGCTTTAGAGCTCAACAGACCAGGGTTTGAACACTCATTTGCCACTCACTCCCTGTGTGACCTTGTTGCTTCACCTTCTGCACAACTTCGACAACTGAAAATGAGTGTAATAATACTGAGCTCACAGTGCAGTGCTTGTAAGAATTAAATGGGATATGGCACATCTTGAGACAAGCCTTTGCACAAAATAAATTCCCCACCAAAAGGTAGCTATTATGCTTATCCTTATTAGAAGTTAAACAGAATATTGAAGGTTGAGTGAGAGTCCACCACGCCAGGAAGGCAGGAGGGCTTGGGAAAGGCCTGGAGGCATCAAAGGATTTGGGCTGTTCTCCAAAGGCAAGGGGAGTAGTGTCTGCGGAAAGGAGGCAGATGAGGTTTATAGGGGAAGCAGGACCTGGTGGCAAAGAGCTGTGATTGCCAGATGAGGACATTTGGTTTTATTCTGTGGGAACAGGGAGAACTGCCCCCCAACATTCACACTCCTTACTCCTGAATTTCATTTCCTCCTGATGAGTTCCTTTTTAAAATATCATTTCCCTTCCCTAAGGGAGACCACCCTTCTGCAGTGAACAAGTACTTGGTAGAGGTCGGTATCCCGTGCTAACTGCCTTCCCTGCTGCTGCAGCCGTGCCATGAGGTGGTGCTTCTGAGCTGGGCCACAGAAGGCAGCCTGTGGAATACGACGGTTCCCATGGCAGGTGTGCACTGGCCCATACTTACAGATGCAGTCTCTCTGGTTCTTGGCCAGCTCAAAACCAGGCCTGCACTCACAGGCGACGCTGCCCCTTGGGGCCTCCTTGCAGATGTGACTACAGCCGTGATCCTTATTCATGCAGCTCAGGCCCTCTGAAAAACAGCAGTGTGCGACAGGTGACTAGGCTGTGGTCAGAATCCTGAGCCCTGGGAGAGCGGCAAAGGGCTAAGGGGTGGCCCACAGATCTGTCTGCTTAGGTCTCCATCAGCCCCACATTTGAAAAGTATATGTCATTAAAGTCAACCTAGGCCAATTAATAGACATGAAAAATTTATTCTGTCACCCAAGAGATATGATGTCTCAACTCTCCTAACGAGTTGGGAGCCTTCCCAATACACTGGAGCTCTCTATTGCATGCAGGATCAGAGCCTGCTGACCCCAGGAACTGGTACTCACGCTCTTATCTCTGCCATGTCTTTACCCAAGAGCTGATCAAGAATGTAAAGAGAAAAGGAGAATCCTCCTAAGAAAATGTTCAGATAGAATGATCAAGATTCTCAATTTTTTCACATACTCTTGAAGATAATTTTCAAAACATTTCAACGCCCCTCTCTGCCCCCACCAATCCCACCCTTCTGAGGTGAGTGTGACTGTGGCATTTTGGCATCCTCGTACGGGCCACATGCCCCGGGATCTGTCTTCTGTGACCACCCTCAGCCACTCCCTTGATCCCTCCCTCAGGGCATAAGCCTCTGACAGCATCACACAGCAACAGCAACAAGAACAGAGGGAGGGAGAGAAGAGACAGAGAGAGAGAGAAGAGAGAGAGAGAGAAGGAGGGAGTGTGCTCGTGTGTGGTAGCTGCTGTACAATTCTTTTGAGGTATACAGTAAATTCTGATTAGGCTTAACCTTGTAGTATGATGGTGGGAAGGGGAACAGCTGCTTCTGTTCTTGCAGGGCTCGGCACACATCTAAATGAGGGGGCACAGCAAGGTAACTGCCCGTGTGGTTTACCAGCATTCTGCCTCATCTCAAAACTAATTCTTTGAGATCCTGCTGCCTACCAGCATCCTGAAGGAATTCTTTTCATACCCTAGAATACTTTCAAGACATCTGCTCAGTTTATACTTTATTATTAATTACCTGTTCCTATGTTGCTTCTTTGCATTCGTGCAATGTAACTCTAAAACATCTCTGAGAGTAGGGACTTGGTTGTCATTGGCTCTCTATCAATGAGACACTCTAATACTAGTAGGGCACTGTTTTCAACACGAGTACAAAAAGGTTGCTTTCACTTCTCTAGAATCCAACACCCTTCTATATTGTGCCCCTAAAACCTTAGCCAACAGGTTCTAGTGAAGTCAAAGTTCTCTCTCCAGCTCCCACTCCAGAGCTGTCAAACTGTGCTTAAACGGAACAATTGTTTTAATACAAACAGATGTCATTCCTATTCCAGAAGACAGTGCAAGGGTTAATATATCCCATACTTTCTGGAGTCTCTCTTAAAACCCTCTTGCTCTTTTGCCTGACAGTTATGAGCTGCCTGCACTCCAGCACTCAGTCTGCTGGTTGCTGGGATTCATTCATCCATGCCAAGGGTGGCTGTCAATTAACACAGAAAGAGACTTGCACTGGATTGGTGGAAAGCTTTCTCTTGCTCTGGCTGGTAATTCCGAAGATGTGATTTGCACCCCAGTACTGAGATGGCGCGGGAGGTGACAGCTGCCTCTAGAAGCAGTGTCCTGTCTGAGAAGGCCCAGAAAGCGTTGTGTTTGTCCTTGGGTCAGCCGAGCATGGGAAGTAACTAGTGCTCGGGGGTAAATATAATACTGCCCAAGAAATGGGGGCAGGAACACCTGGAAAGTACACTCCCAAACAGGCCAGCTGCTGCTGCTTTTTCACTCTGTTTACAAGACTGTTAAGACATTTGCAAAGTGACCTTTACTGCCTCAGAGTAATTCACCTACACAAGAAATATTTCGTAAGAATGCCTGTATGCCAGATGCCATTGTGATACACAGAGAACCTACCACCTAATGTCCTACCACATCAAGCTACACCTGAAGTTACCAAGACATAATAGAGACTTAAATGGCTCTGGAAACGCTGACAGCTTTTCAAGAAGTGACCTCAAAGCCTTTGTAGCACTCTGACTTAATGCAAGACCACTGCTGGGGTGAGCAGATTAATCTGTTCCAAACTAGGCAGCCCAGCAAATGGCCCTAGCTCTTTCCAAAATTGGTCTGGTTGTCACGTCCAGGATGGTTCGTTCACCAGAAGGGAAACAGCTCAGAAACATTGGAAATCCCCCATTCTGGTGCACCCCAAGATCAGGGCTCCACTGAAGATTATTTCTGGAAACCAAACAAAAATATGCCTTGTGAATTGGGAGGAAAACATGACATAAAACGGGTAACAGGTCCTGCTGAAAGCACAGCCTCCACTTTGCCACCCTGACACCTTCCCTGTTGCCCTGAAAAGGCATCAGTACACCATCTAAATATTCTCAGAACACACAAAACAAAAGAGGAGTGCTCATTCTGAGAGCCTGAGCACCCATGAATAGGAACAAAGGCGGGCCGGGGGTGATGTGCTTCTCTCCAGCCTACCCTCATTATATGGGTGAAAACACACAGTCTCTTTATCACAGCTTTGGAGTCTCTAAGGATAAAAAAAAATAAAATAAAAAATCAGTATCTTGAGCTTTCCCTCAGAGTCAATGATTATGATGCCCTATATTAAAGAACATTTGGTAAATAATTATTAAAAACAACAGCAATAGAAAATACTAGCTTCCTGTGTTACCTTCTTTTAATCACTTTGAAGGTATCCACTGTGGGTTTTGTTTTGTTTTGGTTTGTTTTGTTTGTTTTGTTTTATTGAGGTGGAGTCTCACTCTGTCGCCCAGGCTGGAGTGCAGTGGCACGATGTCAGCTCACTGCAAGCTCCACCTCCCAGGTTCACGCCATTCTCCTGCCTCAGCCTCCTGAGTAGCTGGGACTAGAGGCGCCCACCACCACGCCCGGCTAATTTTTTGTATTTTTAGTAGAGATGGGGTTTCACCGCGTTAGCCAGGATGGTCTCGATCTCCTGACCTCGTGATCTGCCTGCCTCGGCCTCCCAAAGTGCTGGGATTACAGGTGTGAGCCACCACGTCTGGCACCACTGTGGGTTTTTAAGCCTACAGTTTCATAGAGTTTAATGTGCATATCAGAGAGGAAATCCTAGAAGAAAACTTTTTACAGGCTGTTCTATTTGAAGAATCAAAACCCTAGGATGCAAAGGTTCTCCGTTACCAATTGCTATAATCTGTTGGCTGACACTCCCATGAATTTGCCAAGCAATCAGGTTGAAACACAACAGAAAATCACAGAGAGCACTTCCAGACCACAACGCAAATTCTTAGATTTTGGTTTTAGTTCCAGACAAAAATGTTCACTTCAAATACTCTTTAGGGGATCCAAGAATGTCTGAATTGTAGAAAATTTAGAAAACACAGTTTGCAGAAAGGAACTGCATTTGTATTTGCTTCTGGTATGAGGAGCCTGTGTCTCTAATCAGTCCGGGGGCTTGCAGGAGGGGAGAGTGGGGCTGAGCCAGGGCTCTGGAAGTACAGGGATAAGAGGTGATCTTAATCGCTACCAGCTGCTTTGTAACTGGGTGGGACCCAGACCGTGAGGGCTCAAGCGATGGCTTTAACCTGCAGTTCCCACATCCCTCCCCAGCCACCTGCAGAGGAAGCCAAAGTGACTTCCCAGGAAGCAGCTTTGAGCAATCAAAAGGAGAGATGCCCTGAGATTCGGATCACTCTGTGCCACTGGCCTCCTAATTCATTCCCATCTCGAATTTGGCCTACATTGGACAAGAGTGCAGGGCACACCAATGACCCCAGAGAACCTGGCAGGAAAATGAAACCCAACTGCTACTTTATCAAGGGCCACACCTGGCACAAGATAGGAAATCTGCCTGATCAAAGCCAGTATGTGTGACTTCCCCGCCCCAAACGCTGAGAATGAGCAGGCTCTGGGTGATGATAGCCATCAAACCCATTGGCCCCTGGGGGTTCCTCTGACAATTTTTCTTGGTACCCAAACAGGTATTCTAGTTAAGTATAAGGTGTGAGCTGCCATCCTTGGAAAATGAGACAAAAATCATCTTCCATGAAGAAACCCTTGAAAAGTTACCAAGACCAGGATTAAAACAATCTATAAATTTGTGATTAAATAGTAGAAGAAATTAAAATGACCTCATTCTTAAGTAATGGGAAAGAATAAGCAGCACATGGCCAAAGGGGTTAATAGGCTAGTATTTAGGGCACTTCCCCTAAAAATAGGCAGATGCAACTCCAAGAGGAACACAGCCACCAAAATGTGACTCTTTAGCTTAAGAAAGAGCAGGGAAGAGTTAAAAGGATGACATTCAGTTAAAAATAACTGATTGGCCACATGTACTTAATGCCCCTTCCTCTCAAGAATCTACTAAGTAACAGAGGAATGAAAAAAGGTATAAACTCAAAGCAAAGAGAATGAAGAGAAGGACATCAGAAGAGAAGAGTTTCCGGCAAATTTACAGAGGAATGATAAATGGTGACGTAGGCGAAGGAAACCACAGCACGGAAAGTCCAGGGAGGGAGCCCTTCTGCCCCTCGGAGCTCAAAAATGCAAAACATGGAAGGGCCGGATCTAGCTTGGGGCTGAAAACAGGGCACTTCATTGAAAGTCTGCATGGGAAGGATCCAGCCTCCTCCCTACCCACCCAGAGCAGGGAGCAGGCTCATACTGGTGCTGTGGTTTTCAGCACCTTTTTGAAAAACTTGGCAGATCATCCACTATATTGCTCCTGAGACATCTAGTCATGTTTGAAATGTATTCTATGTAAAGATTAGAATCAGAAAATGTGAGAGTTTGAAAGGACCTCAGAGCTCACCCAGTCCAGTGCAACTATTTTGCCAGGTGAGGAAGTTGAAGTTCAAATAACTTGCCCACGGTTACCCGGCAGTGGAGTCTGGACTCGTCCTCAGGCCTCCAGACTTTCTATACCCTGTGCTTCCCCTCTAGAGTCAGTGTGTGTGTGCGCGTGCAAGGGAGAGGGTCTCAGATGTGGCTCTGCCCCCATCCACAGCTGGGCAGAGGTACCTTCCGAGCGGTGAATGCAGGTGTGCTGATTGTCACTCAGGAAAAACCCCTCCTTGCAGCAGCACTCATAGCTCCCCATGACGTTGACACAGGTATGCTGGCAGCCGCCATTGTTCTCCAGGCACTCGTCCACATCTGGAAGGAGAGAGGGATTAGCCTTTGCTTTGGTGACTGTTTCAATGCCCCACCTCACCCAGCAGCTCAGGGGCCCTGCTAAGCAAAGATGAGGTTCCTCTTCACGTCCCTGCACCACAGAAGCTTTCAGAATCAAAGCCGGTAAGGTCCACAGACAACTACCCAGTCCTTACGGGTCTGGGGCTCACTTGGCCAGGACCGCCACATGGACACAAGGTCATCAGCTCAGTAAATATTTGTTGAACATCTTCTCTTTCCACAGCATGGTGCTAGAGGAGACAGCAAAATATAGATAAGGAAGATAAAATTCCTTCCCTTGGCCAGGTGTGGCGGCTCAAGCCTGTAATCCCAGCACTTTGGGAGGCTGAGGCAGGCGGATCACCTGAGGTCAGGAATTCAAGACCAGCCTGGCCAACATGGTGAAACCCCGTCTCTATTAAAAACACAAAAATCAGCTAGGCATGGTGGCACATGCCTGTAATCCCAGCTACTGAGGCAGGAAAATCACTTGGATTTGGGAGGTGGAGGTTGCAGCGAGCCGAGATCATGCCACTGCACTCCAGCCTGGGCCTCAGAGCGAGACGCCATCTAAAAAAAAAAAAAAAAAAAAAATCCTTCTCTCTAGGAGCATGCCCTTCAGCAAGAGACAAATATACAAATGATTCTGATATAAGGTATAAAAGGTGGTACCAAGGAAAGAAATCACATCTGGTCATGGGGTATCGGGATGAATTAAGGATAAGCTAATAAAAGATGGGCCCTTAGGATTGTCCAATTATAAATCAGGAAAGAAGGGATTATAGGTGGAAGAGAGCGTAAGCAGTAGCACAAAGGCTGGGAGGCATGAAGAACATTCAGATACCAGTGGGTCAGCCCATGTGGTTGGAGCATAGGGCACATGAGGGAGGTTACAGGAGATACAGCTGGGAGGACAGACTGGGGTCACACTGTGGGATCCTGAATACCAGGCAATGAAGTGCCTACTTAATTTGGGAAGCAGCTGGGAACCACTAGAGTAGGGGAGAGAGTCTGGCCCTTCACTTTGAGAAATACAAGGCAGCAGCTGAGGGCAGGACAGAGGGAGGGGAAGAATGGGCAGTCTGGGAGTCCAGCTTCACACATGCATCTGCAACAGCCACAGCTAGCGCTAGTGGCGACAGCACTGCGGCTGCCAGGGATGCTGGGAACCAAGCCAGAGAAGAAGACTGGGCGGACAAGGTGCCTGCAGGGCTGGGAGCCTTGTGGGCTATGGGGTGGGCATCATTAGAGGATGGAAAGTTGACACCAAGGCCTTCTGGAAGGGACACATGGAAGGCCAGTGCTGGGTACAGAAATGGGAATGGAGATATGGTTGCCCCTGACCCCCAAGGCAGGCAGGTGATCTGTCTGAAATGCTGAAATGTAGGGCTAGGTCCAGTAGGCAGTGGCAAACCTCAGTGGGGAGCTTGGAAGAGAATCTGGTGGTGTAAGCACAGCTTTGGAAATCATTTATTTGTAGTTGCCTGATAAAGTGGTGGAGCTTGATGAGAGAGCCAAAGGCGGGAGTGTGGGAAGGGAGCAGAAAGGAGACAGCCAGAGGTAGAATCCCGGACCCTGCCAGGGGCAGGGAGGAGGCAGAGGAGATGGCAGGAGTCCCAAGAGCCTCCAGGGAAGGAGCCAGCAGAGAGGTAGGGAGGGAGGAAGCCTTCTGCCACACACTGTCAGGGCGGCCTTAGGGGACCTTCCTCCCACTCTGCCTGTGATACCCTGTGCACAGCTGTATTGCTACACTTACTGACTTGCAGCCTCAAAATCCTTTACTCATCTACCTCTACTAGATTGCAAACTCCTTGAGGACAGAGATTTTTGTTTTAATTAGCACAGCCCTGGAATACAGCAGGCGCTCATTAACTATTCAATGCATGAACAAACAAGCAGGAGAGGATAGCATCACCCGAGCCAGAGAAGAGAAACTTCCAGAGAAGTTTCAGACAACAAAGGCTCAAAGAGAAGGCTGATATAAAAAATCAATTTATTTTCTCCAGTCTAATTTCTCATGTGCTAATCACTAGCTCCTGGGCATATCCATAATAATCATAATAATAAAACCTCACATTTAAATATCTGTTATCTGGTTTCAAGCTTCAGATCTTATAGTCCTCTGTCCTCCCACACTACTGAGCAGATGTCTGACTAAACTGATGGGACTCAAGCCATCCCCTGAAGCCTAACAAACTTGCCCTTGTCTATGCCAAAGGGTGAAGGAAGCACATTCCAGAGGATGAGCCGTGCTGGAACACACCTGGCCTAGGTGTTCCACAGCAAGACTCAAGGTGAGCAGGAGAGGTCTGTCTCCCTGAACACCAACTCCTGGATTGGCTGCGAGTAAAGATGTGCTCCCCTCTGAGCTACCACACCCCCACCCCACGTTTAACCCCCAATTTCTTTTCCCCAAGGCAATCAGAAATGTGTCATTCAGCTAGCTGATGCTCTGTGGTTGGATAAATACAAAAGTGTGTGTCCACGTACGCAAATATCTATCACTAAGCTGGTGAGCTTCTCCAGACCATAAAACAGTGGTTCTCAACCCTGGCTATGTGTCAGAACCCTGAGGCCTGGATGCCACCTCCAGAGATACTGACAGAGCCAGTCTTGGATGAAGTCTAGGTGATGGTTTTTTTTAAGCTTCTCAGGTGATTCCAGTGTGCGGCCAGAGTTAAGAACAACTGCTACAAAGCCAAACAGCTATGATGAGCTCCCAGACACTCCAAAAATAGAAACTGAAGGCAGATGGGGTGAGCTGTATAGAAGAGCTGCCTTTCGTTTTTCAGACTTGCAGGCATTCAGGATCTTGAAGTGCTCTGTGTTTAGTGCCAAAGCTTAGTGGTGTTTGTACCTTGTGTCTTCTAGCTAATATATTTGTGGCTAATGTGTGGTTAGGAGGCTGAGGAGATTGAAGGGGTCATCCCAGAGAACTCAGGAGAAGTTAGGGCTCTGAGCTTCTTTTTTGCCACAAACTGGGTCAGCCCTTTCAAATCTGAATGTTGGGGAAGTGTCTATGTGTGCCGGTCCTACTCTTCCAAATGTACTTCATTTTCTTGTGCCTTCCTTTTAAAGAGTCCTTACCCCATTCAGAAATACTCAGTAGATGCTCAAGGTCTCTCTGCAAGGCAGATCCTTGCTACTGAGTCCACAAAGAGATCCCACAGAGGGGAAATGGAGATACTCTGTGCTGATAATATCTGTGTTATCGGCAAAGGCAAGAAAAGACTCTGCCTTCAGGGTTTCCAAGCAGGCCAATACTCAGAGCCGCCCACCAGCCCTGGCCCAGGTTCCTAGCCCCTGGATGGTTCTTGCTCTTAGGAACCTTATACTACCCCCCGCCACCCCGGGCTGTGGATTACAGCACAACAGTAATGATGAAGTCTGCCATCAGATATGCATCCTCCAAATGCCCTCATTGGCAAGTCAAAGGGAAATTTCCCCCTGAAAATGGAAAAAAAAAAGAGCAACCCATGTGGTATGCCTCCCAACAAATCACACACTGAAAGTGATTCCATTTGTCTGAGTTTTTAATTAATACTGATTCCTGCTCTCAGGATTGTCTCTCAAATATGCCTTTTTGTGGTACTGACTGCCTAGAAGATTACTGGTTCCCTCACCTGCAATCAAGTCTTACTGACAGCTGCAGGCTTGGAAAGCCACGTGATGTGTCACCCAAAGCCTGATCTCTCACACAGGGCACCAACAGGAAATAACAGAGTCCATCAGGATGGAGCTCCAGGAGACACTGAAGTGGGATAAAGGTCATATGAGGGTTAAGTCCCAAATGGAAATAACCTCTCCTCCACTCCAGAGCCCCAACACACAACACACAAGTTCTGTCTGGACTTTTTCTAGTTCCTTTTATGCAGATCTCAAAGCATTTAATCAAAGGGCCATTCCTACCACACCATAAGGGGGCGTCTGAATGGCTGTCCCCACAGAGCCAGGGCCTGGCTCCGCTGCTCCTTAGTTGGCCAAGTAGACCTCAGCAGGTTATCCATATGAAGGGTCGTGAGTGTCAAAGGACGCTGATGCCATATTTTCCCATGATGTTCTCCTGTACAACTAATACCAGCCTTAAAAAGCAAACCACAAATACCTATCTGCCAGGAGTGCTGCATCCTCTAAGACTATCCAACACTCAACCCCATGCAGCTGCTAGCTGCTTCTAAGTTCTGTTTTATTCCTGGCATAAGGAATGAATGTAAACAACACTCTTTGTAGTCTCTAACTCAGGGGCTAAAACTCCAACAGATGTTTCTGTTTTGTGGAATACTAGGAAGATGTTCATGGAAGATTTCTGTTTTAGTTTCTCTCTTTTTCAAGAAAAAAAGGGGGGTCTAGCTGGCTGTAACCCCAGCACACATTTGGAGTCTTCAGGACAAGGAGTTTTTCCAAATTCTAAAACAGAAACACTTACAGCATTGAAAAAAAAAATGGTTATAAGTCAGGACTCTCAACACAAGACCAAAGATCTTAAAAGGTGACAAGCCAATGCTAGAAAGTCAATAAATAGTAATGACGATGTCACCCATCTCCTTGGACTAACAGAAGATTTATGTTATGAATGATCACATAAAACTGAAACATTTTACCTCATTTTCTATCACGGAGTCTGACTTCCAAGGGAGCAGAAAACACAAGGCTCTGAGCCCGTTTTTGTCTTCATGAGGAGGTCTTCACCAAGGGAAAGAAAGGGGTGGGAGAGTGAAGGAGAATTGCCATTTCCAAATGCCTTCCTTACCAAGACAATTATGACCGTCATGAGCCAACATGAAGCCATCAAAACAAGTGCAACGATAATTGCCTGGAATATTCAAACAGTCATGGACACAGCCTCCATTGAGCTCATTTCCACATTCATCGATGTCTGAGGAATAAAACAGAAGTAAACCAGACAGGTGCTATTTCTTTGATGTGAAAACATATGCACTTACCTCCAGCCATTCCACTTCTAGGAATCTACCTGAAAATACATCCCTAACAATAGGAAAACAAATACGCACAAGGTTATTCACTGCAGTGTTGTTTCTAATGACAAAATACTGTAAACAACCTAAGTTTCCATAGATAGAAAAATAGTTTAATAAATTATGGTACCTCTACTCCATGGACTACTATGCAGCTATTTTAAAAAAAAGAGAGAATGAGGAAGATCTCTGTGAACTGATTTGGAGTAATTTCTAGGATATACTATTAAATGAAAAAATCAAAATTAAAAGAGTATCTGTAATACGTTATCTTCATGTAAGAAATAAGAAGATATAAAAACACACACAAAATTTCAGGATACGTTTTTGTAGAACTTGACAAGCTTATTGTAAAATTTATATGGAAATGCAAAAGACTCAGAAGAGCAAAAACAATTTTGAAAAAGGAGAACAAATTTGGGGGACTTTAACTCACTATAAACCTACAGTTATCAAGACAGCATGGTACAGGCATAAAGACAGAGGTATAGATCAATGGAACAGAACTGAGAGTCCAGAAATAAATCTTTCTACTTAGGGCCACTTGATTTTAAACAAAAGTGCTAAGGTAATCCATTGGGAGAAATGCTTGTCTTTTCAACAAATGGCACTGGTTTAATTGGATATCCATATTCAAAAAGATGACTTTAGATCCTTATCTCATCCCATACACAAAAATCAACTCAAAATGGATCAGGGATCCAAATGTAAGCATTAACAATATAAAGCTTTTCAGAAAAAATATGTGATAAACATCTTTAAGATATTGGGATGGCTAGGCATGATCTTTGGGTGCACTTTGGGAGCCTGAGCCAGGAGGATCAATTGAGCCCAGGAGTTGCTGACCTGGGCAACATAGTGAGACCCCCATCTCTACAAAAAATAAACAAAATTAGCCAGATGTGGTGGTGCACGCCTATAGTCCCAGCTGCTTGGGAGGCTGAGGCAGGAGGATTGCCTGAGCCCAACATTGAGACCGCAGTGAGCCAAGATGACACCACTGCATTCCAGCCTGGGTGACAGAGCAAGACCCTATCTCAAAAAAAAAAAAAGGAGAAAAAGAGAAAAATCTTTAAGACATTGGATGAGGTTAAAATTTCTTTGATATAATACCAAATACACAATCACAATTTTTAAAATTAATAAACTGGAGTTTATCAAAATTAAGAACTTTTGCTCTTCAAACGGTATCATTAAGAAAATGAAGACAAGCCACAGATTGGTAGAAAATATTTGCAAATCACACACCTTATAAAGAACTGAAAAAAAACTCTTACAACTCAATAAGAAGATAAACAGCCTAATTTTAAAATGGGCGAAATATTCGAATAGACATTTCAGCTACAATGATATGCAAATGACCAACAAGCACATGAAAAAATGCTCAACGCCATTAGTTATTAGGGATATGCAAATTAAAACCACAATGAGATGCCATTTCACATTCACTAGAATGGTAATAATTAAAAAGATAGACAATAACAAATGTTGACAAGGATGTGGATAAATGGGAACACATACATTGTTGACAGGATGTTGATGGGTATGTAAAACGGCATAGCCACTTTGGACAAGAGTTTGGCAGTATCTTTTCTTTTCTTTCTGTAAATGTACAGTTGGATATAATTAAAACAATCATAATGTTGTGAAACCATCACCACTATTCATCTCCCTAACTCTTTTTATCTTGTAAAACTGAAACTCTGTGCCCATTTAACAATAACTCCTCATTTCCTCTTCCCTCTCTTCCCTCAGGCCCTGTTAACCACCATTCTACTTTCTGACTCTATGATTTTGACTACTCTAAGTATCTCATATATTTAGAATCAAACAGTATTTGTCTTTTTGTGACTGGCTTGTTTCACTTAGCATAATGTTCTCAAGATTCCACCATGTTGTAGCATGTGACAGGATTTCCTTTTTTAAGGCTAATATTCTATTATATCATGCCTGTAATCTCAGCCACTTGGGAGGCTGAGGTGAGAGGATCGCTTGAGACCAGGAGTTTGAGACTAGCCTGAGCAAGATAGCAAGATCCCACCTCAAAAAAACAAACAAACAAACAAAAAAAAAAAACCAAAAATATTATTTTGTACATAACACATGTTGCTTATCCACTCATCTGTCGATGGACACTTGGGTTGCTTCCACCTTTTGGCTACTGTGAATAATGCTACGAGCATGGGCATACGAATATCTCCTCCAGACCCTGCTTTCCACTCTTTTGGGTATACACCCAGAAGTGGAATTGCTGGGTCCTATGGTAATTTTTTTTAAAATTTTTTGAGGAACTTCCACACTGTTTTCCATAGTGGCTATACCATTTTAAATTCCCACCAACAGGTGCACAAAGCTTCCAATTTTTCCACATCCTCACAGACATTTATTATTTTCTATTTTTTTGATAGTAGCCATCCTAATGGATATGAATAGTAGCTCCCATTTGTAGTTTTGATTTGCGTTTCCCTAATCATCAGAGATGTCGAACATCTTTTCATGGGCTTATTGTCCATTTGCATATCATCTTAGCTGAAATGTCTATTCAGATATTTTGCCCACTTTTTAATTGCGTTATTTGATTTTTAATGTTGAACATTAACAGTTCTCTACCTATTCTGGATATTAATCCCTTATAAGATACATGATTTGCAAACATTTTCATCTATTCTGTGAGTCGCCTTTATATTCTGTTGATATTGTCTTTTGATGTTCAAAATTTTTAAATTTTCAGGAAGTCCAATTTGTCTATTTTTTCTTTTGTTGTATGTGGCTTTGGTGTGATATCCAAGAAATTATCTCCTCGGCAGTTTCTTAAAAATTTAAACACAAATACAACATATGACCCAGCAATCCCACTCCTAGGTATATACCCAGAAGAAATGAAAATTTATGTCTATACAAAGACTTTCATGCAAGTGTTCACAGCAATATTATTTATAATAGCCCCAAAGTAGAAACAATCAAAATGCCTATTAACTGATAAATGGGCAAAAAAAATGGTATATTCATACAATGGACTACTATTAAACGATAAAAATGAATGAAATGCTGATATAAGCTACCACATGGACAAACCTCAAAAGCATTTTGCTAAGTGAAAGAATCCAACACAAAAGACCGCATATTGTATGATTCCACTTACGTGAAATGTCCAGAAAAGGCAAATATACAGATACAGAAAGTAGATTACTGGTTGCTTGAGGCTGGGACTGGGAATGAGGATTAGCTGTACAAGAACACGGGGAATCTTACTGAGATGAGGAAAATGTTTGTATTGTGATGGTTGCACAATTCAGCTGATTTACTAAAAATCACTGACTTGCACAATTAAAATTGGTGAATATTATAGTATGTTAATTACACCTCAGTAAAGTTGTTAAAAAGTTGCAACTTTTCTGAAATCTAAAATTATACATTTATCTGCTTATTAGTGCAAAATAAATATAGAAAGGTAAAACCAGAAACTACAGAGATTGGTGACCCACAGGGCACGGGGAAAGGGTGGAAAGAATGAATACAATTAATTGTATACATACAATTAATACATGTTTAAGGAATAAGGGAAATGCATGGAAGGAGGGGATGGAAGTGAATAAAAGTGGAATACGAAAAGAAACAAATGAACCTAATGTATTATAAACTAATAGTATAACCATACTGAAGAGGATGGGGAAGGAAAATATTGACCTAAATAACACTATGAAAAACAACACCTTGCTTGGATGCTTTAAGGCTAAAAACAAAATAGCTGTATGCTATACTCTAGTAAATATTGTACTTTAGTTAGTAAATCTGCTTTACTCACAGGGTTATGGACTTATAATTCTGTAAATATCTCTCCCGTGTATTAGGACTGAACAAAGAGGTAAACACATTACAGATAATGAGCGCCAGATTTCTCACTGTTGGAGAAAGTTACGAATAAGCAAAGAGAGAATAGAATGAATTTTTTTTTTTTTTTTTGAGATGGAGTCTCACTCTGTCACCCAGGCTGGAGTGCAGTGGCACGATCTTGGCTCACTGCAACCTCCGCCCCCCAGGTTCAAGCGATTCTCCTGCCTCAGCCTCCCGAGTAGCTGGGATTACAGGCGTGCTGTAATTTTTGTACTTTTAGTAGAGACGGGGTTTCACTATCTTGGCCAGGCTGGTCTTGAACTCCTGACCTTGTGACCCACCCGCCTCGGCCTCCCAAAGTGCTGGGATTACAGACGTGAGCCACTGCATCCGGCCTAGAATGAATCTTGTGGTAATGGTTTGGAATCCAAAGTATCAGTGTTAACTAATTGTTTTTAATATATATACAGATGAATAAATAAAAGGAATAAATATAGATACGTGTGCATGCGTGGATGAGTATGCGTACATGTATTTCCCAGGTAGGAATGATGACACCCTAGTAGCAATGACAACACCAAACATCCAGATCTTGGTTTCTATAGACCACTTCCATTAAAAGGAATCAGAGCTCCTTGGAGAAGCAGTTCATTCCAGGCCTAGGGAGGAGAAGCTATAAGATGATTCTAGAGCATGTTGTGGTACCAGAAAGTTAGGAAGTCCTCAAAAATGTGACGTCAAAATGACACAGGAGACAATGTGTGGGGAGCTTCCAATGGCTAAAGCAAACAATTTGAGCCAAAAATAAATATAGATGTAATAAAGTAAATATGCATCAGTACATAGTGGTATAAATTAATAAATAAGTGGGGACGAGGGAGAGATCTTCCTTACAGAAGAATTTCAATTAACACATGTTTAAGGAATTAAAGAAATGCAAAATTACCAGGAGACACACATCACAGTAATAACTATTGCAGGCAAGATCCACAGTTGGATGCTAACATCAGTGGATGAAGATTTGAGGAGAAACAGGATATTGGCCTCAAAGTATCTCCCCTAAGAAATGTATCTATTGCAAAGGGGAAAAAAAAATATATAGTAATTTTGTAGCAGAGAAAACCCAGTAAACCCCATCTTGCTCAGGCAATCAAGGTTAACATCATCAAGAATGGGACATGTTAACATCATGTGCCCATGATGTGCTACACTGAAAAGGATACAACAGCACCTCTGTAGCAGCCTGGCCAAAAACTCATAACCTCAATTTTATCATGAAAAAAACAAAGACATTCTCTTATATCAATTATTGTTTTTTGAGACAGCGTCTCATTTTGTCACCCAGGCTGGAGTGCAGTGGTGCCATCATAGCTCACTGCAAACTCCTGGGCTCAAGTGATCCTCCTGCCTCAGCCTCCTGAGTAGCAGGGACTACAGGCACACATCACCACACCAGCAATTTTTTGTTTTGTTTTGTTTTGTTTTAGAGACAGGCATCTCACTATGTTGCCCAGGCTTATCTCACACTCCTGGCCTCATGTAAGCCTCCCTCCTTGGCATCTCAAAGTGTTAGGATTACAAGCATGAGCCACTGCACCTGGCCTCATATCAATTCTTATAATGACATTAAGACAAATGAAGTGAGCAGTACTCATCAAAAGTGTCAATGTCAGGAAAGACTGAGGAACTGTCACAGACTGGAGGAGACAAGAGACACAACTGCTAAATCTAATGTGGGACTTTACTTGGATTCTGGAACAAAAAAAGAATGGTAGGGAAAAATGGTGAAATTTGAATAAAGTTTGTAGTTTACTTAATAGCATTGTGCCAGTGTTGATTTCCTGGTTTTGATAATTGTACTATAGTTATGTAAGTTGTTAACATTAGGGTAAAATGAATGAAGGGCATATATATACACAGATGAACTCTGCACTATTTTTGCAACTTTTCTGAAATTTAAAATTATGTCCAAATAAAAAGTTTTTTAAAAAGAAAAATATAGGCTGGGTGCGGTGGCTCATGCATGTAATCCCAGCACTTTGGGAGGCCAAGGCAGGCGGATCATGAGGTCAGGAGATAGAGACCATCCTGGCTAACACGGTGAAACCCCGTCTTTGCTAAAAATACAAAAAATTAGCCAGGCGTGGTGGTGGGCGCCTGTAGTCCCAGCTACTGGGGAGGCTGAGGAAGGAGAATAACTTGAACCTGGGAGGCGGAGGTTGCAATAAGCCAACATCACGCCACTGCACTCCAGCCTGGGTGACAAAGCGAGACTGTGTCTCAAAAATAAAAAAATTAAAAAAGAAAAGAAAAGAAAAATATAGCATCTTGTACAAAGGCCAACTTTAGATTCATCCCTGTTAAACTTTATTCAATCTCTTTAGTTTTTTTTTTTTTTTTTTTTTAAGACAGAGTGTCTTGCTCTGTTGCCCAGGCTGGAGTGCAGTGGCGCAATCACAGCTCACTGCAACCTCCACCTCCTGGGCTCAAGTGATCCTCCCACCTCAGCCTCTGGAGTAGCTAGTACTATAGGCACGCACCACTACACCCAGCTAATTATTTTGACCTTTAGTAGAGAGAAGGTCTCACTATGTTGCCCAGGCTGGTCTCAAACCCTTGAGCTCAAGGTATCCTCCTGCCTCAGCCGCCCAAAGTGCTAGGATTACAGGCGTGAGCCAATTCAATTCCTCAAACTGAGAAGTAAGAACCATACAATAAATAAGCAAATAAGCAAAGATCATTTAGAATAAAAGATTACCTAAAGCAACGTCTGAATCACATTATTTTTAAACCCACTTATTCAGGGCTCACACATTTCTCCAACATTTTGGCAGAAGAAAACTTTATGGAAGATAAAATTCTAGTTACTCTGAGTAAACCTGATCCTCATCCCTGAACTTAAATATGAGTAGTGAAGCTGGCAATAATCACAACCCAAATGATACCATAGGTTGGTCCCAAGAGGCTCAAAAATTAATAGGCCAAGAAATGGATAAAGGAGTTACATCTTTGTATATCTACATCTTTGAATCCTTGCAATCCTCATTTCCTCTCCTTTTCCTTCTTGGGAGAAAATTTCCATTTCTGTACTCCTATACCAAGAAATCCAAACTAAGAGGGACATCCTGGCCGGGCGCAGTGGCTCACGCCTATAATCCCAGCACTTTGGGAGGCCAAGGTGGGTGGATCATCTGAGGTCAGGAGTTCGAGACCAGCCTGGCCAACATGGTGAAACCCCATCTCTACTAAAAATACAAAAATTAGCCGGGTGTGGTGGTGCACGCCTGTAATTCCAGCTACTAGGGAGGTTGAAGCAGGAGAATTGCTTGAACCTGGGAGGCGGAGGTTGCAGTGAGCCAAGACTGCACCACTGCATTCCAGCCTGGGTGACAGAGCAAGACTCTATCTCAAAAAAAAAAAAAAAAAAAAAGAGGGACATCCTTACTTACTAGTATTGTAAATACTACAAATATTCAAAAGATCAAATTCTTCTAGGGTTTGAGTTCCAAACGACAGTACAAAGGATGTATGCTCACTGTTAACCATGACTATCTGTGGATAAATGGATGGGAGGCTCTTTAATTTTTTATTTTACACATTTTGTATTATTTGACTTTTTATAACAATCACATATCATTTTAAAATAAATTTATATATATATATGGCACAATGCCAGTCAATCATTAGTTATTTTAAACTAAATAATAGACTTTTAACAATTCAACTATAAACTGTTAGCAATTCAATTTCATTTGAAATATATCAAACTCAAAAGCCAAGAGTAAGGAAACTCTTGCCAATTGTCATTTAACATCATTTACTAAAAGTGTACTTTATCTAAATAAAGTCAGTGGAATGGTTTTGTGCCACCAGAGAGCACACAGCAACTGGAGGACGTGAGTTATCCACATAGTAAAGAAGTGAACATTTGTTTCCAAAGCAGGGTACCAACATGTGTGAATTCCAGTACAGCAAATAGAATATTTAATACCGAAAGTGTGTGGTATGGAGGAATCAGCAGATAAATGTTCTGGGGAGAGATAGCCTTTTGGCCTCCCATGACATGGCAGGGGGAGGGGGGAAGAGAGAGAGAAAGAGAGAGAGAGCGTGAGCTACTTCATGGATGGATCACCAACCCCACTTGCTATGCACCTGACCAGGACCACACCTTCTCCAATGGGAGCGGTGGGAGCCTCACTCCTCATGCACAAAGGGGAGCTCCCTGAATGATATCCCAAGGGGTGTCACCAGATCCAAACTTGCCCGTCATAATCCCATCTGTTATTCATATTTGCTGTCTATATTTTCTTTTGGTCTTCCCTTCCTTTGTAACAAAGTTCATTGTAAAGATCCCATTTCTTGTCTCAGCTATGCTAAGACAAGGAGATGGGTGGATAGGGAGGATCAGGTCATTGCTACAACACTGCAAAAGCATCTGACAGTCACTTACCTACTTGGTCATCTGTATATTCTGTATCTAGATATTTCATTTGTGGGTTTGTCTGTTTGTTGGAAAAGACTTTGTGTCAAGGTGCTAGTAGACTGAGCCCATCTTACACAATCACTTATTCAAAAATAAGGATGTCTATTCAGTGTCTACCATGTACCAGGCACTGCTGAGCATTATATACTGTTCCAATATTTAGAATCTTTATTACTCAGAGGCCACAGTATGAAACAGATTGGTTTGAAACATCAGGGTCTGGACACTAGGCCATTAAATGGCACCAGAATAGACACTCATTAAAAGTTTTCCTCCTCTGGGTGGGCATAGTGGCTCATGCCTGTAATCCCAACACTTCGGGAGGCCGAGGCCAGTGGATCACCTGAGGTCAGGAGTTTGAGACCAGCCTGGCCAACATGGTGAAACCCCGTCTGTCCTAAAAATACAAAAATTAGCTGGACATGGTGGCAGGCGCCTGTAATCCCAGCTACTTGGGAGGCTGAGGCAGGAGAATTGCTTGGTCTCACACTCCTGGCCGGGGATGAGGAGGCTTCAGTGAGCTGAGATCGCGCCATTGCACTCCAGCCTGGGTAACAAGAGCAAAGCTCTGTCTCAAAAAAGTTTTCCTCCTCATCTAAAGAAGTTAATATGTTTTTCGAAGTGGAAAGAGACTTGGAAGGACTTTCTTACTCATTGTGTAGCTTTAGATCCTGCAAGTATTCAGAAGATCAATTCCCATGGGAGTTAAGCCCAAGTTCTAAAGAGTTTAAAACCTCTCGAAGAGGAAGGGGCCACCAACATACTTGTCAAGGTTGGGTCCAGGAGCAAGGAGGGATACTCAGAGATGAGTTCAGTGCTCCTCATCTAATTTCTTCCTGCAAGGGATGACTATAGACAGTGGGATTTCTCACTCATCCAAAGAAGGACAGCAGCAGGCTGAGTAAATATGAGAAACGTGGGGTTGGGGACAGAGCTAGGGGTGGAGACCTGACTTTCTTTCACTTGCAGGCAACTTGTGTGATCATGGCCACAACTCCTCTGGCCCTCAGTGTCCCCATCTGTGAAATGAGTAATAGCATTGGCCCAGAGCTACCTGAATAGCCCAGTCAGCTCCAATGTGTCATGATTTCCATCTCCAGGAACAGCCTCGAGTGTCCAGTCTCTGGCCAGCTATGAACTTCACAGTTCATGACTCTAGTCCAGATTATAAAATGGCAGAGTCCAAACCACAGGTTCTCAGACCTGCAGCTCTATGGGCTAAAATGCCCCTCTGCACACATCTCTCCAGAGTGAACCTGTAACTCCAAACGAGGAAGGTCCTTGGTGTACTCTGAAGCTTGGCACGTCACAATGCCAAACATTGTGGCCAAAGCCATAAACAGGATGGAGCCTCCTGAGCTGGTAGGGGAGGGCAGGACTCTCTAGCACTCAGACTTCAGGGCAAAGGTACAAACCGCCCCAGGGAGGTGCAGGATCAGCCCTGCTCTGGCAGGCATGGCTCTCCTGATCAGCATGGATGTTTACTTTCTGCCCCAAAACTGAGTGGGACCCAAAGATACTAACACATCTCTTTTCTTTTCCAGAAGCTAGACAAAAGGACATTTCAGAGCCAGATAAAACTGTGTGAGCAGCTCTGGGGAAGACCTAATGTTTCCAGTCCAAGATCTGAAATATATTTCAGAGAGCAGGTGATGTGATTCAGGGGCTGGGGGAAAGGGAGAGGAGGGGCAGTACTTTTACCAACATAAGTGGCCACTGCAAGAGCTAAGGAGGTAGGAGCTTCCCTACAGTCCCCCCACATGGTCCCCAAGGCACTTACCCTCACACTGCCTGCCTTCCCCTTGGTAGCCAGGCTTGCAGGAGCACTTGTAGGAGGTGGGTGTGTTCTGACACAGGGCGTCGGCATGGCAGTCATCTAGCCCTTGGGCACACTCATCTACATCTGCAAAAGAGCACAGCTGACACCTGGTACAGGCTCCCAGGCCATGTGTGATCTGGCCTCGGCCCTGTCTGGCATCATCCTCACCAGCCCACCCCGCTTCACTCCTCACAAGCTACAGCTGCTTGGGATCCCTGGGATAAACCAAACTGTTTCTGGGTCCCTGTTTCCAGGAACAGCCCGGACACTCTACGTGAAATTACCCCCACCATCACCTACTGGCCTTCAGGACTTAGCTCAAATCCACCTCCTCCAGGAAGCCTGCCATGACCCCCATTGTAGCTGCCCTCACCAAGTGCTCGCATATGTATGGCTTTGCATGCACACATCAGGCAGGGTTGTCACTGTTTTCCTTCCTCTCTCTCCACTAGACAATGTCTTGACAACAGACTGCGTCTGTGTCCCTTATGCCAAGCCAGCGCAGTACCTGGCATGTGAGTAGGCAATAGTACCTACATGCCCGCTAAAGGAGGAAAGGACCAAACGGACAGACAAGCTCTGAACACCAAGCAGCTGTCTGTCAGCTTTCTCGGAGCTCAGAGCAAGCTTGTCCAACACAGCCCGTGGGCTACGTGCAGCCCAGGACAGTTTTGAATGCGGCCCAATGCAAATTCATAAACTTTCTTAAAACATTATGAGATTTTTTTTTTATTTATTTATTTATTTTTTTTTTTTGCTCATCAGCTGTCGTTTGTGTTGGTATATTTTATGTGTGGCCCAATTCTTCTTCTTCCACTGTGGCCCAGGTAAGCCAAAAGATTGCACCCCGCTGGTTTAGAGTATTTATGGGAAGTCTGCCCCGGGATCGGAGCAGATGTCATCCAGGGCTCTCAGATGCTGCGAAGCGGGGATGGTGTCCCCATGGCCGGCCCCCTGCACTCCCACCCCTGCCCATCCTCTCAACCTGGAAACCCGCCTTGGCAGAAGTATTTCCTGGGTTGACACTACTCCAGGATATTAATTAAAAACAAAAGCATTTTGAAAGTATTGCAAGTCCAGTAAGCACAGCACGTCCAGAGTCCTCTCTGGAAACCAAAGTTCTCTGCTGAAAACCTAGGCTTGTTGCTGCTTCAGGGTAATTCCCAGATCGGAACAGGCGCTGTTCCGCTGACAGAAAAGTCTCTGGAGCCCACCCCGAAGCCATCAGCAGAACTTGCCGGCCCCCAAAGAAAGAAACGGCAAAGCTGCCACCGCCTCGCGGATGTGCCCGGCCCGGCCCTCAGTTTCCCCGCCTACGCTGAGGCGCGGGACCCCAAGGCCAGGGTCCGCACCCTCCTGCCTGCTCGCCGGCGACGGTCTGACTAGCAGGCGCTCTGGAGGCATCCGGACCGGGGCGGGAACCGTCAGCAGCTCCGGGTCCGAGGCCGGGCCGAAGGACTCAGGGCCCCAGCGGTCGTGGCGCCTTGGCCCGGCCGGCGGGTGAGGTCCCGGGGGGAGCAGAGGCCCCCGCGGAGCTGCAGCCGCCAGCCCCGAGCCCCGCGCGCCCGGCTCTGGACTCCGCCGGGGACCTAAACACTCTTCCTGGCCCTGCCTGCTGTGCCAGGTGCGCCCCCGCGGCCGGACACTCACCCTCCTGCGGCCCCGCGGCACGGCCCCGACCCGGCGGGACGGCCCCCGCCAGCAGCAGCAGTGGCGGCAGCAGCAGCAGCAGCAGCAGCACCGCCCAGGCCGCCCCGGGACGGTTGCGGCCCGCGACCCCCATGGATGGCTCAGCGGTTGCGGGCAGAGGCGGCGGAGTGCGGGCGGTGGCGGCGGCGGCGCGGGGAGGTGTGCGCGGACGCCCTGCCCGCTGCCGCTGCCACCCCCGGCCCGGCCCCGCCCGCCCCCCGAGCCCCGGCCTCATTTTCACACGGTCCCTCCCGGGCCGGGGCGGGAAGCGCAGGCGGGAGCAGTGCCGCCCCGCCCGGCCTCCTCCCGTCCCCTCCCCGGCCTCGGGTGGAGGGGGCGCGGCCGCGGTGGCCCGAGCGCGGCTGTCAGCCTGGCGGGGCGGCAGCACCGTGCCTCGCGCCCCGCGCAGCCCTGGCACCCAGCCCGCTGCCCCCCGCATCCCCGCTCCGCTCCAACGCTCGGAGCCCTCGGTGCCGCGCCTGTTCCAGTGTGTTACAACTCGACCCAGGCCCTCATGTGAGGACAAACAGCCCTTCTAGATTGAAATATTCGGGGTCAGGGCGCCCAGAAAGTGTTCCGTATAGTCCCCAAACCCCAAAGCCATCTTGGGGCTTTCCACGTGGGAGGTGGGAGGTGGGAGTGGAAGGAATTGGGGGTGACTTCCAATTCGGGAAAACAGCTGTTTGAATGGAGAAGGTGACCCTGGCTTCTCTGCCCACCCCAGCACACCCTCTGCACCCTTCTCCACACTGCCCACCCCAGGCCCTCTGGGATCCTCCATCCCACAGCCCTGAGGGCACTGGTCCACTTGTCCCACTGTGGGGCACACTGGGCCTAGAATCCCTGCAAGCTACTTATGTATATCTCAGGGCAGCCTAAGGGGAAGGGGGCTAGAGGTCAAAGGTGAGCCACCAGAGACAACAGACAGCAGCCCCGACTTTGCCGGAGTACAGGTGGCATTTACGATCACCTGAACTCATAAACATCAGGTCTGGCTAGCTTCAAACACAGGCAGGGCCTAGCACCTAGCCTTCCATGAAAGACAGTCCTTGCAAGGGAACAGGTACACAGGGTCTTCCCATATCACACTTGACACGGATGGCTGGAGCCCAATACACCCACCATCACTCCAGGAACAAATATAGTAACAATTTCCGGACGCAACCAAACATCACACTTAGGGATAGTAATGTTCTTCACTGAGCTTCTCCGTATTTATTCAATTTTCTCCTGCGATTATATACATACACATATGTATATATGCAGGCACACGCACGCGCGCACACACACACACACCATTCCTTTGGAGATCAGAAAAAAAATAGATGTCACCAAAAAATCCCCACCTAGCTCATGCACAAAAACTCTTATGTCTTCTTGGGGCCTATCCACAGCCCAGAGCTCCCAGCCTCTGCACCCTCAGTACCCACTGTCTGCCACCCCAGCCCCCGAACATGCCCACGGGGGCCTGCCTCTTTGGGCTGTGGCTAGTGCAGCTGCTTGATGGAGCTATCTGAGAAAATAACTTTTCTGTAGTTGTTTTTCTTTTGACCCTTTCAGTGAAGGCAGGCAGGTTGCGTCCCTCTTTCTGTCTGCGCCTCCCTCCCACTCCCTTTTGTTTGGTGCTGAGAGAGACACTCAGCTATTTCTGGTCATAAGGGTGGTTTTTACACATTTGTAAATCTTCAGTTAGTGAAACGTTCTCTCCACCTTTGTCTTTGTGTCCTTAATGGTAGCCATAAATTACTGCCTTCTTTTCTCTCCACTGCATCAGGCTTCATTGCTTTTGAAATGATCAAAGTTATTTCTTTTAAAATCCAACTAGAAACTGCCCATTGTGTGGCACAGACCTCTTTAGCTCCAGTTAAAGCATATAAATACATAAAGCTGCCCATTAAACTCTAGGGGGAGCCTCCTGCAGCGCCCTTGTGCCTGGCAAAGAAATCACACATGTGCTATTCTTCCCCTTTACCTTTCCCTAACTTGATCTTTCAGTAAGGACATAAATTAATAATGACAAGAATCAGCGCCTTTTTGCCTAAGACTGTCAGCTTTTGTCATGTTTCCCAGAAAAGTCCACCACTGGCACAGATCTCAAAAAATGTTCTGTATCCTATTTTGTTTGCGCTGACATCCTTACAAACGTGCTTTCAGCTGTTGGCTCCCAGACTCCTGGGCAACCTTTTTGACACTTGAGATTAAAGTCAATATGGCTTACAACCGGGAATTTCCACAGGGGGAAGCTCCAGGGGAAAACTGTGTCCAAATGTCAGTGTTTTTGGTGTCAGGAGGAACTTGGTTGGCTCTACTCTGGCTGCAGGCTGCCCTCTATTCTGCAGCTGAGGTCCCCACAAACTTCTCAGAAAGGCCTCAGACACCGTCCCTGGACTGAGGCTAAAGCTCCCTCTTCCTCTCCCTGTCTCCTCTCCACAGGCTGAGAGGCCATGAACCAGGCCTCAGGGGTGCGAAGAGGCAGTCCAGCCAGCCCAGTCACACTGGTGTGGGCCTTTGAGGAGGCTGAAGAAAGCCTGGTAGTGGCCGGCCATGCGTGCCCCTGAACTACACATAAGCAGGTGCCACTCTGCACTCATGGGACACCATTCAGTGCCCACCTTTCTTGACTCCCCCCCCGCCCCCAGCAGCCTCTGACATGTGGACTACTTCTCCCTGGTGGAAACTCTCCTTACCCTTGGTTGTCATCGTGGCAAACTCCTGGTTTTCCTCCTACCTCTCAGGAAATGCCTTCTCCACCATCTTCTAGGAGTCCTCTTTCTATACCCTCTCTCTGGATGGTTCACTCATTCCCTTGATTCCATAATGTCAATCTCCAGCCTGGATTCATCCCCTTGGTTCAATCCCATGTATCCAGTTGCCTACTAGATACCACCTTGATCTTCCCTAGATCCCACCTTGATCTTCCCTAGATCCCTCTGATTGAACATGTTCAAAACGAAGCTCATGACCTAGAAGAAGCTTCTCTGCTTTCTCGAATCTCTGCCTGGTTCAGCCCACCCACCCCTCCACTACTGCCTCCACCATGTCCATCAGGGTGACCCAGAAGTCCTACAGGGTGTCCACCTCTGGCCCCTAGGCCTTAAGCAGCCGCTCCTACACAAGCGGGCCTGGTGCCCATATCAGCTCCTGGAGCTTCTCTCAAGTGGGCGGCAGCAGCAGCTTCCGGGGTGGCCTGGGCACCCGCATGGCTCTGGGTGGAGGCTATGGTGGGGCCAGTGGTATGGGGGGCATCACAGCCATCATGGTCAGCCAGAACCTGCTGAGCCCCCTTAAGCTGGAGGTGAACCCCAACATCCAGGCTGTGTGCGCCCAGGAGAAGGAGCAGATCAAGACCCTCTACAACAAGTTTGCCTCCTTCATCGAGAAGGTGCGGTCCCTGGAGCAGCAGAACAAGATGCTGGAGACCAAGTGGAGCCTCCTGCAGCAGCAGAAGACAGCTCAGAGCGACATGGACAGCATATTCGAGAGCCACATCAACAAACTTCGGCGGTAGCTGGACACTCTGGGCCAGGAGAAGCTGAAGCTTGGCAACATGCAGAGGCTGGTGGAGGACTCCAAGAACAAGTATGAGGATGAGATCAATAAGCGTACAGAGATGGAGAATGAATTTGTCCTCATCAAGAAGGTAACGTGGCTGAAGCTAACATGAACAAGGTAGAGCTGGAGTCTCTTCTGGAAGGGCTGACTGACGAGATCAACTTCCTCAGGCAGCTATATGAAGAGGAAATCTGGGAGCTGCAGTCCCAGATCTCGGACACATCTGTGGTGCTGTCCATGGACAGCAGCCGCTCCCTGGACATGGACAGCATCATCCCTGAGGTCAAGGCGCAGTACAAGGAGATCGCCAATGGCAGCTGGGCTGAGGCTGAGGGCATGCATCAGATCAAGTATGAGGAGCTGCAGACACTGCCTGGGAAGCATAGGAATGACCTGCGTTATGCAAAGATGGAGATCTCTGAGATTAATAGGAACATCAGCCGGCTCCAGGCTCAGACTGAGGGCCTCAAAGGCCAGAGGGTTTCCCTGGAGGCTGCCATCGCAGATGCTGAGCAGTATGGGGAGCTGGCTGTTAAGGATGCCAACACGAAGCTGTCGAGCTGGAGGCCGCCCTGCAGCGGGCCGAGCAAGACATGGTGCAGCAGCTGTGCCATGGAGCACCAGGAGCTGATGAACGTCAAGCTGGCCCTGGACATCAAGATCGCCACCTACAGGAAGCTGCTGGAGGGCGAGGAGAGCTAGCTGGGGTCTGGGATACAGAACATGAGTGTCCATCTGAAGACCACCAGTGGCTACTCAGGTGGGCTGAGCTCGACCCACGGGCACCTCACAAGCCCTCTACAACAGGCCTTAGCTACAGCCTGGGCTCCAGCTTTGGCACTGGTGGAGGCTCCAGCTCCTTCAGCCGCGCCAGCTTCTCCAGGTCCATGGTTGTGAAGAAGGTGGAAACGCGAGATGGCAAGCTAGTGTCCAAGTCCTCTGATGTCCTGCCCAAGTGAATGGCCATGGCAGCCCCTACCAGCCTGCCCCTCCTGCGGCTGCCCCAGGGCCCGTGGAGGAAGCCGCTGTGCAGTGGAGCACAGGAACAGGAGACTCACCTGAGGCTCAGCCCTAGCCCTCAGCCCACCTGCTGGGGGAGTTTACTGCCTGGGGCACCCCCATTGGCCATGCTTCCAGCTACAAAACAATTCAATTGTTGCTTTTTTTTTTTTTTTTTTCAAAATAAAATCTCAGCTAGCTCTGCCAACTGTCCAAAACAAACAAACAAATGGAGCTCATCTTCCTCAAACCTGCTCCTTCTCAAGTGCTCTCTCCTTTAGACAAGGGCACCACCATTCTGTTAACACCAAGTCAGAGGTTTGGCGGTCATCTGGGACTCCATTATCTCCCTCCCCACCACATCCGAACAATCAAGAAAATTCTACCTTCTTATTGTCTCTTAAAACCATTCTCTTCCTCTGTGCCCATTGCCTGAGCTCAGGGGTTCGCCATCCCTCATCACCCCTGGGGGCTGTGTATCTATCCCTTTCCTCCTTCCTAACAGATACTCACTCCTCCTGCAGACAGCCCGTGTCCCTAGGAAGGAAGCTGCCCCATCTCTAACTTCAGGCTCTGGAGTTGACTTAAGACAATTGATATCATTCATTCCATTCCCCCTGCAACAGTCATTGGTTCAGGGATGAGCACGTGACGGATTTCCAATCGGAGCAAATCTCAGGCCCTTTGCTTGAAAGGCTGGAATGGAAAGGCTCTCTTTTTCTCTTTGGGATGTGGCTGTGGTAAATGAGAAACTGTGGCAGCCATCTTAATACCTCCTTCCCTTGCCCAAAAGAGGGTAAGTCCAGAGAAACCCTGAGAAGCCAACCAGGAGACACTCTGGTTGCACCTAGTCTGCGATTTCTTACAGGTCTCTCTGTCTAGAATCTCATCCCAATTCAGTACATTCAACACAGTGGCTGCCAGAGTTAAAAGTAAGTTTCATCATATCACTCCCAGTCTTCCTCAGGCTAACATCCAAGCTCCCTTGGTACAATCACTCTGGAGAACTGCCGGGCAGTATACACTAATATGGATCATGCATGCCCACTTCTCAGAATATACCCAAGAGAAATGAGTGTACATGTTCACCAAATTCATATACGAGAACATTCATAACGGCTGTATTTACACTAGCCCCAAACTGGAAATCACCCACATGTCCATCAACTAGATAATGAACATATTGTGGGATATTTGTTCAATGGAATACTACACCAAGCAACAAAACGAACAAACTCTGATACAGGCAGCCACACAGAGGCACCTTATGAACATTAGGCCTAGTTAAAGAAGCCAGGTTAAAAAGGGTGCAAGTAGTATCATTCTGAGAGACAGGACTAGCTGGATTTCCTAGGCCGACTAAGAATTCCTAAGCCTACCTGGGGAAGGTGACCACACCCACGTTTAAACACAGGGCTGGTAACTCAGCTCGCACCCAACCAATCAGGAAGTAAAGAGTGCTCACTAAAATACAAATTAGGCCAAAAGCAGGAGGTAAATAAATAGTCAAATCATATATCGCCTGAGAGCACAGGGGGAGGGACAATGATCGGGATATAAACCCAGGCATCCCGGCAGGGAGCGGCAACCCCCTTTGGGTCCCTTCCCATTATATGGGAGCTCTGTTTTCACTCCATTAAATCTTGCAACTGCACACTCTTCTGGTCCGTGTTTGTTATGGCTCGAGCTGAGCTTTCGCTCGCAGTCCACCACTGCTGTTTGCCACCGTCGCAGACCCGCCGCTGACTTCCACCCCTCCAGATCCGGCAGGGTGTTCACTGCACTCCTGATCCAGCGAGGCGCCCACTGCCACTCCCTATCAGGCTAAAGGCACGCCATTGTTCCTGCATGACTAAGGGCCCAGGATTTGTCCTAATCGAGCTGAACACTAGTTGCTGGTTCCACGGTTCTCTTCCATGACCCACGGCTTCTAACAGAGCTATAACACTCACCTCATGGCCCAAGGTTCCATTCCTTGGAATCCGTGAGGCCAAGAACCCCAGGTCAGAGAACAAAAGGCTTGCTACCATTTTGGGAGCGGCCCGCCCCATCTTGGGAGCTCTAAGAACAAAGACCCGCCCGTAACAATTCTATTCACTTCTATGATGTTCTGCTGGGTGTGGTGGCTCACACCTGTAATCCCAGTACTTTGGGAGGCCAGGGTGGGTGGATCACTTGAGCTCAGGAATTCAAGACAAGCCTGAGCAACACAGCGAGACCTCATCTCTACCAAAAAGTTTTTAAAAATCAGCCAGGGGCCGGGCAGTGTGGCTCAAACCTGTAATCCCAGCACTTTGGGAGACTGAGGTGGGCTGATCACCTGAGGTAAGGAGTTCGAGACCAGTCTGGTCTACATGGTGAAACCCCGTCTCTACTAAAAATACACAAAAAATTAGCCAGGCATGGTGGCATGAGCATGTAGTCCCAGCTACTTGGGAGGCTGAGGCAGAAGGATAGCTTGAACCCAGGAAGCAGAGGTTGCAGTAGGCTGAGATTGCACCACTGCACTCCTGTCATGGCAACAGAACGAGACCTCGTCTCCAAAAATAAAAAATAAAAAATCAGCCAGGTTTGCTGATGCATGCCTGTAATCTTAGCTACTCCAGAGGCTGAGGTGGGAGGATCACTTGAGCCCAGGAGGCAGAGGTTGCAGTGAGCTGAGATTGCATCACTGCACTCCAGCCTGGACAACAGAGCAAGACCCTGTCTCAAAGAAAGAAAAAAAACCAGAACAGGCAGAACTAATTAATAGTGACAGAAGCCAGAATTACTACTACTGTTCCCTCCAGGGATGTATATTGACATTTTGTTTATCTGGGAAGGAATGTGAAGGAACATTCTGGAGTGCTGGAAATGTTCTAGATCTTGATCTGCATGGTGATTTTATGGGTTTATACATATGTACAAATCTGCGGGAATGTTGGCTTAAGCTTAATGCACTTCATGCTCTTGACTGTATGTATGTTTTACATCAGTAAGTTGAAGCAAGTACTGCCTAGCTCAAGACCTTTATGATCTGATCCCATTCTATCTTTCCAGCCTTCTCTCCTACCACTCCTTTACCCGCAGACTACGCTCCACTGACATCAAACTTCACATACTAGTAGTTTGTCATTTTTCTCCTTATACATATCTTCTTTTGCTGACACTGTTCCCTCTGCCTGAAAGACATGAGGAAGTGGGTCTCAACAAATATTTGAAAAAACAAAATGCAACAACATCTAGATTAATAAATATCACTATACTCCAAGGAAAAACACATTTGCTGAGATGTTCTCCCAAAAAGCAATGAGGCATGCATGAAAAAATTTGAGTTGGCTGGGCACAATGGCTCACGCCTGTAATCCCGGCACTTTGGGAGGCCGAGGCAGGTGAATCACAATGTCAGGAGTTCAAGACCAGCCTGGCCAACATGGTGAAACCCTGTCTCTACTAAAAATACAAAAAAATAATAATAATAATAATAATAATTAGCGGGCTAAGTGGCGGGTGCTTGTAGTCCCAGCTACTTGGGAGGCTGGGGCAGGAGAATTGCTTGAACTCGGGAGGCGGAGGTTGCAGTGAGCCAAGATCGCTCCACTGCACTCCAGCCCAGGCAACAGAGTGAGACTCCATCTCAAACAAACAAACAAAAAAACAAACAAACAAAAAAATTGAGTCTTCAGATTAGCAGGCACTGAGAACTAATAAATAAAGGAAAACTATCTGCTCTTGCACACACATTAATTTCTCCCCATGAATGGCTTCCTTATCTTCTGGAAAAACCTTTTCAATATGTCTGAGCTGGCTATGAGGTAGTAAATCTTTCTGGTTGCTTACCCGTCCCCATCTGTTCTTTCCCTCCTTCCTAACAGACACTCACCCCTCTCGCAGGCAGCCTGTGTCCCTAGGAGGGAAGCTGTCCCATCTCTAACTGCAGGCTCTGGAGTTGGCTTAAGACAATAATGCCTATTATTCCAACAGTCATTGGTTCAAGGATAAGTACGTGACGGCTTTCCAATCAGAGTGAATCTCAGGCCCTTTGCTTCAAAGGCTGGAATAGAGAGACTTTTCCTTTTTGGCATGTGGTTGTGGTGAATGAGAAACTGTGGCAGCCGTCTTGACACCTCCTTCCCCTCCCCAAAAGAGGTTAAGTCCAGAGAAACCCTGAGAAGCCAACCAGGAAACACTCCCTACCTCAGGACCTCCAGTTATATGTGCCAATACGCTTCCTTATTGTTTGTATTGGTGGGTTTATTTTGATTTTTAAAATTGTGGTAAAACATACATAAAATTTACTGTTTTAACCATTTTTAACTGCACAGCTTATTAGCATTAAATACATTCACATTGCTTTGTAACCATCACGGCCATCCATTTCCAGAACTTTTTTTTTTTTTTTTTTTTGAGACTGAGTCTCGCTCTGTCACCCAGGCTGGAGTGCAGTGGCGAGATCTCGGCTCACTGGAAGCTCCGCCTCCTAGGTTCAAGCCATGTTCCTACCTCAGCCTCCGAGTAGCTGGGATTACAGGCGCCTGCCACCATGCCCAGCTAATTTTTTTTTTTCTTTTTTTGGTATTTTCAGTAGAGACAGGGTTTTGCTATTTTGGCCAGGCTGGTTTCGAACTCAGATGATCCTCTCACCTTGGCCTCCCAAAGTGCTGGGATTACAGACGTGAGCCACCGCGCCCAGCCATCCCCAGAACTTCCTTCATCCTGCAAAACTGAATCTCTACCTATTAAACAATAACTCCCCATCCCACTCCACCTGACAACCACCATTCTACTTTCTGTTCCTATGAATTTGACTACTTTAAGTATTTCATATGAGTGGAATAACAAAGTATTCATGATTGGCTTACTTAACTTGGCATAATGGCTTCAAGGTTCTCCTGTGTTGAGCATGTGTCAGAATATCATTCCTTTCTAAGGCTAAATAAGATTTGATTGCATGTATGTATCACATTTTGTTCATCCATTCATCTGTCCACAGACACTTGGGTTGCTTCTCCCTTTGGGCTATTGTAAATAATGCTGCTATGAATATGGGTGTGCAAATATCTGTCCATGTCTCTGCTTTCAATTTTTTTTTCAGTATATACTGAATTGCTGGATCAGATGGTAATTCTTTTTAATTTTGGGGAGAACTACCATAACGTTTACCTTACCAACTACACCATTTCATATTCCCACCAGCAGGGCATAAGGATTCCAATTTCTCCGCATCCTTACCAACACTTGTAATTTCCCAATTTTCCAATAATAGCCATCCTAACAGACATGAAGTGGTATTTCATTGTGAGTTTTTTGAATTGAGTTTCCTATTGTTTTAGCCAAAAAAGTATTCCTATTTAGTTCTATATACGCCTCCATTAGGCAATCCTCTCCATAAGGTGGGAGAAAGGTAATTGTGTAGGGTTGAATCCTCTCAGGGGCTGAAATAATAAATTATTATTTTAGTCACAAAAGTTGATGCAATCTTGGCATGCATGCCAGGACCCTCTATTTCTTCAATGTTTCTAAAACTGCACCCACATTCTTTTTTGCTTACAGAAGTTTAAAAATCCTTCCAATAAATATTTACTTAAAATGATAATAGTTAACATTTGAATGAATACTAAATATCAGATACTATTCTAAATACTTCACATGTATTTATCTAGTCTTCCTAAAAACTCTGCGAAATAGAACCATCACACTCTGTATTTTACAGATATGGACAGTGAAGGGAAGAGAGGTTAGGTAATTTGTTAGTAAGTGGCAGACCAGGACTCAATGCCAAGAAGCCTGGCTTCTGATCCCCCTGCCTAACCAATGCGCTCTACAGCCCATCGTGTGCCAGGCATTGTGCTAAGCCCTATGGGAGACACAAAGATTAGAGGCAAACTCTGCCCTCTCAGAGCTTACAGTCCAGCAAAAAAGGTGAGACATAATGGGTGTTCATCTTCCACACCTCTTCCAAAATATGAATATGACAGTGTCGGTTTAAAACTCCTTAAAGCCCCTTCACCTACATTACCTGTACCGTAGACCAACCTAAGGGGCAGGAGCAGCTGCATAATTTGCAGGGCCCCGTGCAAAATTAAAATGCAAGGTGCCTTAACCAAAATGCAGGGGGAAGATGCTATTAAGAGCACTAAAAATAGTTTTTTCTTTTAAAAACATTACTTGTAAAACATAATAGGGGTAACACGAGTAAAAACATAAATTTACAAACTGCAAAAAGGTAGTATTTTGGTGTCATAATGTTATGCAATACAACAAATAAAAATGCTCCATTAGGCCAAGAGGAGTGGCACACACCTGTAATCCCAGCACTTTGGGAGGCCAAGGCAGGAGGATAGTTGAGCCCTGGAGTTTGAGACCAGCCTGGGCAATACAGTGAGACCTTGTCTCTCCAAAAGATAAAAAAATTAACTGGGTGTGGTGGTACCCACCTGTAGTCCTAGCTACTTGGAAGGCTGAGGCAGGAGGATCGCTTGAGCCAGGGAAATCGAGGTAACAGTGAGCTATGATTGCACCACTGCATTCCAGCCTGGGGGACAGAGCAAGAGCTTGTCTCGAAAAAAAAAATTGCTCCATTCATGTGGTATCTTGATTCATCATAAGATTTTTCTGGCTCATTTTTCCACAAAATCATTTCCACAAATCATTTTCTGCAAAAATCAAAGAGGTCGTCAAAATGTATACTTTTAGGATCTTCATTTTTAGTCAGTATAATTGAAGGTATATCAATTGTTCTTGGCAAATTAAAGGTGACAATTTTTTATAATTTTCAATTTTCAGAAGGATCTTGCTAGGGATGTAATTTCTAGTGGATCTCTTATTGGATCTACCTGTTACTGGATCTGTTTTAGTACATCTAGAACTGATAATTCTTGTGGAATTATTTTTCTAAAAAGATTTAACTTTTCATACAAGTCATTTTTGTGTAAATCTGAATTTAATTTTAATGTACACTTACACAATGTCATTTTAATGTTTTCTTTGACACTTCTTGTAACATGTGGAGGTTAAATAAGAAGCTGAAAGTGGTTTCATGATTTGTATGTAATTCAGAAGTCCTGTTTATGTATAATATTTCTGTATCTTCAATTACAAGGAAAAATTTATTTTAAAATTGTCTTCCTTGTTAATAATTGCTTAATCTGAAACTTCCTACGAAAATAGGGCTCTTTTCAATCTAATGCAATGATTTTTATATTCGGTTTCTGTCCCTAAGCCTGCAGATATTTGCTTTGTTATGTTGCAGCAGTTTTAAAAATCAGAGGCTGGGCATGGTAGCTCGCGCCTGTAATCCCAACACTTTGGGAAGCCAAGGCAAGAGAATCACTTGAGCCCAAGAGTTTGAGACTAACTTGGGTAACATAGCAAGACCTCTGTCTCTACAGAATAAAAACATTAGCTGGGTACGGTAGTGCATGCCTGCAGTCTCAGCTACTTGGGAGACCAAGGCGGGAGGATAGCTTGAGCCACTGCACTCCAGCCTTGGTGACAGAGGGAGACCTTGTCTCTAAAAAAAATAAAATAAATAAAAACCAGAGATTCTAAACTCTTCAAAAAATTCTGAAACATGCTGCTATGCTTTATTGCAATATCCTTGTGTTTGCTTTTATTTTGTAATAATTTACTGACTAAGTTTACTGCGTGAGTACTAGCAATTCCTGTTCCAGTGCTCAGGCCAGAGAGTTAATATTTGTGTAGCTATCAAAGGAACACAGTCTGGGAGTGAACAGGCAAGCAGCTTCCCATGCACTGTCCCCATGCAGAGACCCGCTTTCTTCTGTGGTCACTGTGGCTGTTGCCACAGTCTTAGCTGATGTGATGGGCCCTAGGCCCAGCTCAGCTGGCTCGGAGCCCTACAGTGCCGTGGACTTCTCCTGAAACATACACACATGCAGCCAGCAGCCAGGCCTGTCCCTATGTGTGCTAGTGCTGTCACCTGGTGTGTCTCCACTACTCATGTGCATGTACCATTGTCCCACCAGACTTTAGTTACAAAACACAAGTTGAAAGATGAAATTTAGAAATTTCAAGATGGTAACAGCAAGGCCTAACACCAAACATGGGGCCCTTCTGAGAACAGGGCCCTATCTGTCTGGCTGTACAGGTTGCACACTCTGAAAGCCAGCCACACTCATGGATATGGCATTCGAGAACCCTCCCCCCTCCTTTTTTTTTTTTTTGAGACGGAGTTTCCCTTTTGTTGCCCAGGCTGGAGCACAATGGCGCTATCTTGGCTCACTGCAGCCTCTGCCTCCCAGGTTCAAGCAATTCTCCTGCCTCAGCCTTCTGAGTAGCTGGGACTACACCACGCCTGGCTAATTTTTATATTTTTAGTGGAGACGGGGTTTCACCATGTTGGCCAGGCTGGTCTCGAACTCCCGACCTCAAGTGATCTGCCCGCCTTGGCCTCCCAAAGTATCAGGATTACAGGCATGAGCCACTGTGCCTGGCCATCAAGAGCCCTTATAATCTGCCTCTTGTCTTTCATCCAAGCCTTGTGAGGCCCCATCTCTCAAACAAGTGCACCCAATTTCCAGCCCTCCCAAACTGCTCCACAACTCCAAGCCTTTGTCCAGCCCCTCTACCTCGAACATTCTTCCTGGCCACAGCTCATCCTTTGAGACTTGCTGTAGTATCACCTTCCCAGAGTCTTTCCTAACAAACCCCCTCCTGGCCTGGGGTGGACACTTCTCTTGTGTGTCCCCACAGTCTGCTGCACAAATTCTAATCATAGCATCCAACATACAGTCATAGCCGTCAAAGTCCATGACTGCCTTCACAGGTTATGGACTTCGAGCCTCATAAGGGCATGTGGTCTCTATGATTCACCTCTGCATTTTCCAGGCTCAGCTAGGTCTGGAACACAGCAGACACTCAGAAAAGGTTTGTTGAAAGAGTAGATACAGGTTCTCAAGAATAAAGTATTAGGATCTGAGCTCGTTTTATTATTCTCGTAACCAGGAAGTCATAGACACTACCTAAAGAAACGGCCAGTAGGCCGGGCACGGTGGCTCACGCCTATAATCCCAGCACTTTGGGAGGCAGAGGCAGGCAGATCATGAGGTCAGAAGATCAAGATCATCCTGGCTAACATGGTGAAACCCCGTCTCTACTAAAAATACAAAAAAAATTAGCCAGACGTGGTGGCACACACCTGTAGTCCCAGCTACTCAGGAGGCTGAGGCAGGAGAATCACCTGAACCCAGGAGGCAGAGGTTGTAGTGAGCCAAGATTGTGCCACTGCACTCCAGCCTGGGCGACAGAGCAAGACTCCATCTCAAAAAAAAAAAAAAAAAAAAAAAAGAAAAAGAAATGGAGAGCAAAGGACATCATAGAAGGTTATAATTATAAAGGCAACTACAAGAAGAAAAATCCAAGATTCCTAAATAGCAGAAGAGCCATGTACACAAAACTGACCTCAAGACAAAGAAATGATGGAGGCCAATTTATATGGAAGAGATAGAGAAGACTGTCAAAGAGTTACCCTACCCCTGAAAAAAACAGCAGGCCCAGGCAATTTCACAAGGGAAATTTGAACAAACTTTTAAAATGTAAATATTCCAATGTTTTTTAATTGTTCCAAAGCATTGAAAAAAACTTTCAAATTCTTTATGAAGCAAGTATACCATTGATACCAAAACTTAATACTGTACACAAAAAAGCAAGCTATAGATCAATATCACTTATGACCATAAGTTAAGAACCCTCAATAAGAACTATCAATCAGATTTCAACATCATAACCAAGTGGGATATATTTCAGGGTGCAAGTATGGTTTAATATTATGAAATCTACTTACATAATTAATCACAATAAATTTGAATATTATAGATTTGAGAGGGAAATCATATGATCACCTCCATAGACACTAAAGGCATTTGAAACAATATTCTTGATCAAAACATTCAATAAGGTAGAGAAAGATACCATCTTAACATGAAAAAAAAAATTATCTCGACCCAATACCAACATCAGACTTAATGGGGAAACACTAGAAGCGTCTCCATTAAATTCTGAAACAACAAAACAAAGATGGTCATGTCAACACTATTTAATACTTTACTGGGTGTGTTGGGTGAATCAACTAGATTAAAATAAACTAGTGGTATAAAAATTAGAAGAGAGGAACTATTGCAGGAAATATAATTGTATATCTTGAAAACACCAGGAAATATGCTAAAAATCTACTACAGCAAAAAGAAAATACAACAAAATTAGTCAGGAACAAAATTAATTTACAAACATCAAGTTTTATCAATATAAGTAACATGGTGCAAGAAAAGACCTTATTTCTATTAGAAACAAAAAAAATTCAATACCTGGCAACAAACTTAGCAAGAAATAGTCAAGGCCCATGTGAGGAAAATGTATAACATGCTACTAAACATAACCCCCCTCAAAAAATTTAAACAAATGGAAATATAACACGCTCTTGGATAGAAATCCTCAACACCATAAAGCTGTAAATTCTCCATCGCTTAATTTAAAAATTTTAATGTAATCCAACAAACATACGAATAGGCTTTTTTGGCTAAAAAATTTGAGTCTAAAAGTTCATATAGAAAAAGAAAGAAGCAAAAGTAGCAATAAAAAATGTAAAGAAGAGCAAGGAGCAAGGGGGAGGTGGGTCAGTACTCCTAGATGTAAAAGGATGTTATGAAGCCTCAGTCATCACAACAATGTAGTGCTGGCCTGTAAGTTGGAGACAGATAGAGGCTAATGGAGTAGAATATCACATTCAGAAATAGTCTCAAAATCATATATGGATACACTATCATAAAACTGACATCTCAAGTCATTGGAGAAATTACGGACCACTAAATAAGCAGTACTGGGACAAATAAGCAGCCACTTAGACAAAAATAAAGTTGAATCCACTCTTCATGGCTCTCTAGGTTAACTTCAAATGCGTAAAAAATTTAACTTTTTTAAAAAAACCTCACAAATGCTAAAAGAAAAATGGAAAAATACCTTTCATCTTGTAGTAAGGAAAGCCTTCTATCACCCAAAATCCAGAAGCTATATAAGATCAAGAAGTTCAACTGTACCAAAACGAAAAACTACTCTGCATGTTTAAAAAACACTGAAAGTAAAGTTGAAGAATAAATATTAAACCAGGGAAAAGTTTTCATATCAAATCACAAAGAAGTAATCTCCCTAATATATAACAGGAGTCACTAGCGGTCAATAAGACTTCTAAGTAACCCAACAGAAAATAGGCAAAGAACATGGATAGACAAGAAATATAAATAAATTTTAAACACATGAAAATATTCTTAGCCTCATGCATAATGAATAAAATACAAAATAAAACACTAAGATAGAAATGTTTACTTACTGAGTACACTGACAAAAATCCAAAGTTTGATAACACTCTCACAGTGAGACTGGGAAAACAGGCATTTCAAACATTGGTGGTGAGAGTGTATATTGACATAAGTTCTATAAAGATAAATCTCAAATTATCTATTTAAATTTTAAAAGTATTTATCTTTTCGGCCGGGCACGGTGGCTCACGCCTGTAATCCCAGCACTTTGGGAGGCTGAGACGGGTGGATCACATGAGGTCAGGAGTTCGAGACCAGCCTAACCAATATGGTGAAACCCTGTCTCTACTAAAAATACAAAAATTAGCCGGGTGTGGTGGCAGGCACCTGTAGTCCAGCTACTCGGGAGGCTGAGACAGAAGAATTGCTTGAACCTGGGAGACGGAGGTTGCAGTGAGCCAAGACTGTGCCACTGCACTCCAGCCTGGGCAACAGAGTGAGACTCCATCTCAAAAAAAAAAAAAGTATTTATCTTTTCACCCAACAATTTTACTTTTGGCAATTTATTCTACTGATAGACTCTTATGTGCAAAATGACGTATGTACAATGCTATTCACCACAGCATTGTTTGTAGCAGCAAAATATTAGAAACAATTCAAATGGCCATCAAGTTGACTAGGGAACTAGAAATATAAATTACATGACATTCATAAAATAGAACATTAAGTAGCTATAAAAATGAATGAAGGTGCTCTATATGTTCTAATATGGAAAGATCTCCAAGATACGGTTTTAAATGGGAAAAAAGTACAGAACAGTGCATATATTTTGCTACTTTTTGTGTAAAGAAGGAAGAGAATATGTACTTGTATTTGCTTGTATATACATAAAGAATCTCTAGAAAGATACATAAGAAAAAGAAGATGGTTACCAAAGGCACGGATGGGAATGGATAGATGGGAGTCAAGGATGGGAGGGGGACTTTCTCTTTATACTTTGAGTTGTTGACATTGTGACTATATTATCATGAGAGGAGGAGAAGCAGGAGGAGGAGGAGGAGAACTGGAGTAGAGGTGATTTTTATTGTCATAACTACCAAAGTACTTAAAACTGAATGAAGTCCAGATCACAGTCACTTTTGAGAATCTCATTGCTTATCAGGTGGGATTTTTCAATGTGAGATTTGCTCATAGTTCATTTTCAGCCACAGAGTACAGCACTGACTTTCAACTGCTGCCTTAGAATTGTTGACATGATTATGGTGAATTATACCCCTGACCAATCTGGGCTAAAAAGGCAACAGATAACATCTTTTAAATTTTTGTGGCAACATTGGTAACTATTGCCTACAGGCTGTGAGAAAAGAATAGGCAATCAAAACTCACACACACACACACACACACACACACACACACACACACTTTGGCCAGTGTGATTCTATATATGGTTAAAATCATCATATAAGATTGCTGATATTGGCTGGGTGTGGTGTCTCAGGCCTGTAATCCCAGCACTTTGGGAGACTGAGGTGGGTGGATCATGAGGTCAGGAGTTCGAGACCAGCCTGACCAACATGGTGAAATCCTGTCTCTACTAAAAATACAAAAATTAGCCAGGCACGGGTGCGGGTGCCTGTAGTCCCAGCTACTTGCGAGGCTGAGGCAGGAGAATGGCTTGAACCCGGGAGGCGAAGGTTGCAGTGAGCCCAGATTGTGCCACTGCACTCCAGCCTAGGCGACAGAGCAAGACTCGGTCTCAAAAAAAAAAAGATTACTGATATTAGGAATGCCGTAATCCTTTTAAATTAGCTCGCAGAGCCTATTAATGAGATAATGAGTTAAGATGTGACCTGTGAGTCCTTATAATTATCTACAATTCAGTTATTGCAGGTAATTGTCTACCCTTTCACTTATTAATAGGTCAACAAAAAGTCAGCTTGTTAATTAGCTATTTCTGAAATATTGTTCATACCAGTAATCAAGGGAAAAGAAAAGGAAGAGAAAAAGAAAAAGAAAGAAAATAGAGTTTGATATGGTTTGGCTGTGTTCCCCCTCAATCTCATCTTGAATTGTAATCCCCATAATCCCTTCATGGGAGGCACCCAGTGGGAGGTAATTGAATCATGGGGGCAGTTTCCCCCATGTTGTTCTCGTGATAGTGAGTGAGTTCTCACAAAATCTGATGGTTTTATAAGCGTCTGGCATTTTCCCTGCTGGTACTCATTCTCTCTCCTGCCGCCCTGTGAAGAGCTACCTTTCACCATGATTGTAAGTTTCCTGAGGTCTCCCTAGCCATGTGGAACTGTGAGTCAATTTAACCTCTTTTCTTTATAAGTTACCCAGTCTCGGGTATTTTTTTCATAGTAGCATGAGAATGGAGTAATACAGAGTTCATATATCTTGTATCAAAAACTAGGCATCATATGTGACAAAAGCAGCAGGGACTTTATATAAATATATTTGTAGAAAAAATAGCCCCTGTTTTTATCTTGCTACCATGACTCCAAAGGGGTGAAGCCAAAGTTTCTACAATGAACATGCATTACCTTTATAATTAATAAAAGAGGCCAGGCGTGGTGGCTCATGCCAGGCGTGGCATCCCAAAGATTTGGGAAGCCAAGGCGGGAGGATTGCTTTAGCCCAGGAGTTTGAGACTAGCCTGGGCAACATAATGAGACCCTGTCTCAACTAAGTAACTAACTAACTAAATAAATAAATAAATGAAGCTAGGCACAGTGGTGTGCGCCTATCTATAGTCCTAGCTACTCATGAGGCTAAGGCAGGAGGATTGCTTGAGCCCAGGAGTTCAAGAAACAGTAAGCTATGATCATACCACTGCACTCCAGACTGGGTGACAGAGCAAGACAGGAAAAAAAAGAAAGAAAAGAAAAGGAATTTTAAAATGTAAACAAGTACAGGCTGAGCATGCAGACAGGCCTGATGTTAACTCTGATTCTGTCATTTATTATCTACAGAATCTTGGGCAGGTTGCTTTAACCTCTCTGAGTCTCAGTTTTCCCACATGTAAACTGAAGATAATCATACCTGCTTTCCAGGGCTGAAGTGAGCTGTGGATGGACGATGTGTGTGAAGCACTGAGTGCAGGCTGTGGCACAGAGTAGGCACACAGTAAAAAGGATTCCCACCCCCCACCCACCCAGTGGAGGCAAGACCCATGGAAGTCAAGCCCAACCTGGACCACAGTTCCTGAGTTTCTCCATTCAGGCTATTCTGTGGCTGTGTAAAAGAACAGGTACTTGTCCCTGCTTGTTGGAAGAAACCTGGTTATTAATCCATACCCATCCCATGACTGTAATTAGGACACCTGGAATTTTTGGAAATAAAGTAGCTCTGTCCAGATCCCAGAAGGGTGTTTTCCTTATTATGCTAGTGAAAAGGTTTCAGTGCAGGAAATGGAAATGGCTGTAGATATTGTAAGCAGAAAGGTCTACAATAGAGAGAACTAAGAGCTTACAAAATGATTAGAAGAGCTGGAGGGGTGAGCTCTAGACTGAACTTCAGGAAGGATTTTTAGGAGACAACAGAACTGACCCAGCTGGGAGGCCACTACTTCTCAGCAACCATGGGACAAACTTCAAGAACTCACTAAGTAGTTCAGACACCTGAGCTTGAACTCTGTCGCTTGTTATCCATGTAACCTTGAACACATTGCTTGAATTCTCAAGAATCAAGACAAGGAAGTTGGCATCATAGCCACTGCTTCTCTGTACCTATAATCTGGTTAATAGATTCATCACCACAATCTTTTTTAATCAAAAACAAACAAAGCTAAAACCAATTGGGAAACAGCCTCTGCCTCATCTAAACTTTTCAAATCTCACATAAGTACATTTCACTAGTAGAAAGTCATGTCCAGAACCCTAGCTGCGAGGGAGCTTAGAAATGCCATTTTTTAGCTTGTCAGGCTCTCAGTGCAGAAAGGCATACGAGAAACAAATTTATCACAGAAAGTCATTCTCTTGGAAATTGGGGCAACCTCAGCCAACACCTATTTGTCTGCATAGGCTCCAAGAGTAGTCATGAGTTTATGCTCATTACGCTCACTGGAAGATGTAGTAGGCATTTGGCTGCCTTGTAAGTATACATCACTCCTTCTCTCTAACAATGCCCAGCTTTTAATTTATTAATTTCATTCGGATATCTACCGCTCCTCTAAGCAACACATGCCTTCGGAAAACTGACCCCAATTCCAGCTCCAGGGGTGGAACCTAATTAAATTAGCACATCCCATCTTTCTGGTCACAGACATTGGTCTAAAGGCAGGCATGTTAACAAAGCCAGAAGAATCATGATGAGAAGCAAGAATTCAAGAATTTTGCTTGAATTGCTGACACAAAAGCACTCTCATGTCTGCTTGATGTAATCAAGAAAACAAGTAGTCCTTGCTTCTGTCTTGCTACCATGGATGAAGCCAACCTGAGGAAAAAGCTCATACACAGAAGAGGGAAGAGCCTGGAATCTCAGAGAAATAGAACTGGGCCCTGCTCAAACCTTACCTGAACTCTATATTAGAGTTATGTAGAAAGAGATTGATTAATGGGTTTAGCAGCAGCTAAAGTGAATTGGAAAACAGATTGGAAGAAAATATCCACAATGAATAACCAGATTCATGGAGAGGCAAAGGGATTGAAAATACAGATATGAACATAAAAGACATACAGAATACAGTGCTAAGGTCTAACGTATGTGTAAACAGAATCCTGGAAGGACAGGGGAGAAAATTTGAAAAAGCAGTATCTAAAGAGATAGTGGATGAAGAATTTCTAAAACTGACAAAAGACAAAGCCCCAGATTCAGGACACATTGTGAAACCCACGCTGAATAAATACCACATTCAGGCAAATAATAGTAAATTATTTTTAAAAAATGACAAAGAAACAATATCAAAAACAGTAAAGAATCGAGAGATTACCTTGACTGGAACAACAACAATGAGGCTGCCAGGTAACTTATCAGTGGAAACTGTAGAAGCCAGAGACAATGGAATATCTTCAAAGTTCTGAAAGAAAATAAGCGCTAATCCAGAATTTCATACCCAGCTAACATGTCCTTCTAAAGGATGAGATGATTTAACTCCAGCAAACCCCTGTTAATGGAAAATACTGAAGGGTGTTCTTGAAGCAGAAGAATATAGGCATTCTAGACACAGGCATTAATGAAGAACATCAAAAAAGGGGGAAGGCTAGATAACTATTGTATTTTTAAAATAATAACAATAATGTAATAACATCTAATGGGTTTAAATATATACATTTAATATTCAATATATTTTTATTACATATATTTATTGTTGTACATAATATATATATGTGTATATATATATAGAGAGAGAGAGAGAGAGAGAATTAAAATATATAACAACAGTAACATATAAGTCCAGACAAGAAATGAAGTTATTCTAAAGGTCCTTACATTGTCTGGAAAGAGAAAGAGTAATAATTTAGATTAGACATTGATAAGCCAGTGCATATTATAATTTCATGGGTCACTACTAAAGGAAGAGTAAAGGAATAGAATTACCAAGCTAACAGAAGGGGAAAATAAAATAATTGAAGAATTCAAAGAATTGAAATTATACAGATTGTGTAAGTGTGTCTTGGACACAGCTTAAGCTAAAACTAATAAGAAAAAGAACAGCAAATTAAACCCAAGGAAACAACCCAAGTAATTAATCACACTGCTTTATTAAAAGAGAAAAAAAGTACATAATTATCTCAATAGGGGCACAAAAATCTTCTGATAAAAGTCAACATCCGGCCGGGTGCGGCAGCTCGGGCCTATAATCCCAGCACTCTGGGAGGCCGAGGCAGGCGGATCACGAGGTCAGGAGATCAAGACCAGCCTGACCAACATGGTGAAACCCCGTCTCTACTAAAAATACAACAAATTAGCTGGGTGTGGTGGCAGCCACCTGTAGTCCCAGCTACTCGGGAGGCTGAGGCAGGAGAATGGCATGAACCCGGGAAGCGGAGCTTGCAGTGAGCTGAGATTACGCCAGCCTGGGTGACAGAGCGAGACTCCTTCTCAGAAAAAAAAAAGTCAACATCCATTTATGATAATAATGCTTAGCAATCTAAGAGTAGAAGGGAATTCTCTTAATCTGATAAAGAATATCTACCCCAAACCTAGAGCAAACTCACATTTAATGGTGAAAACTTAAAAGCTTCTCTGCAACAGGGAACACAGTAGAATACCTGCTATCATCACTTCACCATTGTACTAGGAATCCTAGGTAAGTCAATAAGACAAGAAAAAGAAATTAAGTCTAAGGGTTGGAAAGGGATAAAAATGAATTATTCACAAACAGTATCAGTGTGGATTTAGAAACTTTTTAAAAGTACAGGCATACCTCAGAGATATTATGGGTTCAATTCCAGACCACCACAATAAAGCAAATATTACAATAAAGTGAGTCACACAAATTTTTTTGTTTCCCATTGCATATAAAAGTTATGATTGGGCAGGAATGGTGGCTCACATCTGTAATCCCAGCACTTTGGGAGGCCAAGGTAGGTGGATTGCTTGAGCTCAGGAGTTCAAGGCTAGCTTGGGCAACATGGCAAACCCGTCTCTACAAAAATTACAAAAATTAGCTGGGCATGGTGGCACAAGCCTGTGGTCCTAGCTACTTAGGAGGCTGACAGGTGGAAGGATTACTGGAGCCCAATAGGTCAAGGCTGCAGTAAGCTTAGATCATGCCACTGTACGCCAGCCTAGGCAACAGAATGAGACCCTGTCTCAAAAAAAAAAAAAAAAGTTATGTTTACACTACACTATAGTCTATTGTACAATAGCATAATGTCTAAAAATGTACATTCTTTAATTTAAAAATACTTTATTGCTGAAAATGCTAACAGTCATCTGAGTCTTCAGCGAGTTGTAATCCTTTTGCTGGTGGAGGGTCTTGCCTCAATATTGATGGCTGCTGACTGCTCAGGGTGGTGGTTGGTTGCTGAAGGCTAGGGTAACTGTGACAATTTCTGAAAATAAGACAACAATGAAGTTTGCCACATAATTGACTCTTTCTTTCACAAAAGATTTCTCTATAGCATGCAACGCTGTTTGATGGGATTTTTACCCACAGTAAAACTTCTTTCAAAATTGGAGCCAATCCTCTCAAACCCTGCCGCTGCTTAATCAGCTAAGTTTACATAATTTTCTACCTCTTCTGTTGTCATTTCAACAGTGTTCACAGCATCTTCACCAGGAGTAGATTCCATTTCAAGAAACCACTTTCTTTGTTTATCCATAAGAAGCAACTTCAAGTTTAATCATAAGATTACAGCAATTCAGTCACATCTTGAGGCTCCACTTTTAATCCTAGTTCTCTTGCTGTTTCTGCCACATCAGTAATTACTCCCTCCACTGAAATCTTGAACCTGTCAGAGTCATGCATGAGGGCTGGAATCAACTTCTCCCAAATTCCCATTAATGTTGATATTTTGACCTCCTTCCATTAATCATAAATGTTCTTAATAGCATCTAGAATGGTGAATCCTTTATAGAATATTTTCGTTTTGCCCAGGTCCATCAGAGGAATCACTATGTATGGCAGCTATAGCCTTATGAAATGTATTTCTTCAATAAGACATGGAAGTCACACCTACTCCTTGATCTATGGGCTGCAGAATGAATGCTGTGTTAGCAAGCATGAAAACAACATGAATCTCCCGTACATCTCCATCAGAGAGCTCTTGAGTGACTAGGTGCATTGTCAATTAGCAGTAGTATTTTGAAAGGAGTCTTTTTTTTTTTTTTTTTTTGAGCAGTAGGTCTCAACAGTGGGCTTAAGAGATTCAGTAAATCATGCTATAAACAGATGTGCTGTCATCCCAGCTTTGTTGTTCCATTTATAGAGCACAGGCTGAGTAAATGAGCACTGGCTTCAACTTAAAGTCACTAGCTGTATTCGTGCCTAACAAGAGAGTCGGCCTGTCCTTTGAAACTTCAAAGCCAGGCACTGACTTCCCCTCTCTAGCCATGAAAGTCCTAGATGGCATCTCCTTCCAAGAGAAGGCTGTTTCATCTACCTTGAAAGTCTGCTGTTTAGAGTAGCCACCTTCATCAGTGATCTTAGCTAGATCTGGATAACTTGCTGTAGCTTCTCTATCAGCACTTGCTGCTTCACCTTGCCCTTTTACACTATGAAGATGGCTTCTTTCCTTAAACCTCATGAACCAACCTCTCCTAGCTTCTGACATTTCTTCTGCAGCTTCCTCACCTATCTCAGCCTTCGCAGAGCTGAAGAGAGTTAGGGCCTTGCTCTGGATTAGTCTTTGGTTTAAGGGGATGTTGTGGCTGGTTTGATCTTCTATCCAGACCACTAAAACTTTCTCCATATCAGCAATAAGGCTATTTGACTTTCTTATCATTCATATGTTCACTAAAGTAGCACTTTTAATTTCCTTCAAGAACTTTTCCTTTGCTTTCCCAACCTGGCTAACTGTTTGGGGCAACAGGCCTAGTCTTCAGCCTATCTCAGCTTTTGACATGCCTTCCTCACTAAGCTTAATCATTTCTAGCTTTGAATTTAAAGTGAGAGACTTGCAACTCTTCCTTTCACTTGAACACACAGAGGCTACTGTAGGATTATAATTTCAATATTGTTTTGTTTCAGGGAATAGGGAGGCCTGAGGAGAGGGGGAGAGATGGGAGACGGGCCAGTCAGTGGAGTAGTGAGAATATACACAACATTTATTAAATTTGCGAGCTTACATAGGCATGGTTTGTGGTACCCCAAAACAATGACAATAGTAACATCAAAGATAACTGATTACAGATCACCCTAACAGATATAATAATTAACAGGTGTGAAATACTGCAAGAATTACCAAAATGTGACACACAGACATGAAGTGAACACATGCTGTTGGAAAAATGGCGCCAACAGACTTGCTCAATGCAAGATTGCCACAAACCTTCAATTTGTAAAAAAAAAAAAAATGCAGTATCTGTGAAGGACAGCAAGGCAAAGTACAGTAAAACAAGCTATGCTTGTCCAGATAAAGTCATTACAATTAATATGGCTAACTGTACTATTGTTCACAAATATTCTACGTGCCTCCCTGCCTTGTTAAACTTAAACATACCTATGTGATTTACTTTGGCTAAGTGGTGTGTGTATCTTCTGGGAAGAAGCTTTAGGAGCCAGCTCAGGGTTAACCATGTTCTCTGTTTTCTGTACGTATGAGAATCTTGAAGCATGTGCTGAGACAGATCCTCTATCAGTCTGGGTCCATGAGCGACTTCAAAGGGCAGGGCTTCCATGCAGATCTGTAGTGGATTTATAGTGTAAGTGAAAGGCAAATGCTGTTTAAAGAAGTGAAAGTTTTTGTTTTTTACTGTAGCATAACCTAGCTTATCCTGATGGACACACTTGAGGTTTCTGGATGTGAGAAACATCAAATGTATTTCTATAAAGTAACAGCAACAAATAGGAAGTTTAAAAAAAAATTTTTTTTTTGAGGGACAGGATCTTGCTTTTTTACCCAGGCTGGAATGCAGTGGCATGATCACCATTTACTGCAGTCTCAAACTCCTGGGCTCAAGTGATCCTCTTGCCTCAGCCTCTCGAGCAGCTGGGATTACAGATGCATGCCACCATACTCAGCTAATTAAAAAAAAAAAATTTGTAGAGACAGGTTCTTGCTATGTTGCCTAGGCTGGTCTTGAACTCCTGGGCTCAAGTGATCCTCCCACCTTGGCCTCCAAAGTGCTGTAACTACAGGCATGTGCCACTGCACCCAGCTGAAAGTAAAAATTTAAAGGTACTGTTTGTAATAGCATAAAAAATAGTGAGTACCTTTGGGACAAATATAATAAAATATGTGAAAGACCTCTACCCAGGAAACAATAAGACATTAGAGAATTAAAGAAGATCTAAATTAATGAATATAACATATTCATGGATTCAAAGACTCAATATTATGAAGATGCCAACATTTCTCACATTGATCTACAGATTAAATGCAATCTCAATAAAAAATATTAGCAGTGTTGTTCATGGAAATTGACAAGCTGATTCTATAATATATGGAAATGCAAAGAATAAAAAATAGTCAAGACATTCTTAAAAAGAAGAACAAGATGGAAATACTATTAAGTATCAAGACTTATTATAAAGCTACAGCAATTAACTTTGATATTGGCACATAGGTAAACAAATAGACCAATCCCCTTTCTGCGGGTCCAGAAAGGGACCCACATATGTAGAACCTTCTTTTTTGTTTCTTGTTTTTGAGATGAAGTCTTACTCTGTTGCCCAGTCTGGAGTGCAGTAGCACGATCTCGGCTCACTGCAAACTCCATCTCCCAGGATCAAGCGATTCTCCTGCCTCAGCCTCCTGAGTAGCTGGGACTACAGGCACATACCACCACACTCAGCTAGTTTTTGTATTTTTAGTAGAGATGGGGTTTCACCATGTTGGCCAGGCTGGTCTTGAACTCCTGACCCCAGGTCATCTGCCTGCCTCAGCCTCCCAAAATGTTGGGATTACAGGCATGAGCCACCGCGTCCAGCCTGGACCCTTCATTTTTGAAAAAGGTAGTGCTTCAGAGTAGTGGAGAAAGGGCAATCCTTTCAATAAACAGAATTGGGTCCTTTTTTCTTTAAGTTTTTCTTCTCTTTACCTACTGTCTATTTCTTCCATGTTTTAGCCATTGGATATCCATATTTTTTAAAAAAACTTAAAAATAAAACAACAAAACACCGTATACATTTAAAAAAAATCAATCCAGGTGGATCATGGATCAAAATGTGAAGGGTAGAACAATTAATCCTCTAAAGATAATATAGGAAAATATCTTTATAACCTTTTCTATGGTAAGGAAAGATTTCTTAAATAGGATTCAAAAAACACTAAACATAGAAGAAAAGATTGGATTACGTCAAAATTTAAAACTTCTATTCATCAAAATTCACCATTAACAGAGTATAGGCAAAGCACAGAGTGAAAGATACCGTGATATGTATTACCAACTAGTAGTTATATCCAGAATATATAAAAAACTATTATAAGCCAAGAAGAAAAGAGCTGAAAAACTAATAGAAAAATGGGCAAGAAACTTGAACGGGCACTTCATCAGAAAGGATATCCAAGTAGTCAATACACATATGAAAAAACATTCGACATCATTAGTCATCATGGAAATGCAAATTAAAACCACAACAAGATACCACTGGATTCCCACCAGAATGGCTAAAAATAAGAAGATTGATGATATCAAGTGTTGTCCAGGATGCAGCACAAGAAGAACACTCATCTCATGCTGATGGGAGTGAAAATTGATATAACCACTCTGGAAAAGAGTTTGACACATGCTACCTGCCAGCAATTCTTCTCCTATGTATACATGCCCAGCAGAAATGTATGTACACTCACACAAAAAACTCTCAAAGGATGTTCTTAGCACCATTATTCATAATAACCAAAGACTGGTAATAACCCAAATACCCATCAACAGCAGAAAAAAAAAAAAAAAAAAAAAAAGCTTCATATTACATGGTATATTCATACTATTCAGCAATTAAAATTAATGGACTTCAGCCGGGCATGGTGGCACATGCCTGTAATCCCAGCAATTTGGGAGGCTGAGGCAGGAGGATTGCCTGAGCTCAGGAATTTGAGACTAGCCTAGACAACATGGTGAAACCCCATCTCTACAAATACAAAAGTTAGCCAAGCACAGTGGTGCATGCCTGTAGTCCCAGCTACTTGGGAAACTGAGGTGGGAGGATCACTTGAGAGGCTGCGGTGAGCCAAGATCATGCCACTGCACTCCAGCCTGGGCAACAGAGTGAGACCCTGTCTCAAAAATTTTAAAAAATAAAATTAATGAATGTCAGCTACATTTTAATAAATGGACGAATTTTACAAAGTTAATGTTGAGCAAAATAATACACACCATATGATTTCATTTGTAATAAGTTCAAGAATAGGCCATTAGCTCTCAAAGTGTTGTCCCGGGCCAGCAGCATCAGCATCACCTGGTAACTTGTTAGAAATGAACATTCTTAGGCCAGGTATGGTGGCTCACATCTGTAATCCCAGCACTTTGGGAGGCTGAGGCGGGCGGATCATGAGGTCAGGAGTCTGAGACCAGCCTGGCCAACAGTGAAACTCCGTCTCTACTAAAAATACAAAAAATTAGCCAGCCATGGTGGCGGGCGCCTATAATCCTAGCTACTTGGGAGGCTAAGGCAGGAGAATCACTTGAACTTGGGAGGCAGAGGTTGCAGTGAGCCGAGATCACACCACTGCACACCAGCCCAGGTGACAGTGTGAGACTCCATCTCAAAAAAAAAAAAACAAAAAAAAGAAATGAACATTCTTGGGTTCTACCCTAGACCTATTGAACCAGAAACTTTAAGAGTGTGTCCCAGAAATATGTTTTAACAAATCTTCCAGGTGATTCTGTTATACACTTAAATTTGAAAATCACTGGAAACAACAAAATTAATTTATGGTGTTAGAAGTTGGGATAGTGATGGTTTGGGGTTTAGGAAAATGGGGAAGTGGAGCTCGGGGGCATGAGAGGGTTGTAGGGTCCCAGTGCTGTTCTGTTCCTTGGCCTGGTTGGGAAGTATTTCCAGCCTGTGATGATAGTTCACCGACCTACAAGTATACTTGGGATTTGTGCACTTCGTTGTTTACGTCTTATGTTTCATTTTAAAAAACTAAAACGCTTACTAGAAAGTGCTAGATAATAAAACTGAGGAAATCTTCCAAAAACAAAGCAAAAACAAAAAACAGAGATGGAAAAAATGAGTGAACAAAGAGATGCAGAACATATAATTTCTCAATAATAGATGTTCCAGAAAGAGAAACAGAGAAAAAGAAGGGAAGGAAACATCCAAGGGATAACTTGAGAAAAATTCTTAGAACTAAAGCTCATGAATTTCCAAATAAATTGAAAGGGCCTGTTTCTCCATGTTGGTCAGGCTCGTCTCGAACTCCTGACCTCAGGTGATTCACCTGCCTCGGCCTCCCAAAGTGCTTGGATTATAGGCGTGAGCCACTGCACCTGGCCCAGGATTGCTATTTTTTGTAGCAAATTTTATAGAACTGACTCTTTATGAGCATTCCAACTTTCATAACAACACAGCTAAAAGCAAAACATGATACTTTGATTGTGTGATCAGATGGGTCGATTAAGGTATCTCCACCTCCCCAGAAATGATGCCAAAGATAAGCATTTATTAAGAATGACGGGATGCTCACAATATCATGTTAAATGGAAAAAGCAGACTACAAAATGATGTGCATATTAATTCTGCTTTAAAAATTAGATGTAGAAGTGTGTGTGTACATAGAAGAAAGTCTGAAGGATACACACCAAAATGTTTGGAGTTACTCTTTCTTCTTGATGGGTGGAGAGGGGGTATTTTCTTCCATTTGTTTATGTTTGTAGCCCATATTTCTGCCATCTCAGTATCCTCAAATCTTCCAGATTAACGGGATCATGCTTTCTTTTAACATTGAAATAAAAATGGCTGAAATATTCGTCCTATGTCTTGTGCAAAGTCCATGGCCCTCCCCCAACACCGCTGCAAATTTCCTGGTGCTAGTAGCTGTCATGTTCACTCCAGTTTCCTCTTCCTGCTGCTCTCGATTTCCCTGGCATCCTGCTTTCTGCAGCTGTTCCCTTCTGTCTGCCCCTAGTTAACCCAAATATGGAACACTGCCCCTTTTCTTTGACTTCCCCCAAGGAGTATCTTACATGAGGCACTGCTGAGGGGCTACAGCCCTACATGGTACTATAGACAACTTAAAATCTACATGAACATCTCTGTTCTGACGTGTCCTGGCTGACCCTGCTTCTGGGAGATTTTCACTGGACGCTCACCAGGGGAGAGGGATGGCCTCACTTCTGCCCCCTCCAGGCTCCACTCTGTGCCTTCAGGATACTCACCTGCCACCAAGAGGACACAACAAAATCCTCAGGTTCTTTGTTTTCATATGCAGAGTATGAGGCCCTCCCTCACAAAATCCACTTCTTCCAGCAATAAGATCTTGTCTTTTATGTTGGAAATTTCATCAAGAAACCTTTTGAGAGTCATCTCCTCCAACTTGAAAAAGCAGCAGGAGTCGGTTCTGGTTGTCTTCCCACTCCGTGCATAATGATTGCGCATTTTCTATCATGACTGTGCATTGTTTTTGTAATTCAACTATTTTCAGCAAGAGAAGTATCAAAAGAAATCAGGAGTGGTTGTTGAAGCAGCATCCACCTGTGAGCAGGTGTAAACATCAAGTCCCAAGGGTCCAGCAACTACCCAAAACCTCCTGCTTTGTGCCAGGCTGAGGGAATGTTCACTAAGGCAGTGTGGCAGGTGGAGGCCAGGGCAGGCCCAGAGTTCCCTGGGGCTGCTGAGCCCAGTGTGGGCAGGTTGGCAACAGGACTCCAAAGAGACATGTAGCCAGTACAAACCATGCCCCAGCTAAGCGTGATGCCTTCCCCTTTCTTCCATATTGATATCACCTGCTCCAGGCCTGGCACAGGTGCAGCACCTTCCCCAGAAGCCTTCCCTGACGGCCTCCTTCTTCACCAGCTCTAGTATTTATCAGCTGTGTGGCAAGTTAGTTCACCTCCCCCATGCCTTGGTTTCCCCACCTATAAAATGAGGATAAGAATGTTTGTAAGAATCAAATGAGTAATATTTGTAAAGTACTTGTAACGGTGCTTGGCTTAGAGTTAGTACTCTATCATGTTACTCATCATCACCATCACCATTATGATTTCCACCATGCCCATGGAATCTGCCCTTGATCAAGACATCCACTTGGTCTTGTGTGGGAGGCTGCCTAGGGGAAGCAGGGCCTGATATTATTTATTTCTGTTCACATCCCAGCCAGCAAAGGTGCCAGCACTGAATTTATGCTCAGTACCTACCTGGCTGATTAAACTTTGGAAAGAAGCAGCAGGCCAGTTAAGAAACCACATGCAAGCATAACTGTCCTGAAACCCTACTTAGTTCTGTGACGTCCCTTCTTAGAAATTCTGAGTTTTCTTTCCCTAGACATGGTCACTATTTCTACCTAGATTCTTTCATAACCCACTCATCAGAGAAATGTAAGAACCAAAGTAAGACCTTTATCAGGAAAACTATAAAACACTGATGAAAGAAATAGAAGAGGATACAAACAAATGGAAAGCTATCCTATGCTCATGGATTGGAAGAATTAATATTGTTAAAATGACCATACTGCACAAAGCAATCTACAGATTCAATGCAATCCCTATCAAAATATCAATGTCATTTTTCAAAGAAATAGAAAAAAAAATCCAAAAATTCATATGGATCCAAAAAAGAGCCAGAATAGCCAAAATGATCCTAAGCAAAAAGAATGAAGTTGGCAAGCCAGGCACGGTGACTCACGCCTGTAGCCCTGGCACTTTGGAAGGCCAAGGTGGGCGGATTGCTTGAGCTCAGGAGTTCGAGACCAGCCTAGGCAACATGGCAAAACCCCGTCTCTACCAAAAATACAACAATTAGCCGGACATGGTGGTGCATACCTGTAGTCCCAGCTACTCAGGAGGCTGAAGCAGGAGGATCAGTCGAACCTGGGACGCAGAGCAGAGGTTGCAGTGAGCTGTGATCACACCACCACACTCCAGCGTGGGCAGCAAAGCCAGATCCTGTCTCAAAAAAAAGAAAAAGAATAATGTTGGAAGCATCATACTACCTGACTTCAAAATATATTACAAGGCTATAAGTAACCGAAACAGCATAGTATTAGTATAAACATAGACATGGACCAATGGAACAGAATAGAGAGCCCAGAAATAAAGCTACATATTTATAGCCAACTGATTCTCAACAAAGGCACCAAGAACATACACTGGGGAAAGGACACCCTCTTTAATAAGTGGTGCTGGAAAAATTGGATATTTATATGCAAAAGAATGAAACTGGGCCCCTATTTCTCACCATATACAAAATCCATCCTGAGTTCAAGATGGATTAAATACTTAAAAGACCTGAAGCTATAAATTACTAGAACAAAACAGGGAAAACACTTCAGAACATTGTTCTAGGCAAAGATTTTATGGCTAAGACCTCAAAAGCATAGAGAACTAAAACGAAAATAGACAAATAGGACTATATTAAACTAAAAAGCTTCTACGAAGCAAAGGAAACAATCAACAGAGTGAAGGGGCAGCCAGCTGAACAGGAGAAAGTATTTGCAAACTATTTATCTGGATATTAGTCCCAGATAATATCCAGAATATGCGAGGAACTCAACTCAACGGAAAAATAAACACATTAAAAATGGGCAATGGACACAAACACAATTCTCAAGAAAAGACAAACAAAAAAAAGAAAAAAACGAAAACAAATCAAGAAAAGACAAACAAATGGCCAAGTCTGTTAAAAAAAATACTCAACATCATGTAACAAACCTGCATGTTCTGCATATGTACCCCAGAACTTAAAGTATAATAAAAAAAAAAACTCAACATCACTAGTCATCAGGGAAATGCAAATAAAACCACAGTGAGGTATCCTCTTAACATCCGTTAAAATGGTTATTATTAAAAAGACAAAATATACAAATGCAAGTGAGAATGTGGAGAAAAGGGAACTCTTACACACTCTTGGTGGGGAATGTAAATTAGTACAACCACTATGGAAAACAGTATGAAGATTTCTCAAAAAACTAAAAATAGAACTACCATGTGATCCAGCAACCCCACTACTGGTTATCTCTACAAAGCAGACCCTCACCAGATACCAAATTTGCTGGTGCCTTGATCTTGGACTTCCTAGCCTCCAGAACTGTGAAAATAAATGTTTGTAGTTTATGGTATTTTGTTATAGCAGCCTAAGGTGACTAAGACATCTATTTCTAAACATTTAAATCCTCCTTTGTAGGACAAAGTTTTGCCAGCACAAGGAGTGTATTAGGTAATCAGTCTGGAAGTGAAGACCCAACCAGAGATACAAAAGGGCTTTGAGCAACGGCAGAATTATTGGAATAAGTGTGTGCTCCCAAGCCAACTCTCTTGAGAGGAATATTGCATTTGCTACAAAACCAACCTAGTTGTTTCCAGTCAGTCCTCTGCAGAAAAGCTACACAACCATGAAGATTGAGGAGCAGCAGCTGAGCAGTGGGTGGCTTAACTTTGTCTAAAAACAAAAACAAAAGTGAACACAAAGTCTGAGTTACCTAGTAAGTAGGGATTTGAATGAGGTGAAGTGTTAAGTTCCAAATGTGTCCTATGTCAAAGCAGCCTTGGAATCGCATATTTATCTTTATCACCAGGGCTCAGAGTTTGTGTTGGAAATAGAAGAAAACACCCAGATACATGTTTTCCACCTAAGTGCTGTAACTGAGGGAATATAGTGTGGCTCCAGTGGGGTCATAGCTCAGAGGCACCCAGGTCCTTCCCAGGAGAGTCAGTGGCTTCTTGCTGTTCTAGTTGCCCTGGCCTTGAGTACAGCCCTCTGATCACAGCCCTGGGGATTCCCTCCATCTGGTCACCCTGATCCAAAGCTGGAGGAGGTTGGTGAATGGCAGTTCTCAGGTCACATCTCCTGATGCCTGGCAAGAAACACATCAGGTGAGGCCAGAGGACAGAGATGACTGGCCCATGCCAGGTAGTGGCCACGTGGCTCTCTGTACCAGTTAGGGTCTAAGCAGGGTAGCAGAAGCACAGTGAGTGATTCACAAAAGGGGGTTTGTCTAGCCAGGCATGGTGGTGGGCGCCTGTAATCCCAGCTACTCTGGTGGCTGAGGCAGGAGAATTGCTTGAACCCAGGAGGAGGAGGTTGCAGTGAGCTGAGATTGTGCCACTGCACTCCAGCCTGAGTGACAGAGCAAGGCGCCGTCTCAAAAAAAAAAAAATTCTGTAGTTTTGTACAAGATGAGACTTAACCTTGGGTACTTCTTGCTGAAGCTTTAATGCTTTGTAAATAAAATCGGATGTTTATTAGAAAAGGTGGTTTATCATAAGGATTATGGGAGCTGGTGAAGAATTCTAGGGGAGACTGTTGCCTTTTACATAGTGGTGGCCCTGGAGTCTCTGCTGATCAGCAGGGCTGGAGGTTGGGAAGAAAGCTGCGTAGAAGCAGGGAAAAGGGAGGACAAACTGGAACCTGTAAGGACAAACCAGAGCCTGTTCCTGTTTCTGCCTTACCAGAAATAGTCACATGGCCCTGCCCAACTATAAAAGCACTGGGAATATTGTGGGGAAATATATGTATATTCAGTAAGCAGAAATGCCTCTCAATCAAATATTAGTTATGTGATAATGTAACTGAGGAGGAAATGGAATCCATGCTTGAATGATTCTCTGAAAGGTATCCTTTCCAGGTTTTTTTTTTAATCATATGATATGTTTTATTGCCTGAAGATTTAGAGAGAATGTTTCTTTCCAGCACTCTGGACTTCCCCAAGAACAGGGTTGAGAACAGGAAATTCCCTTCAACTTCCTTCTTTAAGGTCAAGCACACCTTATGGCCCATCCCTAAGAAATGTCTCCTGGAGGTAGGGTGTCCAACTCACCCTGATTTGCTCAGGACTTCCCAGGTTTTAGCACTGAATGTCCTGCGTCCTGGAGAATGCATTAGTCTCAGCTGGATACCCTACTGAAAGAGTATGAAATAGATCTAAGGACTTTGGAATAACTGCAATAATTTGAATCTATTAATTGCTGACATTTTTATAACAGCTTTATTGAGATATAATTCACATACCATCAGCTGGGGACGGTGGCTTACGCCTGTCATCTCAGCACTTTGGGAGGCTGAGGTGGGCGGATCACTTGAGGTCAGAAATTCCAGACTAGCCTGGCCAACATGGTGAAACCCTGTCTCTACTAAAAATATGAAAATTAGCTGGGCATGGTGGCGCATGCCTGTAATCCCAGCTACTGGGGAGGCTGAGGCATGAGAATCGCTTGAACTTGGGAGGTGGAGGTTGCAGTGAGCTGAGATCGTGCCACTTCACTCCAGCCTGGGTGATAGGGTGAGACTCTGTCTCAAAATAATAATAATGATAATAATAATTCACATACCATAGAATTAACCAATTTAAAGTATACAATTCAATGGTTTTTATTATATTTACAGAGTTGTGCAAACCATCACCATAGCTGTCTTTGGAACATTTTTATCAGCCCAAAAAGAAATCCCATATTTACTGTAGTTACTCTTCATTTGTTCCCCAGCCCAACACAACCCTATTCTCTTTCTGCCTCTACAGATTTGCCTCTTCTGAATATTTTGCATAAGTGGAATCATACAATATATGGTCTTTTCAAGGGTAATCCACGTTGCAGAATGTATTGGTACTTTAATTCTTTATCTGGCCGAATAACATCTCATTTTGTTAATCCATTCATCAGTTGATAGACATTTGTGTTGTTCCTACCTTTTGACTATTATGAATAATGCTGCTATGAACTTTCATGTACAAGCATTTGTGTAAACATGTGTTTTCATTTCCTGTGGGCTGATTCCTAGAACTGCTGAGTTATAAACTAACTTTTATGTTCAACCTTTTGAGGAACTGCCAGACTATTTTCCAAAGTGGCTGCACTCGTTTACATTTCCACTAGCAATGTATGAGAATTCCTGTTTCTCCACATTCTTACCAACACTTATATCTGTTTTTCTGCTTATAGCCATTCTAGTGGGTATAAAGTGGTATCTCATCGTGGCTTTGATTTACATTTCCCTGGTGGCTAACAATGTTAAGCATCTTTTCACATGCTTATTGGTCATTTGTACATTTTCTTTGAAGAAATGTCTCTTCAGATTCTTTGCCCATTCTTAAATTGCGTTGTCCTCTTATTACTGCGTTCTTTATGTTTTTTGGATACTGGTCCCTTGTCAGATATATGAGTTACACATATTTTGTCTCATTCTATAGGTTGTATTTTCACTTTCTTGAACAGTGTTCCTTGAAACATAAAGTTTTAAAATTTATGGAAGTCTAGTTTTGTTTGTTGCTCATGCTTTTTTTTGTGTGTGTAGAGCCAACTGATCTTAGACAAAGCAAACAAAAACAAAAAGCGGGGGACACCCTTTTCAACTAATGGTGCTGGGATAATTGGCTAGCCACATATAGAAGTATGAAACTGGATCCTCATCTCTCACCTTATATAAAAATAAACTCAAGATGGATTAAGGACTTAAATCTAAGACATGAAACTATAAAAATTCTAGAAGATAACATTGGAAAAACCCTTCTAGACATTGGCTGAGGCAAGGATTTCATGACCAAGAACCCAAAAGCAAATACAATAAAAACAAAGATAAATAGCTCAGACTTAAACTAAAGAGCTTTTGCATGGCAAAAGGAACAGTCAACAGAGTAAACAACCCACAGAGTAGGAGAAAATCTTCACAATCTATTCATCTGACAAAGCACTAATATCCACAAACTACAATGAACTCAAACAAATCACCAAGAAAAAAATAAACAATCCCATCAAAAAGTGGGCTAAGGACATGAATAGACAATTCTTAAAAGAAGATATACAAATAGCCAACAAATATATGAAAAAAACACTCAACATCACTAATTATCAGGGAAATGCAAATCCAAACCACAATGTGATACCACCTTACTTCTCCAAGAATGGCCATAATCAAAAACAGTAGATGTTGGCGTGAATGCAGTGATCAAGGAACACTTCTACACAGCTGCTGGGAATGTAAACTAGTACAACCACTATGGAAAACAGTGTGGAGATTCCTTAAAAAACTTACTACTAGGTTTCTACCCAGAAGAAAAGAAGTCATTGTACGAAAAAGATACTTGCACATGCACGTTTATGGCAGTACAATTCACAATGGCAAAATTGTGGAACCAAGTCAAATGCCCATCAATCAATGAGTGGATAAAGAAACTGTGGTATGTATACATGATGGAACACTACTCAGCCATATAAAGGAATGAATTAATGGCATTTGCAGTGACCTGGATGAGACTGAAGACTATTATTCTAAGTGAAGTAACTCAGGAATGGAAAACCAAACATCATATGTTCTCACTGATATGTTGGGATTAAGCTATGAGGATGCAAAGGCGTCGGAATGATACAATGGACTTTGGAGACTTGTGGGGAAGGAGGGGGCACCAAAATCTCACAAATCACCACTAAAGAACTTACTCATGTAACCAAACACCACCTGTACACCAATAACCTATGGAAAAATAAAACATAAATAAAAATAAAATAAACATAAATTTATAGAAGTCCAATTTTGTTTGTTGCTTTTTTTTTTTTTTTTTTTTTTTCGTAGAGACAGGGTTTCACTATGTTGGCAAGGCTGGTCTCAAACTCCTGGCCTCAAGTGATCCACCCACCTCAGCCTCCCAAAATGCTGGGATTACAGGTGTGAGCCACTGGGCCTGGCCTAATTTGTTATTTTTTTGTAGAGATTGGGGTCTCACCATATTTACCAGGCTGGTCTTGAACTCCTGACCTCAAGCAATCCTCCTGCTTTGGCCTCCCAAAGTACTGGGATTACAGGTATGAGCCACTGTGCCCAGCTTGTTGCTTGTGCTTTGAATGTAATAGCTAAGAAACCATTGCCTAATCTAAGGTCATAAAGATGTATGCCTATATATAGCTTTAGCTCTTACATTTAGATCATCAATCCATTTTGAGTTAATTTTTGTATGTAATGTGAAGTAAGGTCCAACCTTATTCTTTTGCATGTGGATATCCAGTTGTCCTGGCATCATTTGTTGAAAAGACTATTATTTCTCTCATTGAATTGTCTTGGCACCCTTGCCAAAAGTTATTTGACCATAAATGTGAGGATTTATTTATGTGCTCAATTCTATTCCATTGATCTATATGTCTATCCTTATGCCAATACTGTACCATCTTGATTACTGTAGTAAGCTTTGAAATAGGTAAATACAAATCTTCCAACTTTGTTCTTTTTCAAGCTTGCTGTGGCTATTCTGGGTCCCTTGAATTTCCATATGAATTTTAGGATCAGCTTGTCAATTTCTGCAAATAAGTCAGATGGGATTTTGATAGGGATTACACTGAATCTATTGATCAGTCTGAAGAGCATTACCAGCTTACCAATGATCCATGAACAATGATGTCTTTCTATTTATTTAGGTCTTCTTTCATTTCCTTCAATTATGTTTTGTAATTTTCAGAGCATACATTCCGCACTTTTTTTGTTAAACATTCCTAAGTATTCTATTCATTTTGATGCTATGATAAATGGAGTTTTCTTAATTTTCAGTTTATTGCTACTGCAGTAAGTTTTATTTTTGTATATTGATACAAAAATACAACTTATTTTTGTGTATTGATCATGTATCCTGAAATCTTCTAAGTTGTTGTTGTTTTTTTGTTTGTTTGTTTGTTTGAGATGAGGTCTCACTATGTTGCCCAGGCTGGTTGCAAACTCTTGGATTCATATAATCTTCCCATCTCAGCCCCCCAACTAGCTAGGATTACAAGGATGTGCCACTGCACCCAGCTCTTCTGAGCTTTTTTATTAATTCTAATAGTTTTTTAGTAGATTCCTTAGGATTTTCTATATACGAGATCATGTCATCTGCAAATATAGTTTCACTTCTTCCTTTCCAATCTGGATGACTCTTATTTAATTTTCTTGCCTAATTATTACTGACTTATTTTTAAGAATCATTTATTTGCTAGGTCTTTTTGTCTGTAGCACACACCAATAACTTGGTGCTTACTTTATTTATAAGAAAACTGAGGAACAGAAAGGCACACTACCTGGATGTATGGGTCCTACAACATTCTAAGACTAAAACCTAGCTGTCTCAGTGTCCCAGACTAATGACCTCTTTGAAGTTGGACAGCATTATTCTAAATAAAGAACTCCCCCAAGAGAATCAACTACAATTGTAAATTCAGTAAATTGAAATTTGTTGCAAATAAAACCAAGCACCAATTTTAATTCAACCTTCAGATTGATTTTTGCTACAAAGTTGTACAAATCTACATAATCTCAATTATGCTAGAGACTGAGCTTAGTAAATTACACAACCAAGTGAGCCTCAGTGGTAGGCTGAGGTCACACATTTCCAGCTCTCACCAGAGGTACCTCCAAACCCCAAAACTGCATAAAGAGGCACAAGTCCAAGTCCAGAAAGAATAGCTTTTACAAAGATTTGCACACACTTTTGGCTAAAGGTTTATTTATCGGAAGGCCTGTCCCTAATGTGTTCTGTTTTTGGTTCTCAGTTTTAACATCAGTGAGAGCACCAACATTTTGGGGAAGTGGAGCTTAAGCATTCAAAGAGCTGTCAGGCCTGTGACAGCCTGTAGGGGTAGGGAAGCTAATACTTGTCCTTAAGGCCAGAGCTTACCAAGGACAAGAAGATCAGGAACCAAGATGGCAAGTAATGTACAGTTTGGTCCAGTGATGCCCTTGGCCCAGCTCTGGAGCAGCCTAGAGCTCTGGCTGAGAAACTCAAGCAATTGAAACCAGACTCTAGGCAATTAATCCTGCAGTTCTGAGGTTGCTATAACTATCCCACCTGTTTAGCTGGAGTTAAAGGTCAGACCCTATAATAAACCTCCTTTCGGAAGTTGAGATCACCACGACCCCAGCCAAAGGGCCAAGTCAGAAGTGTTCAGGTCCTACCCCTCCCTGGAGCCAATAGCAGGCTTTATGTTCAGGGTCAGAGAAAGGCAGGAAGGAACCTCGAGTTCCAGGGCTTCTTTTAAGTGTGCCAGCCAGCCCCAGCTCCCTCAGAATTAGTATGAGAAAAGGAAGTTCAAAATAGCTCGAGACTGTAAACACAGGTGACTGTAAGCCTGTGAGCATGGACGTACACACCACCTCCCAAATCTTAGTTTGACTAACATCACAAGTCTGTGTTGTGAACTAAAGTGTAGACCAAGTATCCCTAAGGCCTATACAACATCCTTAATACCTCTTCTTCCTTACCCCAGAAGCAATCCATCACCAGATCCTCCCAGTCTTTCCTCTGAAGCAATCTAGAATCCATTCCCTTCCCTCCAGCTCTACCACCACTCCTAAGCCAAGCTGTGCTCATCTCCCCTGTGGCTATTCACTAGGATGCTCACATCTCTTCCTCAAAATGCAAATCTGAACATATCACCCATCTCCAGAAAATCCTTCCATGACTTCTCAGGTCTCTAATGGTAAAGATAAAACTCCCCAGGTTGTCTCCATGGCCCAGCACAGTTGGTCTCCAGCCACAGAGCAGGTCCCTGAGTTTTCACAGGGTTTATCATCTGCCTTCTGGAGCACACTAGCCACCTCTTGCTTATCCTGCCCAGTCGCTATGATGCAGTTGATTTAATGCATCTGTGTGCTATTCTGTGGGATGTCCAGATTGTCCCTCTCTCTCTGCATAATGACTGAAGGCAAGAGAGTTAATATAACTATGGGGGAAAACTGCAGATGAATATCTTTGTCTGTTCCACATGAATGCCAACTGTTCTGATCCTCTTGTTCCATTGGAATAGAAAAGAACACGTGTGAAGTTTTTAGGTATCCAGTGGTCATGGTGTGCCAGGACATCCCCTTCAAAGTAAAACGCAAGTTGATGCCCATTTCATCCTTCCTACCACAAAGAAGGATGCACAGCACGTGGCAGGGCTCTTTGCATTCTGGAGGCCACACATTCCACACCTAGAAATTCTTCTCTGGTGGTACCGAAAGTTGCCAGCTTTACACGGAGCCTGGAACAGAAAAGGGCTCTACAGGAGGTCCAGGCAGCTAGGCAAATAGCTTATCTTTTCGATCATATGATCCAGCAGACCCTATGGCATTGGAAGTGTCAGTGATAGGTAAGATGCAATACAGACCTCTTTGAAAGCCCCAGTGAAATAATCACAAAGCAGGCCCCTGGGTTTCTGGAGCATGACATCTGCATATACCTTTTGAGAAACAGTTCCTGGCATGTGACTAGGCTCCAATTTAGACGCAATGCTTGACTATCAAGTGACAATACATCTAGAACTGGCCATGACGGACTGGCTTCTGTTAAGTCAGCCAAGTCCTAGTTAGGTAGGGCCTGTAGTACTTCATTGCAAGATAGAAACGGTAACCAAGCTTGGTTTACTGGTGGGTCAACTCAGCGTGTGGGTGGAAGCCAAAAATGGACAGTGCCTGCTTGACAGCCACAGTCAGGGGTTTTCTTGAAAGACAGAGGCAAGGGAAAATCTCCCCAATGAGCAGAACTGCAAGTGCGGCAGCTGCTTGTGGAAGGAGAACTCTACACAGGAGACATGTTCCTGGGCAGCAACCAAGGATCTAGCTGCCTAGTCAGAGGCTGGAAGAAAAAGTCTGGAAGATTGAGGACAAGGAAGCATGTGGGTGGACATTTAGAAATAGGCACAAAATGTGAAGATTTTGTATCACACATTAACACCCACCAGAAAGCATCCACCACAAAAGACAACTAACAACTGAGTAGATTAAATGACTCAGCCACTTCATCACTGGCCATCCTGGAACTGGCACAACAGTCTCATGAATGGAATTGGTCACAGTGGCAGAGATGAAGGCTACTATGTATGCGCCTAAAAGCATGGACTCCCACATGCCAAAGCTGATCTAGCTATTGCTGCCTCTGCCAGCAACAGAGATCCATGCTGAGTCCCAGATATAATACTATTCCTCAAGGAGACCAGCCAGCCACCTGGTGGCAAGTCAATTGCATGAGGCCCCTTCCATTCTGGAAAGGCCAGCGGTTTATCCTCACAGGGATAGAGACGTATCCTGGGAATCAGCTTGCCTTTTCTGCCTACAGAACCTTAGCCGGCACCAGTATCCTCAGAAGTTTACAGAGTAACTGATCCACAGGTATGGAATTCCATCCAGCATAGAATCCAACCAGGGACCCACTTCACAATGGAGGTGAGCAAGTGAGCCTATGACAATAGGATCTACTGGTCATATATATATACTGCACCATCCAGAAGCTGCCAGCCTGAAAGAGCACCAGAATGGCTTACTGAAGGCACAGCTAGGGCACTCGCCTGGAGGCAATAATCTGCAAGGACTGGATGCCATCCTTCAGGACCCAGCACATGCATTAAATCAGAGAGCTATAATCACATCTAAATTACAGCTTCCTGCTATGTCCCCTACAGGAAAAATGCATGGGTCCAGGAACCTAGGGGCAGAAGCAAGAGTGGCTACACTTACCATCACTTCCAAGGACCCACTGGGGAATGTTGTGCTTCCTGTCCCTGAACTCTAGGTTCCGTAGGGTTGGAAACACTAATCCCCAAAGGGGGCATATTCTTGCCAGGGACACAACTACACCCGTTAAGTCCCACTGAACTACAGAACTCTGGCTGCCACCAGGGTACTTTGGACTCCTTGTATCTAAGAATGAGTAGACAAGAAAAGAGTCACCATCATGGCAGAGATGACTGAGCTTGAATAGCAGGACGTGGTCGCGCTGTTTTTATACATCAGTAGGGGCTAAAATAATGTGAAGCCCAAATGATCCATTTGGGTATCTCTTGGTACTCCCTTGTCCAGTTGTAACTCTAAGTGGACATTTGCAGCAACCCTGGTCAAGAAGAGTATGATGACCAAGGGCTTGGACCTCTCAGGAATGAAGGTTGGGGTTATACCACTAAGCAAGCCAAGCCCCACTGAAGTGATAGCTGAAGGTGATGGGAACTTAGGATAGCGCAGAAGGGAGAAGGTAAGTACCAACCATGGCCCCAAGACTAACTTCATCAATGGTGATTGTAATTTGTTCCCCAAAGCTCCCTCTTCTAGGTTTCCCGTCGGGAAACCATGGAAAGAAACATGGGTGCATTGTGGAAAAGAGGATCTGTGCAGTATAAGGGGCAGACTGTGCAGGTTGTGGAGCTGCATCACTCAAGTCTCCTTCAAGAAAACCTGACAAAGTGCCCAGAGGAGTCATAATTAATGGCAGCCCCCAGCTGCTTCCCCTGTGAATGCAGAAGCCACACTTCCTCTAGGCTCTGCTTCTAGACAACAACTGAGCACAACAGGATTACTGGTGTGCCCAGTCTTGCCCAAAGTGGACTCCTCTCATGAGCAGCTTTTTGCCAGGGACTCCCCATCAACTTCACTGAGATTCTTCTCAGAGCTGGTCTATGGTCTAAGACTTCCTTCCCAGTCCTTCCTCCCTCTGTCCTCTCCCAGGGGTCAGCCTGGCCCCTGGATCTAAAGCCTCTCCCTGCCTACTCTTGCTCCCTTGCTCTTTAGCCCTCACAGGTGTTTCCTTTGTCTTGGCATCTGCTTCTCAAAAAAACCCAAGTTGACAGAAATAATATATGATCTCTCAAAGATAGAGTACCTCTACTAAAACATAGGGGCTAGCCGGGCAAGGTGGCTCACGCCTGTAATCTCAACACTTTGGGAGGCCAAGGCGGGTGGATCACGAGGTCAGGAGATTGAGACTATCCTGGTAACATGGTGAAACCCTGTCTCTACTAAAAATACAAAAAATTAGCCGGGAGTAGTGGCACGCACCTGTAGTCCCAGCTACTCAAGAGGCTGAGGCAGGAGAATTGTTTGAACCTGGGAGGTGGAGGTTGCAGCGAGCCACAGATAAATACATAAAAATAAAACATAAGGGCTTGGCCGGGTGCAGTGGCTAACGCCTGTAGTCCCAACACTTTGGGAGACTGAGGTGGGCAGATTGCTTGAGCCCAAGAGTTCAAGACCAGCCTGGGCAACATGGCAAAACCCCGTCTCTACAAAAAATACAAAAATTAGCTGTGCATGGTGGTGTGCACCTGTAGTCTCAGCTACTCAGGCTGAGGTGGGAGGATTGCTTGAGCCTGGGAAGTTGAGGCTGCAGTGAGCCAAGATTGTGCCACTGCACTCCAGCCTGGGTGACAGAGTGAGACCCTGTCTCAAAGAAAAGGGTGGGGCAGCGGGGTGGGCCAGGCTTGAGGGGGAAGGATGGGAATAACATACCAAAAAAAGTTTAACTGTTTTCCATGATCATAATTGGTAGTAGAAGCATTAGTATTGTTATTCTGAGATGGCTGTGTTTATAATGTGGGATAAAGCAAATGGTTAATTAGGGGATCTTCTTATTCTACCAATTTCTCTGCCCTTCAAACCTAGGGTTCTCATTATGGAAAAAAGAGATACAGATGTAATATATAAGAAGTTAAGCCAGGCATGGTGGCTCATGCCTGTAATCCCAACACTTTGGGAAGCCAGGCAGGAGGACTGCTTGAGCCCAGGAGTTCAAGACCAGCCTGGGCAATGTAGTGAGACCCTGTCTCCACAAAAAATTTAAAAATTAGTTGGTTGTGGTGGTGCACACCTGTAGTCCCAGCTACTCAGGAGGCTGAGGCAGGATCACTTGAGCCTGGGAAGTCAAGGCTGTGTGAGCCATGATCGTGCCACTGTGCTTCAGCCTGGCCAACAGAGTGAGACCCTATCTCCAAAAAAAAAAAAAAAAAGTAAAAGTATGTTATAGTTTGGTTTGATCCCTCCAAATCTCATAGTCAGTTTCGCCACGCTGACCAGGCTGGTCTTGAAGTCCTGACCTCAAGTGATCCATCCACCTCGTCCTCCCAAAGTGCTGAGAATACAGGTGTGAGCCACTGAGCCCAGCCTCCTTCGTCTCTCTCACCCCTCTCTTGCTATGTGATTCTGCACACCCTTCCTCTTCCACCATGTGTGGAAGCAGCTTGAGACCCTCACTAGATGCAGGTACCAGCATCATGCTTCCTGTAAAGCCTGCAGAACGATGAGCCAACTAAGCCTCTTTTCTTTAAGAATTACCCAGCCTCAGGTATTCCTTTGTAGCCGCATTAAATGGACAAAGGCACCCTATAATCCTGAATTGGAATCAGAAAGAACACTGTAAAATCATGGGGTACCATAGATGCATGTGTGTATACACACTCATGTATACATACATATTTATATATGCATTTAACATATATAATTCCAAGACCTTCACTATCTTTAAAAATACATATTTACTATATATGTTTCTAGATGTCTATATTAAATGTATAAAAATGTTATATTTAAATATAATCAAAGCTCTGTCTACTGAATAGGCCTAGAACCAATGATCTACCAGTAACAATGAGAATTTCTAGTGTCCAATTATGGTCTTGCAATACCATTTCCCACTTAAGGAAACCAGGGCTTTTTGGAGAAATGACTGATTCCAAGTCTAGGACAGAAAATGAATAAAGTGAGCCTAGAACATCTTGCAATACCAGAAAACAAAGCAGATATCAAAGACAACTAGAGTTGTGTCAGAACAACTCAGGAACCAACTTAAAGAGGCTCCCAAAGGCCAAAGGCAGGACAATAAAGATAATAATTGCAATGAGATGAAGCCTATCAAATACATCTAAACTCATGAGTTCATAATATTGTTTAAAAAATAGTCACCTTCTGAGGATAACAAAGAACCAGTTCATATCTTAAAAGTTGGGTAAATAAAAGGAAAGAATTAAGCACTTATCTGCCTTTCCCACACAAACTCTACTGGGAAATCAAACAGTAGATGAGAGACAATGTCTCCTTATAAAATTATTCCATCTAATAAATGAAGAGAAAATGATAGATTAGAATATCCCCATGCTGCAATCCCCAGTGAATTACTTGCTGGATGTAGGCATTGAGCATCAGTGGCTGCTAACATAACAAAAGTGAAAAACAGATGTTACGTGCTTCTTGCTAAATGAGCACACCACTACCTAGAGTCTTATCAAAGGGATCAACCTGAGGCAAATTGTCTAGATCTAGCTGCTGATCTGCAGGAAATGCTGAGGATAAAGGAGTATATTGAACTGCACCACGGGCATGAAATGAGCAAAAACCCAGGCTGTGAAAATCTACAGATCAAATGGCTTAAAATCTTCAACAATTTGTAAGAAAAGGAAAGGGATGGAGGGGACCCTTTAGATTAAAAGAGACTTAAAAGATGTATCAAGTTTTTTTAAAAGGACAGTAAGACTATAGCATGTAGGGATGCACATCTGGGTGACAAAACAATAAAGAAACTCAACGAAATTATTACTTATAAAAGTTAAGATGGAAGAAGGGAGGTGCTGGGACTGTGATGGGGAAGGGGGAACATGGAGGACCCTGGGGGGCTGGCAAAGTTCTATTCTTGACCTGAGTGGTGATTATAAGGGTGCTTGCTTTATAGTAATTCCCTGAGTTCCTTTGCTTGCTTGTTTATTTACCAGTCCCTGAAATCACAGCCTGGGAAGCCCTGAAGTAGAGCAGGTGCAGAAGCTGAGGCAGGCAGGGCTGCTTGCTGAGTGAACCAAACACACCTGATTTACCCAGGACCACTGGAGAGGCCTGGCTGGGCCCTACACGGAAGAACGCAGTTGACTCAAATGTCCTTGAAATCTTGAGCTACTAAACAGGTCTGTTCTCTTATATCACACATCATTCCAAAACAGATTTGCAGAAGATTACAAAACAAAACACAGTAGAAAGTGAGTAGGATCAGCTGTTACAAAGAGCAAGGAAATAGTTGGTCCCAGCACCTGCCTTAAGGTAAGCTCAGGCCTAGGCCCACAATATAAACACATACAGCTGAGTTCCATGCTGCCCTTCTTGCCCAGCCAAGAATCCCACTTCCTGCTCCAGAGGTACTGCCTACCTTCCTTCCCCTTTCCTCGGCCTTCTCCGAGAGAACTAAAGCTCTGTCCGTGGGCTCCAGGCAGACGGCTGCAGTGTGGCCTCTCACCCCCTCTGCAGGCAGGACGCTGCGCTGCAGCTCTCTGGGCCCTCTCCTCATCTCTTCAGAAGCATTTACCACCTGCCAGGCCCAGGGGATGGAGACAGGCAAGAGATCCCCCTTTTCCCTCTGGGAGCTCACGGTGCAAGGGCTGAGCCTGACACGAAAGCAGGCAATGACAATCCAGAGAGGAGATGCCAGCATCTAAGAAAATGAAGGAGCACAAGGATGGAATGATTAACTGCCTAGGGAGATTGGGGACACTTCACAGCAGGTGACTGCTAAAGTAAACCCTGTACAACAAACACAAAGTGGGTGAAGGGGAGGCATTCCAGGCAAAGGGAAAATGCATGCAAACCAGGAAAGCATAAAAGAGGGCACTGATTGGTCTGAGGTGCCTGACTTGATCACGTTACACTTCTTCTGGAGCTTCCTGCCAAAGCAGCCTGAAGAATAAAAATGAACGAAGCTGGACCTCTCATAAAGGTCTCCCACCTGCCATCCCCAGGAAAGCAAACCTTTCTTTCAAGAGCTTCCCCCGACCCCCAGCTTCCCACACCTGGTCTCCCTTACCCTCTCAAGAAAGGGCCCATCCTGTCTCAGTCAAGTGACAACCTCTGCACCCCTGGCCGGGTCTTTTCCCTCCTGTGTCTCAGTCTCCTCCTCTGTGGAGTGGGGAAAGAACCCTGTCTGCATCCATGTGAATCAGCCACATAACAGCTAGGAAGGCTCCTAGCACTGCGGGCAGAAGGACCCAGGAGACCCCAGGCCCTCAGGGGCATCCTGGGCAGGCCACAACCCCGAGCCTGCTGGTAAAGAGAGGTGATGCCACAAGACCATCCTCACAGATGGACCCAACTGCACCCGCAGCCACCCACTGCTCATAAACCTCCATAAAAATCAGTGATCCATGCAGTTTTTGTTTCAGGTGTTTTATTAAGTGGGCCATACTGTAGCTGGTTTCTAAGTTGCAAAACATAAATTTAATAATAATAACATAGCCAGTTAGATTGTGACAAGCTTTTCCTTTCCTTAAAAAAAGAAAATACTTAAAAACACACAATGGCGGGTTAAATAAATAAAACATTTTAAAAAAGAAAAAAGAAAAGAAAAACCTGTTAAAACATGCTTATGTTTACTTCTGTGAAACTGTGCCAACAGGAAATGTGGTATTTGGCACGATGACACATCCCGGCATGTCTCCTTCCCAAACAATACTGACAAAAAAGAAAATACGTGGGACTGACTCATCGGTGCTTGCTTAGAGGCACTACTAAAAATCCCTTTGATTGGAGCATGGGGCTTCCCGCGCAGCACACCTGTGTGTGGCCTATGAAAGCCAAATATCCATAATAATGTTAATATAGAAAAACATTAGTTTAAAAATGATGTGGAAGGGCCTCATTAATGCGACGGGGCAAGGAAACATAACTGTCCCGCACGCAGTGCCACAGGCTCAGTCCAGGGAGGCCTCAGGCTTCCAGCATGTGGCCACGGCGAGGGAGGGCACCAGCTTCAAAATAAGCGGCACCAGCCTCGCTCCCTCTCCCTATCACTCTTTCACATGAAAGTGTGTAAAAAGCAAATCAGCAAATAAACTCTAAAATAGATTATTTATTCCAAAAATCCTCTAGTTTTCTTTTTACAGTGAGTGTACATTTTGTCTCCTACTCCTGCACAATCGCTTAAGTCCCTTTGGGAAAAAAGGTCAGAGCTGCAGGGTGAGTCTTTCTCAGTCCTGCTGCTGGCTGGTGCTGGGAGGTCAGATGTCGATGCCCTTGACAAGGGACGTCTCCAGCGTGATGTTGAACTCCTGCAATGTCTGCAGCACACGAATCAAGGAATTGACAAGTGTATGGTCTTTGATCAGTGCCACATCCTCATACATGTGTGCAGTGATGGGGCAGTCAGCCAGCAGGGCAATCCAGTGGTGTAGGAGGTGATCTCTGGCAGAGCGGGAGCAGTCCAGGCAGGTCAGAGGGGCAAAGGAAAAGGAAGAGAGAGCGTTAGTGCAAGGCCAAGGGGGAAACCATGAACTAAGTCTGAAGCTGGAGAAGCTGACAGCCCCCCACACCCCCCTTTCCCAAACAGGGACTGGCAAAGAGGTCTTTCAGCTCCAGGACACCAAACAAACCTGACCCAAATCAGCCCTGTCATGAGCCTCCAAGCCTCCTCCTCCCCTGCCTCCCTCGCCCTGCCTAGTCAGCCCCACCACTGGTGTCTCCCAGAGCTTCTCTCCTCCCACAGCTACCACCACCAGGAATAATAATAAGCACTAACCTCACATAACACTCAGCATGTGCTGGCACTGACATAAGAGATTTAATCTTCATGATAACCCTGTGATATGAGGTAGGTACTATTATTATCCCCACTTTATAGATGAAGAAAGTAGGGTAGATGGAAGTTAAGTAGCTTGTCCAAGATCACATGGCTAGTAAATGGATAACTTGAGATCTGAACCTAGTGAATGCGGTTCTGGAGTCTGTTTTTAACCACTATGCCAATTCTCTCCCTTTATGCAGCCTGAATAAACTGCCTTAAGTTTATTTGAGCTTCATGCTCTCTCACCTGACCTACAGGAATAGCCCCTAATAATCATGTCCACTCTAATGCATACCACCCATAATATCAGATTAATATTACTTCAGTCCCCTGATGAAACAACTTTGTACTAATATGAAAAGAATCTTTCTCTGTCCCAGCTCAGGGGCCCTACCCTCCTTTCAACTGTGTTTCCTATTACTGCCCTTGCCACGTTCTGTTATTTCCTTCCATTAAAGGCTCACTTAAATACCAACTCCTCCCTGAAGTCTTCTCTGATCTTTCTCCTCTACCTTTTCAGCATATTGTATGAATGTACACTTCATTTTTGGACCCTCAAAACCTTCTTCCATGCTCTGTATTTAATTAGGACAAGTAAGCTTCTAAATGTTGGCCAGGCATGGTGGCTCACGCCTGTAATTTCAGCACTTTGGGAGGCCAAGGAAGGCAGATCACCTGAGGTCAGGAGTTCAAGACCAGCCTGACCAACATGGAGAAACCCCGTCTCTACTAACAATACAAAACTAGCCAGGCGTGATGGCGCATGCCTGTAATCCCAGCTACTCGGGAGGCTGAGGCAGGAGACTCACTTGAACCCAGGAGGCGGAGGTTGTGGTGAGCCGAGATCACACCATTGCACTCCAGCCTGGGCAACAAGAGCGAAACTCCATCTCAAAATAAATAAATAAATAAATAAATAAATGGTAAGGGGCCACGTTTTATTCAGCTGTCTTCCTACCAACTTCCATAAGGCCATTTAAATGTCTAATGAAGGAATAACTAGATATACTCTGCTTCAAACTTCCCCAGTGGTGTGATTTTGATCTTTCCTTTCAAAATGGGGCCCCTCTGCCCCGAGTTACATACACGTTGTCATCCCTACCCCGACAGATCACCACACACATAAGTCACGTGTTGCTTAATGACAGGGATACAGTCTGAGAAATGTGTCATTAGACAGTTTCGTCACCATGCGAACTTTATAGGGTTCTCATACAAACCTAGATGGTAGAGCCTACTATATGTCTAGCCTGTTGCTCCTAAGCTACAAATCGGTACAGCCCTGTCACCAGCCCCCAGGCCTGCTCTTCTACACTTCTCCTGGAGCTTCCTGCCACAGCAGCCTGAAGAATAAAAATGAAGGAATACTGTGCTGAATACCGTAGGCAACTAAAACACAATGGTAAGTATTTGGGTACCTAAACATCTCAACCTATAAAAGGTACAGTAAAAACAGAGTATAATCTTATAGGACCATCATCCCATAAACAGTCCGTCACTGACAAATGTTGTTACGCAGCACATTTTATGCAGTGTGTGACCATACACGATACACAGAGGAAATTCAGGGCTTCTAGGAAACCTTCTAAGGCCTCATCTCCCTAAGGGCACCTGATGAGCCATTCCTCACCCCTGCACTGCACCAGGCCTCCAACACCACCACCAAGGCTAACCGCTGTGCACTCTGGGCCCTGGGTCTGCAGTACCTGGCTCCCAAGCACACCAGCATCTGAAACTTGCCATCCTTGCCGATGTTCCGGGGAGTATTGTTGATTGCAGTGACAAATCGGCAGAAGTTCCGGGCTCTTGTATGCCAGTTTTCCTCAGGGACTACTTCATTCTTCTCTAATGTCTCATAATAGGTTTGTGCTTTTTCTGTGAAGAGTAGAAAAGCTTGCCAGTGAAAAGGCTCTCAACACCAACCCTGACGGTCCTACAGGCCACTTGCCATGGGCCTCTCCAAGTCCACACAGGTAACTTAATGAGAATAGCACAAGTGTTCTGATGTCACTGGTCATGTTTCAAAATGATCCTTAGCTTCCCTATCCTTATTTTTTAAATTTATGTATGTGGCCCTTGATATAAAGATGTTCTTTTCCCTAGTCTGAAGACACAAAAAATTCTGAGGATGGTTTCTTGCATGAAAATTCTCCATATGGGTGCAACACAGGGCTTGGGGCTCCAATACGCTCAACTGGACTTTGGGATCTATAAGGGGAAAGTGTGAGGACTCAGGACTAAGTCCATACTAAATAACAGATGTCTAGAAGAATCTTTTCTGTGCAATTCTCAAGAGGTAAGCATTTACCAAGGACGGGGAGGAGAGCTCTTGTCACTCCCTTCAAGAAAAACCAGAGCAAACAAATGAGATCTGAGAGTCACCTAATTTGGGTTCTGCCTCTCAGAGTGGTCAGCACCCATGCTATGCTGGTGAGTCCCCTTATATCTCTACATGCTTCTCCCACCCTCATACTCCAGCTCAACTCACCCAGGAAATCCCAAATGAAGACATTTTTGAAGAGCCGGGGCGATTTAAATCCATGCTGGAAAGCCTGTTCCAAGGCCGAGACAAGGCCACACTCTCCACAGAGCAACAGCGTCAGACTGCCTCGCTACGTAAGGAAACAGGGGAGGGTGCCAGGCTTGTCTCAGCCGAGCTGCCCTCCCACCATTGCATCCCTAAACCCACAGCCCAGAGTTGGGAGGGCTGCAAAAGACAGGCTAGGACTTTGTCTGTTTCCCTAACACCTGGCACAGTGCCTGGCTCAGAGCAGCTCCCAGTGAAGAGCTGCTGAATAAATGGATGAAAGAAGAGATGATGGATCTGGGTCACACACAAGGAGATTCTCCACTGGAGGACAAAGCCAGTGTGGCCACTATTCAAGGAGACCCAGGCAAATCTAGAAGAGGACAGGAATAGGCACTGTTCACTAGGGGCCCAGGGACTCTATTGGGTCATCAGTATGGAGGGAAAACAGGGTAACCTGAGGCAAAGGCCCCCAGAGGAAGGAGTCTGCTCCATCTCCAACTAGCTGAGGCACACACTCTACAAGACTCTAGGGTGTCCACAGCACATGGGCCTGGAAGAGCATAACAAGATAATCGGAAAAACAAAATTATTCTCTCTTATTCAATGTAAGGCCCTGGATTGGAGGGCAGGAAGGCTCACCTCTTTCTCAGGCTTATGGAAGTGCTTCACAATGCCATTGACTGCCTCCCCGATGGACTCCTGGATCTGCCCAGTGTTCAGCTCTAATAAAAATCAAGCAGACATCCCTAACCAATCTCTGAGGCTAACAGTGCTTAGCTGCCTGAGCAGGAGACTGAGGACACGGGGAGGGCCCATAGGAGAGGCAGGGCAGCTGGACCCTAGGAAGCAGAGGCGCTTGCCCACCCAGCTTTGCTGATTTAGCTCTTCCGCAAATCTTGGGGGAAAAACACAAAAGCTAACACCTTAGAGTTCTATCTCTAAGAAATGCTGGTAAAGTTTAGTTTCCATTTTACCTTGGAATTGTGGGTAACCAAAAGAGAGCCAAGCCTTGGCTGTGAAGCCCAGGAATCAGGCAGGGGGAGTCCAGAAAGTAGGCCCCTCTCCTTTAATGGATCATGCATGAATATATACAGCGCCCAGGTTTGGCAGCATGAGTTCTCTCCTCTCCTGCCAGCCCTCTAAGGAGAGTGCCAAATGCTCTCAGTGATTCATAAGAGAAGGGTGCCATATGTGTGAGGTGGCTTTGTTAGCAGAAGTGTTTCCTGAGGCAGCTGCACAGGCTGGGACCCAGGTTCCCATTATCAGGGCTCACAGAGATCCACCCATTCCCTAGACTGTATGGCATGAGGGCCCAACCCCTCCTCCCACTTACTGGGCTTGTTGTTGGGTGAGATGGTAACAAGCCTCCGGATGACACTGGGGGACTGCTGCAGCGGCGGGGTCCGGCATGGCCTCTCATCCACCTCAGGCTGGGATGTGAGCAGCTCCCCAACTAGGATCCGCTCCAGGCTTCCATCATCCATGCCCTTCCCTAACCACCGGCCACACGGGAACCTGAAGATCAGACAATGGACTGTCAGAGCAGCCAGCTCCTCCCTGCTGCTCACAGGAAGAGCCATCAACAAAGCCAATCCCTGGAGATAGGCTCTGAAACCAGGATAGAGACTCCTTCAATGCTCTGCTGGTTCCACCATGTATCATCAGAGAATCACCCTGAGTGGCATAGGTGGCCTGGGATCTGGGCACAGCAATTCCACACATCTTCACCTAGAAACCCTCCTTCTGGCTGGGCCTGATGGCTCATGCCTGTAATCCCAGCACTTTGGGAGGCCGAGGCGGCCGGATCACCTGCGGTCAGGAGTTCAAGACCAGCCTGGTCAATATGGCGAAACCTGTCTCTACTAAAAACACAAAATTAGCTGGGCGTGGTGGTGCATGCCTATCATCCCAGCTACTCGGGGAGCTGAGGCAGGAGAATCGCCTCAGCCCAGGAGGCACAGGCTGCAGTGAGCCAAGATCACGCCACTGCACTCCAGCCTAGGTGACAGAGCAAGACTCCGTCTCAAAAAAAAAAAAAAGAAAGAAAAAGAAACAACAGAAGAAACCCTCCTTCTACTTACTTTCAAGTGTATGAGGCAGAGCCAAACAGGAAGTTGCCTCAGGTTATCACAACCTAAAGGGTCTCCTTGGGAACTCCACATACCCAAGCATCGAAGAGCTCCTGTAGATACACCTTGCCCCTCTACCTTACAGCCTGAGGGTATACTTACTTGTAGGTATGTCCTGTGATCTCATTCCTGACCATCACATACTCCACCAGCCATTTGGCATACAGCCCAGAGTTATCATGGCCAATCTGGACAGTAGTAAGCTTCCCCAAGTTCTGGCACTATTAGAGAATAGAGAAGATGAGGTAGGTCAGGAAAATCAGAGAAAAGAACAGTAGTTCTCGGAGGCACAGATCTGACTGGCTGCCTGCAACCTGACCCCTCAGCATCTGCAGGCTTAGAGGTCATGGCTCTACATACCGCCAGAACTGCGGTACAGCACTATCTCATGGGGGTGCCCAAGGCTGAGAAAGAAAACACTCTACCTAGAAGAACAGGGTCAGGGAGCAAGAGATTCTGGAAGTGGGTTCTGAGGTCTCTGGGAACAGGTGGGCTGAGTAGCTGAAAGAACTCCTGGGGACTTCTCAACACACTATGCATGGAGAGATGTGCATGTCCAGACAAGTAAGTGCCTTCCAAACATTGTTTAGACAGGGTGGGGTCCCCCTCCTCAGGGTCAGTCTTTGGATCCAGCCTCAGATCATCTCAGGAAGGTCAGCTATGCTGAAGCATTACACTGTACATAGCAAGCCCTCTGAAAAACCCTGCAGAAAACTCCCCAAAGCGGCTGTTGCAAACTCAGATCCCCACAGAGCTGTGGCCCCAAATAACACATACCTCGAAGGTCATCTCTAGCACATTCCTGGGAATCTGCATGATCTGTGTCTCACCCAATTCTCCTGATATACAGATCCATGGGTTGGCAGTGAACATGGAGCCCCCCAGCTTCTTGCTTGGTACGATCAGAATGTGGTACGGGATCACTGTTTAGGGGAAGCCACAAAAGTATTGAGGAGAATTAGGAATCTTTCCCATACCAGATGGGACTCTGACCTGCTCCAGGAAGGCTGGCACAACTGTGGCTCCTGCTATCTCAGCTCAAGCAGAGCCCTGGAACAAGAGGGCCCCAGGACCTAGTCCCTGGCTAATGTAGAATATTAGCCAGCTACCCCATGGCCCCTCCTCAATTTCACTCCTCTCAGGCTTACCACCCAAACATCAAAGATCCAAGCCTATCTGTAGGCTCAGAACTAAATGAACCTGTTCGTTAAACAATATCCCCAACTCCTAACATTGTACTGAACTGCTTTTTAGAGCACTCTTCAATCTATCATCTCATGAACCCTAATAACAATCATAATCTTTGGAGAGGAAGTATTGCAATCCTTTTTCCAAGGCACAGAGAAAGAAAGTTTGCCTCGGGTCTTCTAAATTCCAGTCCAGGGCTACTTCTATTAAGCCCACAGCCCTAGTCTCTAAAAGGGAAGATGCAGCATCAGACAGAAACAAGAGTCCATGCTGCTGAGTAACTGGCCAAAGAACTAGCCATGTGGCAAACTCAGAGACTACCCTCCACCCAGTAGAGAATCCTGGCATCAGGGAAAGAAGAGGCTCAAAGGGAATTAGACCATATTGAACCCTCTTCCCTCTTCTGTAAATAGAGAGACTGGGACTCACAGCAGGATAGACTCTGCTCACAGACACATAATGAGTTAGCCAAAGCTGAGCCCAGAATGAAATCTCCCACTGGTATCTGGAGTTCTTTCTGCTACCTCAGAAAAGAGCTCTTTTTCCCTTCAGCCTGGTTTGAAACATTCTGTGATGCCAAGTGAGCCTCTCAGGCGAAAACAAAAGGGAGATTCTTTGTGGGTATGCAGGGAGGGAGGTAAACTGCATCAGCTCAACTGACTCCACTCCACCTTCATCAGCTTAGGCTCCCAGAGCAGTGCCTAGGACAACACCGACAACACAATGGCAAAAAAGACTGAGCTCTCCAGTTCAGAACAAGAATGAGAAACTTCAGAGAAAACACAGCCTCCAAGGAGGGCAAGTGCACCTCTCTCCCCACAGAGGCAAAAGACAAATAGAAAGTACAAGGGATAATCTTCTTTCTTTAAAAAGGGGACAATGAGTGAGTCTCAGGCAGGTTCATAAAGACTGCCTTGAGAAGGCCAGCTGGGAGCACAGGGCTACTCACGGATAGTTGTGAAGACATTGGTGAAGCAAAAGTAATCGACGGCATTGAAAGACAGGAGGTGATAGAGGAACTGCTCCTTCTCGTCATCACAGCGCAGGAAGGCATAGCGCTTATATAACTTTCTGTTGGAGAGGAGGTAATACATCAGTCTCCGACCAAAAGGAAGGGAAAGAAACTAGAATTTTCAGTTCTGGAAGGAGACAGCTAAGGGAAGCATAAGATGTCAAGCTTCAAGTTCCTTAGGTTCACCCTATAAAGGAACAAAGCTAGCTACTCTAACTAAGGGACAGAGGGACAACGGTTTAAGCTACAGCAGGAACAACAAAAATCAAATACTGCCTGTGTCCAAGGTATGTTGATGTTACTATAATATCAAGTGTCAGAAGTCATGAAATCTCCTTTTCTAAACTGAGGGCTGGAATGAAATTCCATCAAGGATGACACAGGTCTTCTCAGGCTTCTAGCTAGGCTGTCAGCTAGTGTATGGTGTGTGAGTGGCAGTGGATGAAGGTCTGTGGTCACCATTCATCACCAGGCCTAGTTTCGAACCCTGAGTAGATCTGAGAGCCACAAGTCAGAACACTGCTCTGAATGGGGGTATAAGCCTAGGACAGATTCAGAGGCGAGAAAGGGCAGGCTTCTGCTCCCGCCTCTGATCCAGGTCACAGGCAAGGAAGAGCCATGCAGATCATATCCTTCCCCTTTTTTCAAACTTTCTCCCTTCATTTTCACTGCCTATTCATCAGAGGTCAACTCCTTTGCCTGACATTCCAGGCCCTCCGCAGCTTCAAAGCAATGATATCTTCCCCCAAATAGAGGAGACACCCAGAGCCAAATGTACAGGCCTTCAACACAAAGAACAAAAGAAGACAACTGTCCTGGTTGTCCAAGCTGCAATCACCATGGCCAGACGGGTACAGAATTCAGAACTGTGAGGTTCTACCTAGCCAGGTTTACAAGGCACTTTCAACAGATAATTTATCAACCCAGGCCTGTTATGTCCAGGTGCTGGAGAGGAAAGCGCCTATCCTCAAATGCAGTCTAAGTGAATAAATCAGGTAAAGGCCATGGTATAGGACTGCTCACAATGAATAATCAAACAAAAGGCTGTTTCTGGGAATTTAAAGAGCCATACGCTTCAGTGGTCCTGGAAGGCCTTCTAGAACAAGAGGGACCTGAAGGGCAGCAGAAATTTAGACAACTGTTGTACAGACAGGTTTGGAAACCAGTTTGGCTGGAGTTGAGGGTTCAGGGAAGTGATCAGTTAGCAATGAGACTAAGAAGTTAAGCTACTGTACCAAAGGTGTCAAATGAAAAAAAAAAAAGGCTATTCAAATGAAGGAAGGTCCTAAAATTTTAAACTAAGGAGTTTGCAATCTGCCCAGTAAGTAAGGGGTTTCTGCAATTTGCCCTAGAAAAAGAGACAGCCATGACCAACTTCAGGAAATTTAAATTTAGTGCAGGTGAGAAGTGAAAGGGAAATGAGGATTAAACTAAGTCTGTGCAGTAAAAATGGTAAGGAGACAGGTGGGACAGAGGTGAAGAACCTGAAACCTGTATGTGGGAGATAAAGCAAAGCAAGGAGTCAAAACTGACTCCAAATTTTCAGTGTAGGTACGGAGAAGAAGTGGGGGTAAGCTTTTCAGAGAGCACAGTGGTGACATTAACAAAAAATCTGAGAGTAAAGTAGTTATGGTGAAGACTCTGTGAAGCTTGCTTTTGTTCTCTCTGAGCTAAAGATAGAATATCAGAATGGAAATAAATGCAGGAGTGGAGTTTAAAAGACATGTCAGGGCTAGAACTTCAGATGTGGGCATCTCCTGCTTAGAGGTGAGAGAAGTCATGAGAATTGGGTGAGATCACCAAGTAAGAGAGCAAGCGAGAAAGCAACAAAGAAACTGTGTGCATGCAAAGAATTGAAGATGGTGAAAGCCAACACTGTGCAAAGAGTAAGCGGAGAAAGAGAACAAGATGGTATAAGGTCATGGCAGCCACATAAAGTGAGTTTCAAGGTAAAGGGGGCACTACATGGTATTAGTCACTGCAGACAAGTTAAGGAGAAAGAGTTTAGGCTCCCTATATGGGAGCTAACTCATTTCTTCCTTTGGAATTTAGAATTCAGTGGGTCCCATGAATACACAGCCCCCATGAATATACAACCCTGCCTCCACCTTATCCCATCTCCAAGCTACAAACAGTCTTGGGGGCTAGCTGGAAATCCCAGAGACTGAGGGACATTCTATCAAGATATACTCTTCATAGACTGTCCACCTCCTGTCTGTGCAGCTAAGCATACCTTTTATGTGGGCTGGCTGAATCCCTAGTGGATGCCAAGCAACATGCTCAGCCTTGGGAAAGGGACAGGTTTATGCCTTCAATGAAAGCAAACTTCAGTAAGTAGCAAGCAAATAGACAATGATAATACAACACATCATGGTGAAAAGGGGATGAACAAATATTCTAACAAATGTTATGCATGCCTGGAAGAGGGATGAACCACGTTTCTGGGGAGTCCAGGAAAACTCTGGGAAAGAAAACTGAGCCCTGAAGAAGTTTACCAGGTAGAGTGTGGACAGGGACTAGGGTCATGCAGAAGTACAGACAAGAAAAGGCTACAGACATCCCGAGAGGGGTGAGGGGTATGATGTGTTGAACAAGAGAGAGAAGAGGACATCTCAGAAGTTTCCTTTTAATTCTCCAATCCTTTGCTCCCCAGAACAGGAAAGAGACAAAGGAAACGCCTTATGTCCAAGAGGTATACATGTCACCTGAATACAGGAAGGAGAGGAAGACCTCATCCTTCCCACTACCTCTCCAAGAAAGCTAGTTTTGGGCATGCAGGTTGAGAAGACAGGGAGAACCAATATAGCGGAAGTATTCTTCTACTGATAAAAAGGGAGAAGAGGAAATACTGCAAAACCTTCATAAGCAAAGAGGTTAGCTGAATGCAGCAGCAATGTCACACTGAATACTCCCCCTTCCCACACAAGTTTCCAATCTCTTCCCTCCATTCCTGGGAGCCTGCTTCTACTCCTGGCGGAGCAGCCTTACTTGGTGAGCTCATGGTCTGAGAGGAGCTGCTTCAGGTGTCTGGAAAGTAACTTTTTTTCCATGGACAGTCGCACCCATGCTCTGGCCTTTCCCACATCAGTCTTGATTTCCCCGATGTTCTGGATGTGCCTGGAGGAAGAATGTAAAAAGGAAGTGGAGGGTGGGATGGGAGATGAACTCACTGCCAATAACTTACCTGTAAAGCCAAAGGAGACCTGCTGAGACAGACTTATCTCACCCTGGGAGAGCCTATCTCTATATTCTCCAAATACTGGGCTTCCATGTAGCTTTACCAGATAGGCTCACCATATTTTGGGAGGAAAAAAGACAGTACAGCCCTTAAAAAGCCAGGCTAACTCTGAGCCCTTAGGGCCTGAGATACTCTCCTATGCTCCCTCACCTCCAAAAATGCCAGGAAACCCAACGGTTTGTACAGCTTTACAAATGTATTATGAAACACAAGGCTTTGTGATTAGGAGGGCTTCCATGTTAGCTGAGATGCTGTAGCAGCCACTGAGACCTTGTTACTAAAAGTGGACACCTAAGCAGCAACTGAAAACAGGATTTTAGTGGCTTATTACATGTGAGCCCATACTGACCTCATATCCTGAATCAGGGAGATCCTCAGGGGAGGCATGAGTGAGCTGGCATCAGACTTCCTACGTTCTGAATCAAGAAGTATTCCTAGAATAAACAAGTTGGTCATGTCCAAAGAGATCTGAATATCCAAATAGCTGACTGCCCTTCCCTTACCTTAAATCACAAATTGCTATGGGAAACAGGTGGTTACACTGGTAACACTTTAATTGATTGTTTCATAAATATTTAT